>NC_000012.12:90585128-91210128 GCF_000001405.40 Homo sapiens | reverse complement strand
CAGGCACACTCCACCATGCCCAGCTAACCTGGTTTCTTTATCGTTTGGCCACAAACTTATAGTCTCTTTATTAATCCTTTAAATTCAATACTTTGAATGTGCAGTTTCTGTTCAAATCCCAACAAATAAGATGTAATAATAATAGCTAATAAGTATTACCATATGCCACATATTATGTTAAGAAATTAAAATGACTTTTCTCACACAAAATTTATGGAAACTGTCTGAGGTTGATACACATTACTTACAGTAAATATTCTGAATTTTACAGAAGTTGAATGACTTCCCCAAGACTTTGCATCTAGTATGGATGCAACTAAGACTCAAGCTCAGATTTTCTGACTTCAGAGCCTAAACCCTTCATCAGTACACAATCCTACATCAAAAATGATAGTACCCTTGAGCAAATATCAAAGGAACCTATGTATGAAAGAGCCTAGAAAAATTTCATTTGAGAAAATCAAACCAGGACTGGCTTTTCAAGTTATTTTTCCAAAAGGGTAAAATTTCCACATTATACTTAGCTATTACAGCATAAGATGATACAGCAGGTATTCACACTTCTTAAACTAACAGTGTATATTTCTGCATGTGGCAATTCTGGTTTTAACATTAGCTACGTGGTAGTGCAATGCCTATATAAATCTGCCCAACAACAAAAGGGTAAATGATACAACATCTGTCACTGTTTTTTCTCAAAAACGCCAATAGGTATGCTGATTAATCCCTCCGCAGAAGGCTGATCTCGCCCTGCATATGATGTTCTGAAAAATATCTACTGATCTGTAAAATTTACCACCAGCTTCAAGAGAGAAAATGTATCATTAGTTCCTAAGTGTTAGTAGCTAGCTTTTCCAAGAAAGTCTAATAATACTGGAGATTTATCTTGTCCACTAAAAAATATTTTTTAAAAACTGATACAATTTTATTTTAACCTTGCCCACTTATTACCATAGGGAGTGTAATAATTAGATGTTGTCTGTTAGGGTCTTGTCAAAATATGTTATTGTTATAAGATATAAGGATGAATTTGTATTGGGAACAATACAGTAAAAATCATGACTACCAAGTTGGGGTACTAAAAATTTTTTATTATAGATTTCAGGCAGTTTCATCTCTTTTGATTGTGTTATTCTGTATCAGGGGAAAAAAGAAGGAAACACGAGTTTTGAGAGATACAGGGCACAGTTGAATTACATTCTATGTTGTTCATTTTAAAACATGAACACCATGCTCAAAATCAAATTCAGTCTTATCCATTTTACCTCATATTTTCTCAAAAATAAAAATTAATATACATATGAAGGAAGGAACCAATGATAAAATGAACAAACAAATCACCTATTAAACTAAACATTATTTTGCCCTATACATTGGAAGCTAATTAATTTAACAATTACCTTGTATAATTGGTTAAAATCTCTAGTTTATTTGATTTTCCCCTCATTCATAGGGCAGTGTGAAGGAATTCACAGTTACAGAACATTTAGTATTTGTGAGACACTGGCTTATAACATGATTTACACCTTAAGATAATTTTAGCATTAAGGTGAAGATTATTAACAGTTAAGAATAAAGCCTTTGGTCTCAGGCTTGTATTTGAGTTCCAGCTGGAGACTAGAGAGTGAATCCAGAATTTCTGTACAGAAGGAGTGTTAAAGTTTTAGGAGATCACAAATTCAACTCATCTTGAATATAGACCACTGCTCAAGGAAATAAGAGACGTCATAAATAAATGGGAAAACATTCCATGCTCATGGATAGGAAGAATAAATATCATGAAAATGGCCATACTGCCCAAAGTCATTTATAGATTAAATGCTATCTTCATCAAGCTACCACTGACTTTCTTCACAGAGTTGAAAAAAAACGACTTCAAAACTCTTTAAAAAGAGCCCACATAGCCAAGATAATTCTAAGCAAAAAGAACAAAGCTGAAGGCATCACACTACCTGACTTCAAACTATACTACAAGGCTACAGTAACCAAAACAGCATGGTGCTGGTACCAAAACAGATAAATAGAGCAATGGAACAGAACAGGGGCCTCAGAAATAGCAACACATGTCTACAACCATCTGGTCTTTGACAAACCTGACAAAAATAAGCAATGGGGAAAGGATTCCCTATTTAATAAATTATGTTGAGAAAACTGGCTAGCCATATGCAGAAAACTGAAACTGGACCCCTTCCTTACACCTTATACGAAAATTAACTGAAGATGGATTAAAGATTTAAATGTAAGACCTAAAACCATAAAAATCCTAGAAGAAAATCTAGGGAATACCATTCAGGACATAGGCATGGGCAAAGACTTCATGACTAAAACACCAAAAGCAATGGCAACAAAAGTCAAAATAGACAGATGGGATCTAATTAAACTAAAGAGCTTCTGCACAGCAAAGGAAACTATCAGCAGAGTGAACAGGCAACCTACAGAATGGGAGAAAATTTTTGCAATCTACCAGCTGAAAAAGGACTAATATCCAGAATCTACAAAGAACTTACACAAATTTACAAGAAAAAAAAACAGCCCCATCAAAAAGTGGGCAAAGGATATGAACAGACATTTCTCAAAAGAAGACACTTATGCAGCTAACAAACATATGAAAAAAATCTCATCATCACTCATCAGTAGAAAAAAAAGCAAATCAAAACCACAATGAGATACCATCTCATGCCAGTTAGAGTGGTGATCATTAAAAAGTTAGGAAACAACAGATGCTGCAGAGGATGTGGAGAAATAGGAATGCTCTTACACTGTTGGTGGGAGTGTAAATTAGTTCAACCATTGTGGAAGACAGTGTGGCAATTCCTCAAGGATCTAGAACCAGAAATACCATTTGACCCAGCAATCCCATTACTGGGTATATACTCAAAGGATTATAAATCATTCTACTATAAAGACACATGAACATGTATGTTTATGGCAGTACTATTCACAATAGCAACGACTTGGAACCAACCCAAATGCCCATCAATAATAGACTCGATAAAGAAAATGTGGCACATATACACTATGGAATACTATGCAGCCATAAAAAGGATGAGTTCATGTCCTTTGCAGGGACATGGATGAAGCTGGAAACCATCATTCTCAGCAAACTAACACAGGAACAGAAAACCAAACACTGCATGTTTCCACTCATAAGTGGAAGTTGAACAATGAGAACACATGGATATGGGGAGGGGAACATCACACACCAGGGCCTGTTGGCAGGTGGGGATCTAGGGGAGAGGTCGTATTAGGAGAAATACCTAATGTAGATGACAGGTTGATGGGTGCGGCAAACCACCATGGCACATGTATGCCTATGTAACAAACCTACACATTCTGAACATGTACCCAGAACTTAAAGTATAATAATAAAAAAAAGAAAATAAAGTGATGGAACATATATGTCAGATTTATTGTCAATAAAACCTAGACTGGAAGATGTGGCTTAGGTGAATGACCAGTTGGATTTGATAATACTGTCTGTTTGTCATATCCATTCCTATTCCCACTTTAGGTGTTAGAATAGCCCACTCAAGAAATGTTTGAAATCTGTAGAGGACAAACACATTTACCAATGATCACTGCCTCCTCCAGCTCTGAGATAAAGAGGGAGGGAAATATGATGAAATAAATAGAGAAGCACTCTCAGTGCATATATACTTGAAATACTTGAATTCCTTCTAACTGTGCACAATGCCAGGAACACATTTAATATGTGGTAGTTACTATTACTACAAGGCACGAATGTTCTAATTTTTCTAATCAGAAAACTATGTCTTCAATAGATAATGTGATTTATCCAAGTATCAGATAAATAAGGATTCAAATCTGGATCAGACTCTGTGGTAGGCACACAAATGGTCTCCCTAAAGATGCCTATGCTCTAATCCCTGGAAACTGTGAATATATTACATACATAGAAAAGAGGAAATAAGGTAGCAGATGAAATTAAGGTTGCTAATTAGCTGACCTCAAAACAGGAAGCATATCTAGGTGGACTCAATGTAATCACAAGGGTTCTTTAGTGTAGAAGAAAGGGGCACAAGAATCAGTGTCACAGCAATGTGCAGTGAGAAAGATGACATCAGCTGTCACTGGCTTTGAAGAAGTACGAGGGCTATGAGCCACAGAATGTGGATAGCCTATAGAAGCTGGAAAAGGCAAGAAGACAGATTCCACTTTAGTCTCCAGAAAGGAATGCAGCCCTGCCCACACCTTCATTTTAGACCAGTGACAGATTTCTGACCTCTAGGGCTGTAAGATAATAAATTTGTGTTGTTTCAAGGTACTAAATTTATGGGGGAATAGAAAACTAATAAAGACTGCAAAGACAAACACTTCTTCCCCAACACCGCACTGTCTCTCTGTATCCAAATGGAAAGGATTGAATCAAAGTCTCAGATCTAAGGGCTGGATTAGAAAGTGAGGAGGTGGCAGAAATTCTAGATGTTGTGCAGGAATGGAAGGTAATTTGCCACAGATATACTTTGAAAAATATAACACAGGAGACTTTAAAGAGAGAAGTATGAGTAAGTGAACCCTCTTACCTCAGTGAAGTGCCTGCTTTTGGAGAAATTGAATAAAATGGCAAAGAAAGAACATTTCTATAACATTTTTTTCATGGACACATTGTGCTTCATATGCAATCTTAAACCACACAGTCATTCTGTGGCTCCCTCAGTAAAAACTGGTTACAAAAATAAATATTACTCCAAAACAATGCATCATGTCCATTTAACTCTACCTTTCAATCTAACACTAAACCAAACCATGTTGTGAAAAAAAAATCAAAAATTAAGTCTAACTTGTTCTATTTTAGAAACTAATAAAAATGGCTATTAGTAGTTTAGGTTAATTATGGCCTTTGGGACAGAAGCAGTCCTTCTGAACTGGAGGGCCTTATACATGCCTACTTCATTTTGTATTAGATTAGGTTGGTGCAAAAATAATTGTGGTTTTTGCTATTACTTTTGATATAAATTGGGCCTTTCATTTGGGGTCTACTTAGCAAGGGAACCAGTGCCAACCAGAGGATGTGAACGGCCATGGATTTCAAGTGAGGGAGCATTAGGAAATTGTAAATAATTTTGATCAGCCTTTGTTTTCTTCATGGTAATACATAGCAATGTATTCTAAGTTTGTCCATGCCATATTTTTTTTTCATTACTTTTTAAGAAATAGTTTGTGGAAGATGCCATGCTATGCTTTGACCCAGAATTTTGGATCCTCAGAACACGTCTTGCCCACTCACTTACTCACATCTGACCACCTTTGGCTCTCCTTTGTGTCTGAGGCTAGAACTTACGCAGAATTCAAAAGAGCTTCTGCCTCCTAAGACCAGTACCATCGCCCTCAGTCACGACGTGGAGTCCTGAGGTGGTGACTTAAGGGTCTGAGATTTGTTTCCCTACCAATATTTCTAAGAGAAGCAATTTATAAAACACATCTGGAACACATGCTTCTATGAAATGCAAATTCCCTGAAGTGAGTGCATGTGATCAGCAATAAATATTTTCTTATGCATTCATTCACTGAGTCGCTTCAAAAAATTTGAGTAATCATCCAGGAAAAACACATGCAGTATAAATAAAGGTAGTATTAATAAACAGAAGAGGTTGTTTTCACAAAATTACAGCTATTTCTGAAGAACTGAAATTTAAATATGGCCTCCTGGCTCCAGGAAAGCCTTACTCAGAACAGGCACATGGGTATTGCAAGGTTTTTTTTAAACATGGGTTTTGTATTTTTAAATCTTTAACTTGCAGATTTCCTTCTATGTAAATGAAATCTCTTTTCATATAGGCAAAGACCGTTTTCTCTGACATTAATCACTAACTTTACTGGCAACAAACCCTCTGCTCTTGTATTGCCCAGTTTCAGAGAACATAGCTTTTCAGATCATCTTATAAGCTTTTACAGATTTTTTTTTTCTAATTCAAGTAAATGAAGAATGCTGAGACCCAGTTGTCTCAGAATTAAATTTTAATTTATTTTAATAATAACATAATACCCTAATTTGGTCTAGACTTACCTAAAATATTCATCTTTTTTCTTTTTAATAGAGCCATAAGTTGCTTTTATGAGCAGTAGTAGTATCACTTTCAGTACTGGCACAAGGCCTTGTGAAGGGAGCTTTGGTGGGAAATCAAAAGGAGTTCATTTTAGGCAGGTGAATTAGAGAAAAAAAAGATACCCCGTGGGCAGATAAAGGCAGATTAAAGGTAGGATTTCAGCCGTCACTCTCACCCATGTATAGACACCCTGAGCCAGCACCTAAACTGTCGAAATGCAACTAGAAGCTTTGCTAAGTAAACCCCCAATAAGTGCTTTATTTGCTTTCACTTCTTAAAAGGACTTTTGAGAAGTACTTGCTTTGTTCTTTTGTCATGCAAACAGAAGTTGTTATATGCTGGTAAGCCTCTGGCTCATGGAAAGACAATAAATGTAAAGTATTATATAAATGAGAAAGTACAAAAACACCACATTAATTACTTAGAGATAAGTGTTAGTAGCCTTGGTGAACCATAAGGGCCAACTAAAAGTGCTGTGGAAGAATACCAATGATCAATGACTACTGTGGAGCACTTTATCATTTATAAAAACCTTTCCCTCTGAAGTCACTATTTCACCAGATCTTCCTAACAATTGTAGGAAGGAGTTGTTGCTTTCTCATTTTTCAAGTGCAGACTCTAAGACACAAAATATGCACACTTGTAATAGTATATACGCCATGCTGAGAATATAAAAATGATTGTAATATAAAGTCAAAGGCAAAGTTCAGACATTGCAAACTGATGGACTATGTGGCATATGTTCCCAGTGTTATGTTTTGTTTAGACTTTCAAGTGTACCCCAAGAATTTTAAGCAAATATTTTAAGTTGGTAGATTGTCTATAAAAATTCAGATTTTTTTTTGTTTGTTATTTTAAAACAGTGCCAGAGTGTTGGAGGTGAGTAGTAGTGACTCTTTTAGAAAACATGTCTCTTTCAGGTGGCCACAGTCTCTGCAATTAACTCAACGTAGGCAAATGCAATTACGTGAGCCATCTTCAAGCAAAAAGATGGTCCCACCAGTCCCCTTTTTTCTAATTCTAGAAATTAAAATTTTCTCTGATTCACTTACCCAATGTTTATATGTGTATTGAGTGTCTATTATGTACATCATTTTGAGCCTGGGATAGAGCAATAAACAAGGCAGAACATGTTTCTGCCCTCATGGACAGTACATTGTAGTTTGTGGAGGTTTTGGTGGGGCTTAATAGATTCTTCTATTCTATTTCACTGTAAAGGCTACATGCGATCATATTGAAGTATATTCATTCATTTAACATACTGTGGCTTTTGGGACTATTAATGAATTATGATATTTCAGGTGCTAGGCACACCTATCTAAATGTGAAAGCCGAACAATAATTCTCTGGGATGGGGGTTATTATTTTCTTTATTTTAAGCATAATTTTACAAACCAAGTCTCAGAGAGGAAAACTTGCTCATAGTGCCTCACCTGTGAAGCAGTGAAACTATGATTCATATTCAGGTCTGATTAACACAAAAGACCATCTTTCTTGTAGTAACTAATCATAAGCTGCATAAAGCCATTAGTTCTTGCTTCAACATTTTGCCTGGAAGTCATCTTCCCAAATCTGTAAGTTCATTGAGTCCATTTACTATCTTCCAATTTATAGCAGTAAATTTTTATTATAAGTGGGTAGCATAGTTTGCCATTTTTCTAGCTTCCTGTATTATTATCCCTTCCATTTGTGAGCCTTTTAAAGAATCTGTTTTCTTGGCTACCACCATTTAGTCCCAAATTCAATACCCAATATTTTAGGCATTTGTTATAACAATAACAAATGCCCAAGTCCTGCCCCCTCCCATAAAGAATTTACCTAGAAAATTTCTGCTTTATCAGAGTAGCTGTACCTCATTAGCCTTGTAAAACCAATGTACACATATTTGCAGTGGTTAAAAGAGAGTGAGGAAACAGATACAAAATCAGATTTAATAATCTTGAGTGATTAATGAATATTATCCTCATTGATAATGTTAACCATGCCATGTAGAATATGTAGCTGTCAACAGATTTTGCTTTAAATGCATGAATGTGAGAATAATTAGGCCCTAAAGAAATTAATTTCCATAACAGTAAACTTAATTAAGTGTCTGGCAGAGCTGTTTTATGGCTATTGCAATTTCTTATGTTCATAGATGGAAATTCTCTTAAAACAAATGAATTACTTTCTGCAAGCTATTTTTTTCTTAAGAATAAAAATTACTTCTGAATGCTAATCTTCATCCACACTATAAATCAAGGAATTTTGTGTTTTCATGTCAACCAGAAAAAAGCAGCTTGAATAATATTTACAGTTATCTTCGGGGTATAATTTAATACAAGTGAAAACATGCAGTAATGCATTCCTCCAAATACATAAATTATGTGTCTTTATGATTCATAGCTCTATATTCCATGCAACATTATGGGAAAATGAATTTCTTTTAGCAAACAACCAGGTTTTTTAATCAATAATTACATACAAAAAACAATGAGGGGTAAAAAGGCAATCAAATGATAAGAAATTTTGGAAATCTTAGATTAAAATGACAATTGTTCAAAACAGTGTTAAGAAATATCTGAACCTATCTATTCTTATATTCTCTCACTAAAACCTATAAAAGTTTCAAAAAGTAAAAATTATACATGTGCAAAGATTAATATATTCCTTTTCCTTTATGTTTCCATATATGATAATCAAGGTCTACCATGGAGGCAAGGTGTAGTAGGAACATTTAACACTGAATTTGAGATTCACAGTTTCCCAAATCTCAACTTTTACTATGATCTCCAAATAATCTCTCATATATATAGTCATAGAGATACACTGGTGGAATTTAAAGGAAACTATGATCATATCTCTGCATCAACACAACTAATTTCAAATTTTATTTTTATATATCCTATAAACTGAAAGAGATACTGTTCTCTATCAAAGTTTTAGAGACTCTGATAATATGGCTCTTATTTAATGGAGTTATTTTTTTTAGAATAGATATTGGTAAGATCATGTAACCAGTTTTCAAATTGATTTGCATCAGAGTCCTAACTGTCTATGTGTTGGTTTATTCCACATATACTTATTTAGTACATATAGAGTACCCACTGTGCTAGGTTACAAAGGTAATAGTGCATTATCTTTATTCTTGAGAAGCGTATTAAGTGCACTCTCTTTTAATAAGAGAGAGACATATGAAAAAACAAACACAATGGAATGTCATAGTTGATTTGAGACAATTCTGTGTTAAGTACCTGATGGTGTAAATGACAAAAAGGAGTAACAGCTACTTGTAAAGATCAAGACAATGACAAATATCAATTTAGTCTTTATAGAGAAGTTATTTTTAAATGAGTATTAAAGCCTAAGTGAATTTCATTAATTGATGGAAGAGAAAAACATGAGCTAGGAGGAAGTATAAAACTGTGATGCATTTGGGACATTTCAGGTGGTTCACTATGACCAGTGAGTTATGTACGACATAGAAGAACATAGTAAAAAATAAGACCAAAGACCTAAGCAAACTCTAACATTAATCACATATTCCAAGTAGTGTGGTTTGTTTCAGTATTGTCCAATAAGAACCACTAACCACATGTAGCCACTCAAATTTAAATGTTAATTAATTAAAATTAAATATAATAAAACACTTAATTTTGCAGTCACCTTAATCACATTTTAGGTGCTCCACAGCAACATGTGGCAAGTGACCACATTTGGGACAGTAAAATATCAATCACTTCCATTACTGGAGAAAGTTCTATTGAATAGCACTGAATCATATAGAATGGGAATCTCAAATTTTAATGCTTACAGAGATCAGATGAGTAATAAAAAATGAGTAAATGTGAATTAAGGTTTTTTTAAGAGTAGGAACATTTTTAGGCAAATAAATAGATAACTATTGGGTCATTGTGAGATCTTCCAGTTGCTCAGGAAGTCAGATAAATTAAAATCATTAAGCCTAAGGTTATATCCAAAGTTTAGCCTCTATTTATAATCTTTGTGCAGTGTTTCATGAATTTTAAGCAACAAATATCATAAGAACATTCTTTTTTTTTTTTTGACAGAGTCTTGCTCTGTCACCCAGGCAGGCTGGAGTACAAGTGGCTCAATCACAGCTCACTGCAACCTCCACTTCCCAGGTTCAAGTGATTCTCCTCCCTTAGCCTCCTGAGTAGCTGAGATTACAGGTGTGTGCCACCACACCACATCCGGCTAATTTTTGTATTTTTAGTAGAGAAGGGATTTCACCATGTTGGTCAGGCTGGTCTCAAACTTCTGACCTGAAATGATCCATCCGCCTTGGCCTCCCAAAGTGCTGGGATTACAGGCATGAGGCATCATGCTTGGTCTATAAAGACATTATTAAGTCACACATGTCACTCTGGTAGCTTTATGGATGATGGATTAGGGGAAGATAACATTGGAGGCAGATTATAACAATAGTTTATTCGAGACATAGTGACAGAGAGCTTCAATCAAGGGAGTGCCAATGGGAATAAAGAAGAGATAATAGACAAATATCACATGAAGAATCCTCAGGCCATTGAAAAAGAACAAAGTTGAAGGCATCACACTTCCTGATTTCAAAATACATTACAAAGCTACAGTAATTAAAATAGTATGATACTGGCATAAAGACAGACATATAAACCAATGAAACCTAATAGAGAGTACAGAAATAAATCCATATAAATAAGTTAAATTGATCTTTGACAAAGGTGCCAAGAATACAGAATGGGGAAAAATATTATCTTCAACAACTGGCCTTGGAAAAACTAGGTATCCACATTCAAAAGAATGAAATCAGACCCACTACCTTATACAGTATACAAAAATCAACTCAAAATTTTTTAAAGACTTAAATGTAAGACCTGAAACTCTTGTCTTGAAGAAAACATAGGGAAAAGCTTCATGATATGTCTTCACAATGATTCTGGGATATGACAAAAAAGCACAGGCAAAAAGAGCAAATATGAACAAGTGGTAAAACATAAAACTAAAAAGCTTCTGCACAGCTAAGGAAATAATTAATGGAGTGAAAGGACAACCTACGAAGTCAGAAAAAATATTTGCAAACTACATACCTGATAACATGTTAATATTAAAAATATAAAAGGAAATCTTCCAAATCAATAGTAAGAAAACAAATAACCAGATTTAAAAATGAGCAAAGGACTTGAATAGACATTTCCCAAAGAAAATATACAAATGGCCAATGGATACATGTAAAGATGTTCAACATCATTAATCATCAAGAAAATCTGTATCAATACCACAATATTATTAGGTTGGTGCAAAAGAAATTATGGTTATGTTATTACGTTTAATGGCAAAACTGCAATAACTTTTCCACCAACCTAATACTTCACACCTGTTAGGGTGGTTGTTGCCAAAAAAAAATAAATAAATAACAGATTTTGGCAACCGTGTGAAGAAATTGGAATCTTTGTGTACTGTATTTGCACTCCTATGTTCATTTCAGTATTATTTAAAATAACAGAATGTGAAAATAACCTAAATGCTCATTGACAGATGAGTGGGTAAAGAAAATGTGGTATACACATGCAATGAAATATTATTCAGCTTTAAAAAAGAAGGGAATCCTGCCATATCCAACAACATAGACAAACCTTGAGAATATTATGCTATGTGAAACAGGTCAGACATAAGAGACAAATACTGCTTGATTCCATTTATATGAGGTGCGTAAAGTAATCAAATTCTTTGAAATAGAAAGTAGAATTGTGGTTTTCTGGAGACAGTTGGAGGCAGAAATGGAAAGTTGCTATACAATAGATATAAGTTTCAGTTATGCTAGGTGATTAATTCCTAGAGATCTGCTTACAATGTTGTGCCTGTAGTTAACAATTCTGTACTGTACACATAAAAATTTGTTGAGAGTAGATCTCATATTACATGTTCTCACCACTATATCTATATCATCTGTATCTATATCTATATGATCTATCTATTGATCTACCTAGGAACAATGAAAAGAGGAAAGCAGACTATAGCAGTAGAATTTTGGAAGCTAAAAAGAAAGACAAAGTTCACCAATTTAAAATAAATGGCATTTATGGTTTCAGCAACAGCATGTAAAGAACTTGGAAGTAACTTCCATCCTTACAATTTAAAAAATCTGAAGAAACTGAAATACAAATAATCTTTCTTGGCTCCAGGCAGAAAACTTAGGTTTCAGGGCAAAATGCCACCTAAAATATAGATAGATAGGTGAATTCGGAGAGTCACAGCTGAGATCTGCTTAACTGGAGCAAAAGTCACTGGAGTCCAACCTGGGTATAAACACTTCAATGGTAATTTTGATTGGTTGCTGGAAGCTGAATATGGACTAACATGAAAGTGAGAAACTCCTGGGTTCTGTAGTCTTAGGGGTAGACTGCACTTTCATGGGTTTTTCCTTTAGAAACTTTACCAAGTTCTCAAGTTGAAGATGTAAGTAAGTGTCCCTCATGGCTCTGGAATGGGCAGAAGATGGTCATTGTATAATAAATCTGGAGTTTTCTCTGTAACAGAGAACTACTATCCAGCGGAGAAGACATTACCAGGGTTGTATCCTAGCTGAGGGTAGTGGTTTCCTGCCAATCCAGCTCCTTTAGCCTTCCTGTTTTATCAAGGAGGTAGGAAGCTATACCAGGAGAAACATACTTGAGAAGTCCAGTAAAACTAAGAATTAATTGTAGAAGAGAATGATTTATCTCCCCCATTTCTTATTAGGCTTAACAGTGGATTACAGCTGTAAGCTTTGTGAGGCACATACCCTCTTGGAGGAGTAGTATTTAAGCAAAGTCAAGGCCAAGCAGGGAGACAAAACAAGGACAGTAGGGGAATTGAAAACGTCGTCACTTAAAGCCAAATCAAATATTGATACAGTTCAAAACCTAAGAAAATTTACATATATCCTCACACTAAAAACCTATTTACCTTCATTCCTATTAATCAATAAAAAATGCTTAGTTTTTAATAAAAAATGACAAGGCAGAAGCAAAAAAAAAAAAGTCTAAAGAGGCAAGTAAGCATCAGAACCAAACTCAGACATGACACATATGTTGGAATTATCAGACAGGAAATTTTTTAAAAACTATGATAATGTTACAAGCTCTACTGGAAAACATAGACAACATGCAAGGACAGTTAGGTAATGTAAGCAGAGAGATGGAAACCTTGAAAAAGAATCCAAAAGAAATGTTAGAAATTGCAAACACTGTAACAGAAATGAATGTCTGTGACAGGCTCATTAGTAGACTAGATACATCTGGGGAAAGAATCATTGAGCTTGAAAATGGGTCTACAGAAAATTCCTAACCTGCAATTCAATGAGAAAAAATAATTGAGGAGAAAAAAATAAGTAAGTTTTAAAATGTGGACAATTTTAAAGGTGTAACATACACATAATTGGAGTACCAGAAGAAGAAAGAAATATTTGAAACGATAATATCTGAGAACCTTCTAAAATTAATGATAGACACCAAATCATAAATTCAGGAAGCTCAGAGAACACTAGACAGGATAGATACCAAAACAAAACCAAAAACAAATCTAGGCAAATCATATTCAACTTTGAACCCCTACTTCCCCCTATAAAAGACAGAGAAGAAAAAATATCTTAAAACATTTCAGAGGAAAATGCTGCATCCTACCTACAGAGGAACAAGAGTACAGTGGAATTCTTGTCCCAAAGCAGGTGATATGGTTTGGCTGTGTCCCCACCCAAATCTCACCTTGAATTGTAATCATCCCCACGTGTCAGGGCCAGGTGGAGATAGTTGAATCAGGGGGGCAGTTTCCCCTGTAATGTTCCCATGTTAGTAAATAAGCCTCATGAGATCTGATGGTTTTATAAATGGGAGTTCCCCTGCCCAAGCTCTTTTGACTGCCATGTAAGATGTTCCTTTGCTTTTCCTTTGTCTTCCACCACGATTTTGAGGCTTCCCCAGCCATGTAGAACTGTGAGTCCACTAAACCTCTTTCCTTTATAAATTAGCCAGTCTCAGGTATGTCTTTATTAGCACCTTGAGGATGGATTAATTGAGTAGGCAAGGAAGAATGTAGTGGGATAAATATTTAAAGTGTTGAAAGAAAAAAAAAAAAAGCTCAGACAATAATTCTATATCCAGCATAATTATCCTTCAAAGTGAATGAGAGATAAAGACTTTCTCAGACAAAGAAAGATGTAAAGAACCCATGGTCAACACACCTGCATGCAAAAACTGTTAAAATTTTTCTTTAGGCAGAAATAATATTATATGAGTCACAAGCTTTGATTACATACACAAAAGAAAAGCCTCAGAGATAACAAAAAAGATAAAAATATTTTACTTTTCTTATTTTCATTTGATCTAAAATTAACCATTCCTTAAAAATAATAATAGGCACAAGTTATTGTGTGATTATAGCATATGGGTAAGTGCAATGAATGAAATGAATATCATAGGGAGAGGAAGAAGGATTTGAGAATAGTCTGTTATAAGGAACCTGTACTACAAGTGAAGTGTCGTAGTGTTATTGAATGAAAATTAGATTAGTTAAAAATGTATATTGAAATCTCTAAGGAAATCATTAATTTAAATATATATATATATATATATATATATATATATATATATATATATATATATATTCTAAGACAGGAGATTAAATGGAATTATATAAGATGCTCACTTAAAACCAGAGAAAGTGGGAAAGGAAAAAAAAGAAAAAAGGCAACAAAAAGACAAAGTTACAAACATATTAGATCTTAACCCAACTATATTAATAATAATTCTCAATATGAATGATCAAAAAACCACTTAAAATACAGATTGTCAGAGTGGATAAAAAAGCAAGACCTAACTTTTTGTTGTGTAATATAAACCAACTTTAAAAATAAATAGATCGGTTCAAAGTGTGGGCATGGATGAAGATATATCAATGCCAACAATAATCAAAAGAAAGCTAAGGTAGCTGAATTAATTTCTAACAAAGTATACTTCAGAACAAGAAAATTATCATGGATAAACGAGGGCATTACATAATGATAAAGTCCATTTTAATTTTTTCTAAATGTGTATATACCCCAAAACAGTGTCAAAAAAACATGAGGCAAAAGCTGACAAAATTGAAAGGAGAAATAGACAAATATACTATTATAGCAGAAACTTTCAACACCTCTCTCTTAATAACTGATAGATCATCAAGCAGAAAATCAGAATATATTTAAGGTGAACATCACTGTCAATCAACTTGGGCTAATTGACATTTATAGAATACTCCAATCAACAATAGCACAGTATACATTCTTCTCAAGCTCACATGGAACATTAATCAAGATTGACCACATTCTGGAACATCAAATATGCTTTAACATGTTTAAAAGATTAGATGGCATGCGAAGTATTTTCTCAAACCCAATAGGATTAAAATAGAAATGAAACAGAAAGATAGTTGGCAAATTTCCAAATATTTGAAATTAGATAACACACTTCTGAGTAACATTTGAGTCAGAGAAGATATCTAAAGAGAAAATTTAATAAATATTGGAAGTATTTAAACGTAAATGAAAAGACAACATATAAAAATCTGTGGGATGCAGTGAAAGTGCTAAGAAGGACATTTGTAGCATTAATTGCTTAATGAGAAAATAAGAAATATCTAAATTCAATAGCCTTAATTTTGCTTTAGGAAACTAGAAAAATTTTGCTTCTTTAGTTTGACTAAGAGCCAAATAAAAATAAATTGACATGATAAATGTAATTTTATACATTTTTTATATATTCTATTTTATATTGTATCCCTTCCTTTAGAGATGTTTGTAAATGTGAGAAATTCATATATGCTTTCTTCGTATGTATACTATGAAATGACTGTTCAGAACTATTATATCTTTATAGACCTTTTCTTAGTGGTAGGAGGTTTGGGTAAGAATCAGCCACATTTTCCTTCAACCCTCAAAGGGTAGCATGTTTGAAAACCCCTACAATATATTACAATTCATTATACTTTATAATAAAATGCTATAATATAGCCCATTTGGCATTTATATCCTATGAAAAATATATAAACACTCATGTATAAGTTTGTTAGCCAAGTCTATTATTTCAATATACTATCAATACAATGTAATTTGATAGTATATTGAATATAAGATGAGTTCCAATTTGAGATGAGTTCACTTCCAGATCAAAAGGTAGAACTGACCAACTGTGAGATGAGAAAGCATCATGTATTTCTTTTTGTCCAGATCTCCCATCTGAGCTTTGGGAGGCTTTTCCACTACCTCCTGCTAGTTCTGAATATTTCCTTTGGATCTTCTCACCCTCAGAGCAGTACTCTTCTAAGGGATGCTCCTCTTTGTAAACAAACTTTGTCATTTTGCAACCTGGATGGACCAGGCTATGCAGAGGGAAGTGGGATGGTGGGAGAGCACTAGAAGTTTTGTTTTATTTTTATTAATATTATTTTAATTTATAGATTATAATTCTATACATTTTGTGGTATGATGTGATGTTTTCACTATGAATAAAATGTGAATGATTGAATTAAGTGAATTAACATATCTATCACCTCACTTTTGTTGGGAGACACTAGAAATTTACTCTCTTAGCTATTTTGAAAAATATAATACATTATTGACTATAGTTACACTGCTGTGCAATATAGCTCAAAAGCGTAGTCCCCAATTGAAATTTTGTGCCATTTGACCAACATCCCTCCATTGCCTCCTCCCCATAACTTGCACCCCCAGCCTCTGATAACCACAGTTGTACTTTCTACTTCCATGAATTCAATGTTTTTTATTCCACATACAAATAAGACTATGCAGTATTTGTCTTTCTGTGTCTGGAGCATTTCACTTACCATAATGTCCTCCAGGTTCATGCATGTTGTCACAGATGACAAGATTTTCTTCTTTTTTAAGGCTCAGTAGTACTGCTTTGTGTATATATACCATTTTCTTTATTTACCTGTTGATGAAAAATTAGGTTGATTCCGTATCTTCCATATGTATAGTGTTGTAATGAACATGAGAATACAGAAATTTCTTTGACACACTGATTTCAATTCCTTTGGATATATACCCATAAGTGGGATTGCTGGATTGTATGGTAGTTCTATTTTTAGTTTTTTGATAAACCTCTATACCATTTTGAGAAGTTTGAATGTTCGGGGTCCATATGTAGTAGAAGTAACACATAAGACATAAGATTAGTATAATCTTTAGATGGCTTTTTGTATTAGGCTGTTCTTGCATTGCCTCAAAGAAATACCTGAGACTGGGTAATTTATAAAGAAAAGAGGTTTAATTGGCTTACAGTTCTGCAGGCTTTCCAGGAAGCATGGTGCTAGAATCTTCTTGGCTCCTGGGGAGGCCTCAGGAAGCTTACAATCATACAATCATGGCAGGAAGTGAAGAGGTAGCAAGCACTTTGCATGGCTGGAATAGGAGCAAGAGTGAGAGGTGGGAGTGGCAGGAGAGATGTCACATGCTTTTAAATGACCAGATCTCAAGAGAACTCATTCACCATGGCAAAGACAGAACCACGACACGAGGGATCCACCTCCATAAACCAAATAGCTCCTACCAAGCCCCACTTCCAGGATCAGGGATTATATTTTAACATGAAATTTGGGTGGGAACAAATATCCAAACTATGTCACTATTATTGGGAATCTTTTGTGACATTAAAGATAGAGGTTTGAATGATCTCATAAGGTTGGTGAACTAAGACTATGTGTCTGATATAATCCCAACAAACTAAAGGGGTCTTCAGATAGAAACCTTCCAAATATCTATACACCTGATATGTTTTAGGAATTAATTGTTACCAATGTTAAGTTAAATACAGTGTCTTGGAATTTGGTTTTAAGAGCATCAGGTTAAAGGATGTTAAATATTTTTCAAAAAAAGTAAAATCTATACAATTGGTAGTAGGTAACATGAATTTAGATGATACATAGATAAATAGTTTCATAATTATTACATATGTATTTTAACGTATCACATAAAATATAACTACTTTATAATGATAAGATTTTGCAGATTTTATCATTTAGAATACTTGAAAAAGGTTATGAAGTTGTTAACTGACTGCATTTTGAGGATTACCCAGTTGTGGGGAAATCCTGCTTCTGGCAAAAGCCTTGAGGTATGGAAATAAAAGTGGAGAGGCAACAGGAAGTACAGACAAGTAGGGTTTTGCAGTTTAATTGGTGGGTGCCTGGGGGATCATTTGTGAAACTTTGAGCAGAGCCAGTTGGTATGGTGAAATCTCAACTATGGGACCTGGCATGGCACTGGATGGACTGAGATGTCAAAAATTGCCATTCTGAAGGGATATTCAGCTTGAGTAGAGCTTGGACTTGAACCAGTGCCAAGCTAACAGGCTTTTGCCAGCAAAGACAGATTCTTCTAGCTGCTTAAAGGGATGTAACATGGAAAAATTGAATGTATATGCCTCGGGGTTTGAAGAATCTTGACCTCTACAGGGCTAATAATCAACAACTATTTATTTAGGTTTACCATGTGCCATGCCTGTTTTAGGCATGCAAAATACAAAAGTGAACCAAAGTGACAATATCCTTGCTTTTATGGAGTTTGCATTCTGGGAGCCACATCTAAGAATGCTTAGCATGATTTAACTGTGGGGTGAGCTAAATTATGGTTTTAAAACTGCAAATGAAAGTAACCTTAGGCAAATTTTGTCTGGTACTGATTTTTTTCTAAAACTCTTTACATAATATTTAAATTATTTCTGTTGCTTAAATTTAGACATTTAAGTCATTTGTTTTTAATTTCAAAGTACTCAGTTTTTGTGTTTTTTTTTTTTTTTTGAGATGGAGTCTCACTCTGTCGCCCAGGCTGGAGTGCAGTGGCGCGATCTCGGCTCACTGCAAGCTCCGCCTCCCGGGTTCATGCCATTCTCCTGCCTCAGCCTCCCCAGCAGCTGGGACTACAGGCCCCCGCCACCACACCTAGCTAATCTTTTTGTATTTTTAGTAGAGATGGTGTTTCACCGTGTTTGCCAGGATGGTCTCGATCTCCTGACCTCGTGATCTGCCCGCCTCGGCCTCCCAAAGTGCTGGGATTACAGGCGTAAGTCACCGTGCCTGGCCCAAAGTACTCAATATTTAAAAAAAAAACAACAACACTGTACAGCAATAGATATTATTATTTTAGGAAGATATTTATTAAGTTGTTCCATAAAATAGTTTTTTTTTGGAAAATATTTCTCGTAAGACCAAGATTAAAGCTTTTATTTGACTATGACAAGTTAGTTAAACTGTATAGTCACAAGATATATCCTTTCCTTTTTTTCATAAAACTGCTGTGACAAGACAGGTATGTTACTGAAGCCTTATTGTGAATACTGATTAGAGAACTTAAAATACGGCCTGTTAATAGGGAGTCAGTGTCATCCCACCACATACCTTAGCTGGTCTCCAAATTATGTCCACAGTGCATATTTTGTAAACAAACATTTGGTGACATTAGAGCTTCTTTGATGAATTATTTTTACAGAACAGTTGTACATTTTAATTGCTATGTTTCTGTGTGGTACAGATTTTAATAAAAAAATGTTAAGCCTCTCCAAATTGCACCTTTAAAGAACCATAGCAAATTCCCAGTGCTTACTGACTAAAGCCATGCCTGTCTTCCTAGAAGTCTTTCCCTTGAAGCCTCATAGTGCTGTCTCCTCCCTTGCCTCTGATAGTTTCTTCCCATTTCACTCTCCTCCCACTTAAATTTGAAAAAACAAATTCTAGCACAAAACAAAGAAATGAATACAGAAAGCTTTTTTTTTTTCTAAATTGAAAACCTCTATGATTTTACTCATATGGGGTATCTGAAATGGGCAAATTTATGAAGACAGAAAGCAGAATAGAGGGTATAAGTGGTTGGAGGTGGGAACAAAGGAAATCTGAGGTTATTGTTTCATTGATGCAGAGTCTTTAGGATGTAGTGAAACTTTTGGAAATAGATAGTGGTGATGGTTGCATGATGTAAATATACTTAATTCCACTAACATGAACACTTAAATATAAAATGGTTAAATTCATGTTATGTATATTTTTACCACAATGAAAAGCACACATACACAAAGGAGTCATTTAAACCACCGCATTTGCAATGGCATCATTAAGCACGAGTTAATGTAACATTGGTACTACCACATTTTAATTGTCAGCTAGCAGCAGTCAAGATTTGCAACTACATGGAATAAAAACAAAAAACCTTCACAGTATTTCCTGTAATCTCTCAGCAGCTTTCCCTATGTGGTTTTACTTTCCAGTGACAGGCACATAATGTTCTTATCATTCAGAGGGTTAACAAATCACCTATTTGGAGAGTGTTTTGATAGCACAAACTTCTATGGTTCTTGGCCCATGGAAAGAATTAAATACTCTGTTTCTAGTTGGATTTGAATTGTCGTAGACGATGAGTAATGCTAGAAAAGTTATTGAAAATCGCCTCCAGGAATGAAGATGTTTCATAAGAAGCCAATCTTTTGATGAAGAAAGCTCCAAAGAGATTTAAACCTGAAACACCAAATGTGATCATGCCCCAGTTTTCTCTTCTTGCCCCCATAGGCTCATAATTATAAAGGAAGCTTGCATATTGGTGATTTAATGCTTTTATAAATGATAAGCTCAGACATTATTCTATAAAGAATGGGCACATAAATTATTTTCAAGCAGCCTATTTTCTCAGGTAGTAGAAAAGGATCTATACAAGATACAGGATTATTTCCAAAAATAAAAACACTCATGATTCAAATAGCATGTTTTACTTTGTTGTCAAGTTAATATATATCTGCATCAAAAAATCATGTCATGAATTATTAGAGAAATAATCTCAAAAAGGCAAATTGCAAGGGATGAATTATTGCCTTTGAAGGAGCAACTTGAATCAAATCAAATAGTTCTCAAGGGGCTGAAACTATCTCAGAAAAAGTTCCTAAACTAAGTCATTATTTTATACTACCAACATTAGAATAAAACTTTTCATTCATTTGCCTACTTAAATTCTGCAAGGCTGTACCCTGTGGTGGAGCATTTACTTTTCCTAAGATACTGGGTAAATTGAAAGGAGAATATTTACACACCAAATAGGGGCTCTACAGTAAATACATGCTGCACAGACATGACCTGCATTTGAATGCTCCAAACTAAACAGGACATAACTTTCAGGTTAGAGTGTGAATAAAAGGCAAGTAGAAAAAGAAAACAATCTCTTAAAATCTTCAATCCATCCTGAAATTTTATTTATGTGTCATTAACTTAACAGAGTTTGTCTTATATGACAGTTCTGTTCTAAACCTTTACATATACTGACTCATCTTATTCTCATCTGAAGCAGGTACTATCCATGGAGAAGGTCCCTAAGGTCACACAGATAGCCAGTGGCAGAGATGAGAATCAAGCATAAGCAATCTGGCCCCTGGTCTGCATGCTGAACTGCTGCATTATGCTACCTTCCTGAAAAGCTAGTGAAGAGAAGAGATCTTTGTTGAAGGAAATCACAAATACAGGGTCTTTTTTGTTTTCCATATGTCAGGCATTCCACACTATTCTATTATATCGTATCTTGTGCTTGGCCTCAACTTCCGACTTCACACAGGGCATTTTTCTTTGTTGGAAAAGGAGGTAAGGCATTGTTAAAGGGTCTATTTTGGCAGGTATATGGTGGCAGGCCTGGTTTCAGCAGCATATTCAACTAACACGCAAAAAGGCAGGAGCAGGACCCAGGAAGGAGTCTTCCAGGTAATGTCTGGCTTTTATCATTCTCTTTTGTAGTTTTCCCTCACTCCCAGTATACGCAGTTCCAAAGATCACCTCATCTGTAAAATGTCAAAATTTTTGCCATCACTCAGTGCAAGAAGCTTTCATTCAACACAAGGTCCTTTCCCATGTGAAAAACCAGCCAATCGGGAAAATTCCATATGAACCTTTCCTTCTTTCTGTCATTCTATAATTCAGATTGTGTGATTCTCCAGCATTGCTCAGACCAGAGTCCCTTTCAAGACGATACATTATTTTAGTACCCTAAAAGTAAAGTTGAACTCACATAGAATGAGTAATTTCTTATAATTTTCACATACATCAAGAAGTTTAGTTAACGTAATCATTTTTGTTTGTTCTTCCTTTCCATTGGAAGCATCCTTGGAGATGAAAATGCAAACAAAGAAGTCAACTTTTCCTGCTATCACTTACAATGGCAGAAGTGTTGGTTAGAGTGGTGCAGAGGGCAGTGTTCAGAGTACGCTGCCTCATCACACATTATTTGTGCTTTTAAAATTGACTATGTACCATGGTGCCTGGTGCAGAATGAGTACTCCAAACTTTTCTTTTTAATGTATTACATCATCTTCCTGAGAAGTAGCTCTATTTTCGCCATGCTCATCTATCTTCCTTCCCCTTACTAAGATATTAATATACTGAGATTAAAACTACAACCTTCTAACTAGTTTCCTTGACTCTAGTTTCACCACTCTACATGTGCTTGCTAGATTTGATTTTCTAAAATAATAATTGGATCATGTTATTACCTCATTCAATTACCTTTGATAACATCTAGATTCAAGCATAATAATTGGCACATATTCATCAACAAATTAATATTTGATGAACAAATGAATGAATAAATGTATAAGTGCTCCATGGGAGAATTTCAAGTCCTTCCACAGTTAGACCTTACCCTCATTTATTTCATTATCTCCTTTTAGTTATTTCCATAAACATGGGACATTAATTTATTGTGTGACTTTGACATGTCAGATACCATGAGAGTTACTGAATGTTCAAAGAAATAAAGGAACTCAAGGCTTCTTTGAAAGAAAGTATCTGCTTAAGCCACATTGATTTATTTATTGTCTTCTGCTTTCCCATTGCCAAGGTTTGTTAGTGTCATTTTGCCAACATAAAAAGCCATTTCTTTCTTTTCTCTCCATGCATATTCTTTTCATCCCTCAGGATTTAGCTCAAATTGTACCTTGTTCATTATAAACACTTACCTAACCACTCAAATGTAAAGTGATCCATCCCTCAATCCCTTCTCTGACTTTCTAAGACAATTATTTTAATTACATCATACTTTACTTTGGCCGGGAATTATACATTATAAGTTTTCTGGTATGCTAAAGCTAAAATATTATTATACAAATCTATAGTTTATGCCATATCTCCTTATGCAACATATTTCCCTTGAGGCTATGCCCTTCACATCGTACTTTGTATTTCTTGGTATCTTCCATGGGGCCTGGTATAACACTTCCTCCCACAGTGGTTCCTCAGTCTATATTTTTTGATTAATTGATTGATGAGTTATTGTAAATTTCCTTGTATTTAACAGAGAGGTATGTACCTTGTGCAGACTAATGGATATTCAATAAGTGTTGATTTACTGTCCAAGTACAAACTAATCAATATTATGGAAATAATAATTAATCTTTTAATTAATTACAACTGACAAAAGAGATGCCCCAGAGCATTCAAGAAAAGTCAGGAAATTAAGGAACTGAATATCTCCTTGATACTTTTTAATCTATTTTAATTCATTACTTATCCTTTCCCTGTCTCTATTCCCATTTCTACTTTACTGCTCAGAGTAGAAATTCTTAACCTGGAGTCTCTGTTTCCTTATAAAGTCCATGAATGGATTTCAGCTGGACTTGGAGCCCAATAAAATGTTATGCATAAAGAAAGCCAGGCTGTTATGTAACAACACAAAGTCAAGGCTTAAACGAAAGCTTATCTAGCTCCAAACTATATCATAGCTTAGCTGATTTCTTCTGTTGTTAGGCAGAAAATCCACTGGACTATAAAAGATGTGCAGTCTGGTTATTGTACTGGAGTGTCCAAGGTAAAGTTTGTAATAACAAAAAACACAAGAGAAGCAGCAGCGGAAGCAACAAGTGTTGCTTGAGATGTGTCAGGCACAGTTCTAAATGTTTTATGTATTAAACTTCTTTGAACCTCACTATAAACTCATGAAGGGGATACCACTGTGGCTACTCACATTGTATAGGTTAAAAACCTGGAGAACAAAGAGGTTAAGTTACTTGTACAAGGTACCAGGACACCAAACACAATGGTAAGGGATGGAGGAATAGAGGCATGGGAAGATAGCCAAGGTAAAAGTTGTCTACACCAAATTTTCTTTCAAGCTATTCTGTATTCAAAGTGCCCTCAGTTCCACGCTAGTCATCTTTCTTGGCTAGGGAAGAACTCTGTCTACAGTGGCAACTACAGAGCCAGACAATTCACACCAGACCCAGATCTGACTTTGCAGAGTCAGTCTACAGACAAACCAGTCACATCAGGATTGTGAAGATAATCACTTGCCTCTAGACCTCTTAGAAAGTAAAGGGGTGTCAGAAGGAGACCTTTCTAAGCTCTGGCATTCTTCATATCCTTAATGGGCAGGTACAATTAAATACTTTGTATGTGATGTCAATGAGAGAGAATGGCCCTGAAATGAACTTCGACAATGTGCAGAATACAGTTAACCCTGTTAGCTAGTGGGTTGTCAGTAGAAATCAAAGTTTAAGTAGTTTAACAGTAGATGTGGGATGTGCTCTGAATTGGAATATTTCACATATCTATATGTCAGCCAGGGATTCAGGGAATCCTACCCCAAACATTCCAAGCCAGAATGACTTTAAGCAATCTGTGCACAGTGCTGTTTCTAGTCTTAAAATGGTTCCATTTCATGTTGGATTGCAAGAGACCTGGTTTCTGGTCATAGTGTCATGACCTCTTGGTGACTTAACTGCGTATGACTTTGTTGGGACATAGTTTCTTCTACTGAAAAATGAGTATGACGATAGATGTAACTTGTGATTAAAGATGCAGCTTTTAAATATGATGATGTTTGGTAAAATGCTTGAGATTTTGGAGGTGAGTTTCTTTCCAAACAACAACAACAAAAAGAAAATTTTTATTTGTTCCTGAACAAATTAAATAAAGTTTTAAAAGCATTGCAACTTGGTCATGGTTTGTAAAATAGTCTGAAAAGATGTTATCTCAAAACTTTGATAATTACTTTTCTATATGTAAGAATTTGCTTCCTCTTTCTTAAGATACATTATAGTTTAGTATAGTTTAGTAATGAAAAGTGGATTAGGCATGAGAAGACCTGGATATTAGTTTCTGCTTTGTTTCTTGCCAGCTCTGTGAACTTGGGCAAGTCACTGGGCTTCAATTTTCTCATTTGTAAAACAGAAATAGTAAATATGACTTATCTTGTCTAACTCAAAGGATTGTTTTGAAATATGTCAAGACATAATAAAAGCTTGCATTTACAGAGATTTTCACTTATAAGGATTAAGTTCTGAGTTAAGTGTTTTATATATATTGCCTTATTTAATCTCCACTCCAACACTATGAGTTAGGTAAGAATTTGTATCCATTTTTCAGATATGGAAACTGAAATTCAGAGAGGTTAAGCAAGTTGCCTGAGTTCATATAGCTTACTATCGGGGGGAAGGAACAAGATCTAAATCTTAACCATAATGGTTCTGCTTTTATAAAAGTAAAATTATCTACATAAAAAGGCATTATGTCTTTTTTTCTCCTCCTCCTCATTTTTCTTCTTCTACTTTTTCTTTAATACTTCCTTTTCTCTCTCTCTGTCTTGTAATGATGGCCATAATTTGTCATATACACTTTAGTAGGGTTAAGTTTTGATAAACAGTAAGCCAGGATTGGGGCAAAACACCAGTCCGGGTACGGTCCATAGCCAATCATTTGATTGTCTTTACTAATTTAGCAAATGTATCTTGGTAACTTAGTATATACCATGGCTATTCTGGGTGCAGGGATTCTACAAACATGAACACAATGTCATTCCTCCCTTGGAGTAAGACACGTACATAAATAATTATAATATGAGGCAGGAGTGATTATATGTCATCAAAAAGAGATAAATGCCATATAAGGAGAGTTCAGAAAGGAAATTAATAAATTCCAAGTAAAGGGGATCATGGACTTTTGCACCAATGTCCAGGGACAATAGTGCTTGCCTTTGTCTAAACTATCAGAATAACTAGATATGTGGTTATTAAATGTTAAGGAGATGCAGAGTAGGGTAAATTGTTTATCTGAGAGGCTGGGCTTAGGAAATAAGGCAAACTATAACGTGGTAACACGCCTCCCCCTCCTTAGATACCACTTGAGAATTTAATTTCTCTAAGTTTTTTTGAGGAAAAAGAATATTTACTGTGGAAGAATATACTTTGATGGCTGGAGGAGGGAAGGAAGGAGGCTGGAGGATGGGAGGGGGATCATCTCATGTTTCAAACTGTTGATTTCCAGTTTCCACCTGGTAACAGCCTAGGGGCCAGAGCATAATGATACAAGTCAAAACACAGAGACCTACACAGAGACAACTAACAGCATCCAGCAAGGGAATTATAAAAGCTCAAAAAAGATTTCCAGTGGCTAAATAAATACCTTTCCTTGTAGTTGCACTTGTTTTTCTTTTCATTTACTGAAATTTGGAAAGACACATAGACTCTATTGCCTTTTCAAAGTTCTAGTTTACATAAAAGTATAATCTATGAAAATCAAATTTTTCATATATAGAGGATGAAACTATGTTGTGATCAACTACAGGTTATCTATGTATTTTATTTAAAAACTGGTGGACAGGGAGAAAGATTTTAAACTATGATTAATGAAAGTGATAGATGACATACTTTTCATATAAAACCATGACTTTCTTTCAGGACACTTTAGAAATATGTCCAAAATATACAGAAAAACTCCACAGCATAGTGCTTGAATTTACACAAACATTCCAAGGCAAGTAGGAATCCGAATGAGTAGTTTCACATAAGGCTACTCATTTATTTTTGCAGTCCACATTTAAAACAACTACAAGATTAATTTCATTCCATTTTTCTGGACTTACACATCCCAAAAGCAAGAAAAAAATGTCATTTTGGAAGTATAATAAATGCTACTTGTAAACAAGGCTAGAAAGGGTGGAGAATGAAATGAGATGGGGGGTGGGGAAACAAACCCTTTAGTTACAATATCTTAGGGAAATGAATCTACAATAAGACAAATTTCAAATCAAGTTGCTCCACTATACTGCATAAGCAGTTTAGAATCTTAAGCAGATGCAAAAAGAATAAAGCAAATGGGAGGAAAAAAAAGGCCGATAAAGTTTCTGGCTACAATACAAGAGACATATCATTACCATATGATCTAATGTGGGTGTCAGCCGGATTGTGTTCATTGAGGGAAACCTTATTTTTTAACTGTGCTATGGAGTAGAAGCAGGAGGTTTTCAACCTAGTCACAGAGCAGCACCTACCCCCTCCTCCTTTCCACACCTGCAAACTCTTTTACTTGGGCTGAATATTTAGTGTAATTACATCTCAGCTTTGAGGGCTCCTGTGGCAAATTCCCGGATTAAAAGGTATGGTTTTCAATAATTGTCCTGAACTCTGCTACAGACTAATAAAACTTCGGTCAAGTTGCGAGCAAAAGGGATTATTTGGTGAGAAAAAGAAAAGGAAAAAAAAAACTGTTAAACTTTTATAGTTTTTATGCAACATTTTAAACAAGTATTATTTGAAAACAGAAGTTAAATATTTGATAAAATGATTGAATGCATTGTTTTATTTCTTTCTCTTCTGTTTTTGCAAAGATGCTTCTTAAAAAACTGTAACCTAACACCATGACTCTCTATATTAATGTTTTTGTGTTTGTATTAATGAATGTTTAGCTCTTCAAGAGATGGTAACCGAAAAGTATTCTGAAGTAGCATATCTGTAATTGACCTATATATTTAAAAAATGTATTTTTCTCCTGAATTTTTGATTGCTTTAAGGACTTTTAAAAGCCCAGAAGAACTGAACTCTGGTGATTAGCTGAAAATACCTAATGTATATTTCTTCAACCCCAGAAATGAACAGAAATTATCACCAGAGAAGTGAAAATAAACATTGAAAATATTTATGTTATTAAATGCCTAAGATACTAAAAACGCTGTATAATTTCTTAAATGTAAAGTGTCCCAGTCAGTATCTTCACTGCAAGTGAAATTTTAAGATACATTCACTATAAAATGAGGATGTGGGTTAATTTTCTAATTTTAAAACAGGGTAACACAGTGACCACTGATTAAGTGGGCTCCCAGTGATGTAAATACCTGTGGCTTTTTTTTTTCCTGTTGCTGTTTCTAACCAGAAAAGAGCCAAATGCCTCCTATAGTAACCCTTGTTTGTGGATAAATGCCGCCTTTATTCTTTATTTTAAAATTACATATATTATAATTGAAGTTTTTAATCATCTAGTGCTGTAGGATTTTAATTTTGTTTTGCATTTATAGCTTCACTTATCTCTTGAGGGTTAAATTTTGACTTTGAAAGTGACACCAGAGGCATAGATAACATAATGCAAATGTTGATCTGGATGACATACTTCATTTAATGGGCTTAACTAGTTTTAGGAACCAGAAATTATTATTTTTGGTAAAACATTTGTAAACTATGGCAACTAGCTTCAGTGGAGTAGTGATATTACATTAGTAATTAGCATCTTGGACATTGTCATGCATTTTTAGACTACTTAAAACAGTTTCAGTATAATTTAAACAGCATATCATCTCAATAACAATCTCTTTGGTTACTACTTGGACAGCTGCTCTTTGCTCTTTATATTTCTGATTAATTAAGGAAAGAAGGAAATGACGAAAGGAATTATCAGTATTGACAGCCCACATTAAATGTTTTAAGATGCTGGGTCTTGAAGTACCATGACACTAATTTAAAACAGATGATTTTATGGAAGATTTTGCACAAAGTTTCTGGACATGCAATTATTTTTTCACAGTACAGTCAGGGTTAAATGCACACACACACATACACTCTCTCTCTGTCACACACACATGAACACACACACATACATTCTCTCTCTCTCACACACACACACACACGAGCAAATGAAAATGAAATAAAGGTCGGTGATTGAAGTTATAAGCTGCCTGTCTATATTCAGCTTCAATCAAAAAGAATATTGTTTGGAGAATTTGTACCATTTTAACAGGAGTAAACAAACATAAATTATAATACTATTTCTCTCAGCTAATACTCAACATTTTCTTTTTGTGGGTTGTTAGTGAAACAACCAGGCATGTTCTGCTCTGGAGAAAAGATTTCAAAGTGACATCTGCATTAACTGTCGTTGCTATTTATTAAATCTGCAATGACTTTGCTTCATTTTTCTTTTAAACTTGTAAGACATTAAATATGCAAGGCTAGCAAGCTTGTGGTAAACCATAAACATTGCATTTTTAATGGGAAACAGATACAAAACCACTCCCTCAGATACAATCCAAAGGAACAGGCTGCCAAAACAAAAGTCTTCTCTTAAAGGGATACTCAGTAACTGAATGAGAGTGGGCTGCTAGAAGAAGCTTAATGTTGAACTTAAAGTGGCAGTGTGAATAATAATCTTTATGATATTTTGTTAAATGAAAAGCCACAAGCCTGTATTCAACATGTGCTGCCTTAGACACATATCAGTAGTAAATATAAACTAAGAACAAACATGTAAGAAACTGAAAAACATTTGTTTCTTCTCTAGAGAATCTAGGCAAAAATTCCCAGAAGATACCTTAAGGTTAGATCATACAAAGATCTTTCTTTTCTCTTCTCTTCTTTCTTTCTCTCTCTCTCTCTCTTTCTTTCACTTTCTTCCTTTCTTTCTTTTTCTCTTTCTTTCTTTCCTTTTCTTTCTTCCTTCTTTCTTTCTTTCTTCCTTCCTTCTTTCTTTCTTCTTTTTTTTAATATGCTACAATTGGATAATGACTCAAAACAGCTGTAAGATTCTACTTACGAACGTACAGCTTTAATATGGATTCGTCTAAGTGTACAATTCAAGGTAGAGATGATGGGACTAAATATCTGCTATGATGGGACTAAATATCTACTATGTTTTGGAGATATCAGAATGGTTTCAATGCAATTTAAAAAATATTTCATCTCCCAAATGACTTTGCTGCTATATAATCAAGTACTTTTGTTATTCAGATTTATTACGATTTTGTCACTCAGATTTATTTAGTGCACTTCAGTTGATTTAACAACATAGATTCGTGCTTGTGGAATGAATGGATAAATATGGAATACATTTATCAAAACAATACTTGTTTTTTTACAAAATGCCCTGTTAGCAAAATGAGATCATATATACATCACATAAAAATCAGAATTTTCCATATGTGTTTATTAGCTTATTAAACATAATGTTTGAGAAACTAGGAAATTGATTTATTTTTTAAAGCCGATCTTGCTTATACCAAGTTGAGGTTTTCAATCTGCTTTTTTTATATCAGAAATTCGATACTGAAAAAAAGCTAATTTTGTGTTTTAAAAAATCAGACTGATTGCTTGGAACAAATGGAATAAATCGTCTTGTCAATAAAGTGATGGTCAATTGAGTCATTTGTGTGCAAAATATTGTGCAAGGCCCGGGTACAGAACAAGGAATAATAAGACACGCCCTGAAGGAGTACATCGTCTAGTGAGGGACAGACCAAGCACGCAAAACAAATTGCAATATAATGTGATAAGTTCTTTAAAAGAGGTAAGAGCAACGTGCTTTGGGAGCAGAGAAGAGGGAGAAAGCAGCATCTTGCCTGGATGAGCCAGGGGACACAGAAGAGAAGCCCACTATCTCATTTAATCTTTACAACTCTCTTGCAAGGTCGGTATTCTACATGGCAAGTAGCTTTGATTGTCAGGGTTCAGGTGAGGACTGGGAATGGAGTGACAATGAAAAGGAATGTGGCTAGAGCTATTAATTCATACCAATTTATGAGTGGTCTGACATACAGCACAGGGACTGTGGACAGTATTGATAAGCCATAGGAAGTTAATAAATGGTTTATAGTAGAAATTAATAAGACAAAATTGAATTTTTAGACGATGACTCAGGCAGCAAAATGGAAGATGGACTGAAATAGAGGAAATATGCAAGGCAGAGATGAATTAGAAGCTCTTGTAGTAGTTTAGGGAGAGATGAGAAGGGCCTGGATCAAAATAATTGTGGTAGGATGGAGAGATGTGACTGGCTTCCAGAGATATTTCTGAAGCAGAAATTGGAGATCTCCTATGTGGATAGAGATAATTTTATCTGACCATGTGTTAAGTGAGCATTGAAAAGCCCAACATGATTTATTACCATGACAATTTTGCAAATGATTTGGATATATAGTATATCATCTTAGTTTAGACCCAAAATTCAAACAAGCAGATTTAAATAATACTCAGATTTCTCATCCTAAGTAAATAGCTGTGCAAATGATACTATAATGTACCTGATTGTCTTTCAATACATTTTTAATGCTCTGCTTCCTGATAACAAATGAAATATTATTTTGCATCTTTTCTCTGTGCTCACTGTATTGTGGCATATTATATAAGAAACGACACACAGATTAGGCAGTGCTACTCTTCTTAAATCTCTCATTTGTTTCCTAGGTTCCCTGGTTGTGAAAATACATGAGATAAATCATGAAGGCCACTATCATCCTCCTTCTGCTTGCACAAGTTTCCTGGGCTGGACCGTTTCAACAGAGAGGCTTATTTGACTTTATGCTAGAAGATGAGGCTTCTGGGATAGGCCCAGAAGTTCCTGATGACCGCGACTTCGAGCCCTCCCTAGGCCCAGTGTGCCCCTTCCGCTGTCAATGCCATCTTCGAGTGGTCCAGTGTTCTGATTTGGGTGAGTGGGATGCAGTTTCTCTTTACCTACCTTACTTGTTTTATTCTTGGGAATGGCAACTCTGAGAGTTTAGCATTTTCAGTTTTAATCTCTCTAAATTTGAGAGACAGTGCCACCTAATGAGGAGTAAAGGAAGCAGAACAGGATAGAAAGAAAAGTAGCGTTGTTGTTCTCTCTTTCTCTCTCTCTCTCCCTCTCTGTCCCTCTTCCTTTTTTCCTCCATTACTTTGCAATCTTGGACAAATCATTTTTAAAAATATTTCTGAGCTTTATATCCCTTCTTCTACAAAATAAAATTTTGAATTAAAAAAGTCTTATGTTCTAAAATTTCAGAGTAATGGTTTAATCTTAATTCTATAATATGCTTTTATAAAATATTAGATATTAAGAAAATCAGGTCAGTCTCTCTACTATTCACTTAGCCCAGACAACAGAGTTTCAACATTACTAAATTGTAAAATAATCAGTTATCAAAAGCAAAACACATCAAATTTTATGACAAAATCTTATCTTTCAAGTATCAAAATACTCCCTTAATCTCTGAGTCTTAGTTTTGTCTTTACTTTTGACATTTTGTAATCCAGCTGCTTATATTCTTTAGAAAGTTTCAAAGGAAATATTTATCACTAAGGTATGGTGTAAATATTCAATATAATTGTGTTACATATATCTTTAGCCTAACACCCTAAAGACAGTTTGATTTATCATCTTTTCAGAAAAATTTGGTCTGGAAATTCCAAGAGCATTACACTTAGAAGATAAATCTCCAGAAAGATTGAAGCTCAGTGGATGGGCCAAAGGGGAATGAACTCAGTTTACATGGCAGCTCATTCACATTCCTCCTTTTGAAGGGGTGTATTTTCTTACTGGAGATGAAAAGAAAAAAAAATCTTTATATCATGATTCCGCCATGTGTACTTCCTTCTGGAAGAAATTCCATACTATGATCAGGCACTTCTTTCAGAAGTCCTATATTTACTCAGAACATGCTTTCTAGCAGTAGTTTGCAGAAGAAAAATGCAACTTCTACAATTGGAATAAACTGCCTATAGGAACCCAGAAAAAATATAAAGTATATTCAGTAGTAACGACTGAAAAACACTTGAAATAGCTTCTTCAACACATATATTGTATAGCTATTTAAAACCCAAATACAAATGTTATATGAAGACTTTCAAAAGGCCGCAGGATAATTCCAATGGATCTATTTGTTCAGTCATTCAGAAGCTATATCGGGAACCCATCATGGATGAGCTCTGCTCTAGGCATGGGGAGAAAGGATGAGGAAGACAAATATGGCCCTAGTTCTTGTGGATCTTATGTTCTAGTGGTGGTGACTATTACTTTTTGAATTGTGTATTTGCCACAGGGGAGATTGGATTACTCTTCAGAAATTTTATAAGCATCTAGAGATGACCTGCATTATTGCCTTGGGCAGGAAAATAACAGGGTTGAAAAAAATCTGAACAAAGAAATCACCATTTGATGGATATACACAGGATAATCTTTTCTGAAGTTACTAAAATGGCGAAGTTCCCAAAAAATGTAATGCGAATTAAATTTCACTTTGCCTCTGAGAAAAAGTTAAAAGAATTTATTATTACTCTCGCTACATGTATTATCAAAAATGAAGGGTTGATATTTTTAAGGAAAGAAGAGTTGGCCAGTCACTTTAGTGAAGTTTTATTTTTTCGTAAATATAGTTTGCCTTTGCTTCCATGAAAAAATAGCTCATAAACCTTGACCCTGATGAAAGCACTGGGCCAGTTTTCCAATTCTCTGTTATGTAAAAAGGCATAAGTCAATTGTTCAAAGTGAAACAACAACAACAACAACAAAATGTAGTCTTAGGAAGCAGCAAGTTCACTGACTTGGGATCTTTATGACAGTTTTGTTGTTGCCATTGATATTGTTTTGTTTATTTTTTGTTTTCAGATGAGAAAGTTTTCTACATGTTATCTTTTTTCTAGGAGCTCAAAGTGTACATCATTCCTTTATTATAGCTAGGTTTACTGACTCATATACTAAGGAAGTAGCTAAAATTATAAAAATAATTTGTTTTTAAAACCATATTTAACTAAGGGAACTAAGTAAGTTCCAATGAGCAGTGGTCTCATGCAAGGTATTTTCAATATTTTAAAATTTACAGATGAATATTTAAATATATTATAAAAGTTTTAATCAGCTATCTCTAAGAAAATACATTTCTTAAAGGGAAATGAAATTCACTTGACTTTAAATAAAACAAATGAACTCATTTCATGTTTTTAACTATTATCTAACTCTTCCTTACTTTATGATGCTGGCAAGCTGTTGAGAGCCTTGACATCTCCATCTGCAGAAAAATCACAGTCTTAGAAATCCTATTAATCGTGTGAGGTACCTGGGTCATAGTAGCAGCTTCATGCAGTGTTAAAATTATATGATGATTATATGCAGTAACAGATGAAGAAAAAAAGAAAGAAAGCAGGAGAAATGCACCACCTCATTCATTGTAAATGCAGTATAGTTGATTTTTTAATTTGTTTTATGTCCTCTAGTGATCTAAGCATGAAGCTTGAATTATTATAATAAAGAAAATAAATGCAATGCAGTTGGGGATGGCAAATGTTAATGCTTATCTGTATCAAAGACTAACACTGTCTTCAGGATTATCCTTGGTGGATTATCCTTGGCAGACACTTAATGAGCAGAGAGAAGCTACAATGTTGAAGGACAAAAGTCCTTTGTCATCTTATTATCGAAATAATGTTTAATACAAATAAACTTTTTAAATTAAAATGTTTGACTACTTTTTACCACTAAGAAATATTCTTGGCAAAGTTAAACAACATCAAAATTTTAAACAATTCTTTCAAAGCTAAGAAGTAAAAACCTATGAAATTAAAATTATGTAATTACTCTGCAGGATAATTTGATGCCTCTGGAAAAATGCATGGACTGTTTTAGTCCCTAATTCTAATTTATCACAGTAGTATTAACACGTGCTTTTTTTTTTTTTTAAGAGGATGAGGGATTGAGACAGTAAACATGAATTCCTCATAGATATTGGCCAAGTTGTTTCATTGAACTTGTTGCAACTTACCTTGTAATTGGAACCACAATTTTATGAGACCCATATCTTGTCTTCTTTTATCTATCATGTTAAGAAATAAACCAGTTCCCTCTTAATTATAGCATTTATTTCAAAAAGCAATGTTAAAAATAAATGTAGAGTTAGCAAATTCAGAAGTCTTTCAGTTACTTTATAATAATAAATCCACAATGTAACTCATTCTTCTAAAAATCAAAAAAATTTAAAACGTTCTGATTTTGATGGGATTTTCTATTTTATATGCTTGGCATCCTGAAGAAGACAGCTTCCCTTACTTAGGTACTCTTTGGCTTAGCCATTCATCTTTGGATCAAGTGTCACCAGGTAGTATAATTTGGTATGGACTTAACACCTCATTACTGAAATGCAAATCAGTCCTGACAAGTCAAATAAGAACAAGTATTGTCTTTTGACTAGTCTCCAAAATTAAAATAATAATTCTTGATGTATTTCTTATAAACAAATTTCAGAAGAGTTAAAATGCCTCTTAAAACTATTTAATAGTGGAAAGAACTTGGGCTGTGCAGTTAAACACCTCTGATCTCAAATTCTGCTTTGCTGTTTACTACCTGTAACCTTGAAACTTTCAAAACTTTGTTTCCTCATTTGATAAATGGAAATATATCTTATTTCACTGGGTAAGAATAGAAAAATATATGCACAAATGTTTATTATAGTAACTTACATTTCACTTACCATTTCAGGCAAAGTTGGCTAAGAACATGAGGCTGTTTCTGATATTTCCTTTTATTTTTATGTATTAATGAGAATAATAGGTATAGGCCATATACTTATTAGAGACTCTCAATGACTTATACTTATTATTCTCAATTCATATTATATCATATTATACTCATTGAAAATAAGCCATATACTTATTAGAGACTTATTTAGAGTCTTATTAGAGACTTATTAAGAGTCTCTAATAAGTATATGGGTTGTCAAGCTAGACACAAAATAGTACCATCTCTCTCCACCTCTCTAAAGAGGACCACATCATCTCCAAATGTAAATAGACAAGAACAAAAAAAATTGTGCATTTACTAGGCAATTGAATGTTCTCCAAACCAATATTCCTTTGAACAAAATGAGTTTGTTTGATTTGAGAACAATGAAGTATTTGGCTATTTTATAATCATAAGTGATTCATACCCCCACACACTTAGCCCTCTAGAAATGGTGCCAGAAGATGAAACACATTTAATTTTGCCATATAGAAGCATTGCAAATAACTACTGGTTTCTAATAATGTACCTTATAATGCAAATAATGTTTTAATTTTTAAAAATATCAGAAAAAGTACAACCTTTTAAATTATGTAGTTGCTTCTTCTTCATAATCATTTTTCTTGAACTGGTGAAAAATTTTGTCAGAAGTTACCACTTGGGACATATTGTACTACAGCTTCTCGCTTGGCTGGAGAAACTGGTTTTCCAGAAGCAGACCTTATACAAGAGGTAAATGAACCATTAGACTTCTCCCATGAAATCAACCCAGAAAAATAAATTAGGACTATTTTGTAGAGGAACAGACAGAATGCTAGAGGCTCAGTTGCCTTTATCATTTATGTCTGGCTCTGCAGCAGCAGGGGTGTGAGGTGCTCCTCATTCAGAGTTTCGAATGCACCAAAAGGGTGTTTCCAAAACATGATATGGGAAGGAGGCTGTGCACAGAGTATGACCACTGGATTGCCTAAATTGACATTGGGTAGGAGTGGAGTATGGGTGATCTTCAGATGAAGCAAGAGTAATGCTCAATGTGACCTGGTTAAACAAGTCTCCTGAATCCAGGGGTTAAAGATGGAGAGGAGGAAGAGAGGGAGTCAAGAAGGTCAAAGGGAGCGTCTGTCTCCCTGACCTGAATGACAACTAACATAGCCCTTGTTTCCTTCTTGGTCCCCAGGAGGGAGAGAGAGGCAGCTGTGTGGGATCAAGGCATTTTGTGAGATTGCAGCTGTGATTCATTTTCCTTTGGAAGAACATCCCTAGCTCCAGGGGATATGGTGGGAATTGGTTAGCTAAAATATCAATTCCCTGGGTAAAAGAGGAAAACCATGAGACCCTCTAATCTTAACTTTTCTCCTTCAAAAGAGTGGAAAAAGATTACATAGTTCCTCAAAAATTAAAAAAAAAATGAGTCTGCAATTCAGTCTTAATAAAAAGAGAAAGCCCTTAGCATATATACTGTAACAGTAAAGACTCAGTTACTCTTGACTTAGTCTGTGGACTGCTTTAACTTCTGTAGCTTGCCTACTTCTGCCTTTTTTACTGTAATCTACATTTGCTTTGATTATTCTATAATAATCAATTATATATACATATCTGTGATTATACAATATCTTTTATCTTTTTATATATCTATTTTATTTTTTTTCACTAGAAAAGAAGTATTGCAATAATTTATCTTCGTACAACCTCTACACAACAAACTGCCTTATACTTTGTAGACTCTTTACACATCACTGAACGATTGATGAATGAATACACGAACATATGCATGGCTTGGTTCTTGAATTAATGCTTGGATGAATATTCTACAATATTCTTGACTCTAGCAAGCTGCAAAGAGAAGGGAACATGCCTGATTGAGAAACAAAAGTGATTTCTCAGTGCATCCTTGCTCCTTCCCTTTAAGGACAACTGTAAAACCAGGAAGCTTAGAAATTCCTTGAGTTTGACTGGAAAGAGAATAGAATTAAAGAGAAGAATCATCTATGTATGAAGCCTGGTCTAACTGATAACGCAGTCAGATTGCCATTTTTAAGATGGAAAAAGGGGAACATGCTTGCCTTGAGCAGAAAAGTTTTTGGTGGGGCTGGAGCTCCTAAATATTATTTTGGTCATTTGCCCAAAAACTGAAGTACACCACCAATGTCCCAATTATGAAGTTGAATACAGAATTATAAAAAAAAATTGTTGAAAGTCAATAAGAATAAATCTTAGAATTTGGACTCCTGCCACATGGCAGAAAAAAAGCATGATGTTTTAAGACAACCTGGCCTTTGTCCAACATGATGTTTACCAGATTGCTGACATTTTCTAGCATAACAATACTATTCATCATTGGGATAACCAAAAGAAGGGAAATAAAAAAAAAAAGAAGTCTATTTCTTACTAGTCTTTATTCAGAAATGATTTTTTTGGTAATATCTTAAGTAGTATCTTATTTGCTTTAATAAATAACTTGATTTTAAAGAAGATAAACCTCCTTACAAAAACTGGGAGAGCAAATGTCTAATCCAGGCTACCTTGAAAATAGTGTGTTTTAGTGGAAAATTTAGAATTATGTTAAATAAGGCTGCTCAATGAAAAATAAATGTAGGAAACCACTATGCTCCTGTTACTACAGCTGAGTGAATTTTACCCCAAAACATGGTGGCTTAAAAAAAAATTTAATTTGCTCACAACTTGAGGTATGGAAAATTTGGGAAGGGCTCTGAAGGGCTGTTCTCACTTGGGGTCACTCTTGCATTTGTAGTCAAATGTTACCCGGGATTTATAATCTTAAGAAGGCTAGCCTGGGCTGGACACCTGTTCACTCTCATAACTGACAGTTGCTGCTGCTGTCGCCCACAAGCTTGGCTGTTGTATCCTCTGGATTGCCTCAGACAGCCTCTCTTTTTTCCTATGGCCCCTGGCTGTCCCAGAGCAAGCATCCCAGAATTGGGTAGCAGCTGTACAACCTTTTCTGACCTAGTCTCAAATGTTATGGTGTTTCAGGCTATTGATTCCTAGAGGCATCACAAGGCCATCCTGAATTCAAAGGGAAGAGAGAGGAATTAGATGCTACCTCCTAATGGTATTGGGATAAATGCATATTGTAGAAGAGCATGCAGGATAGAAAATTTAATGTATGCCATCTTTGAAAAATATAATCATCTACATATTTACTTACATTTATATACATTTCTAATGAGAAGTTTGAGCATAATTATGTATTATGTAGAGAAAGCCCACAGATATTACATGTCCCCCATGAAGGTCATTATTTAATGATTACAAACTACATTAAGATGTTAAATAATTATAATTAAATTAATTTACAAATTAACTTCATAGTTACTTAATTCTTCTACTTAAGATTGTGAGAAAAGTATTAAGTCGTACCTTAATGACTTTGTTTTCATTATGGAACATTTTTTGGACATAAATTGAACCTGGCTAATTGATACATATAATTTAAAATGCTAACATTTTACTTTTTATATCATTTTATGAATAACCATAAAATTCATCAGTATCAATAGGAATTATTTAGTTAAAAATCACATACAATTAATACAATCATAGGCTTAAAGGCAGAATTTAAATTTGTTTATTTAAAAGTTAAAAAAATTAAGGTAGGATAACTGTTTCATAGAATACTATCTGTTTTTATATTTTTTGAAGATTAGGTTTAGTTCAAATAAGCTTTTTGCAATTATCAAAAATAATCTCTGGTCCTCGTGTATTTCTACCACAATTTACTTCCGGCTTGGTGTTTTCAGATGAGGAAATGGAGCCTGAGGAATGCTAACTTACAGATTCCGGTCATCTCTCCTTAACAGCCAAGTTGATTTTAACCCGAGCCATTCTGACTCTAATGATGTACAAACAAAGAGTAATATTTTATAGATTTGCAAAAGAGTGTAGCATTTGCTACCATTAAAATAGGGTTAAATTGACCAGGAGCAGTTTTTGAGGAGTCTAATTACTCATTGGGGATCATGTGCTTCCTAAACTGAAGGCTTATCCAAAAGCCCTGAACTTGGTAGACAAGCACCCCAAAGGCCCTGAACTTCATGGGAACAATGATGAATGCAGAAAGACCAGGAAATAACTGTCAAGACAAAAACATTTCAGGACCAAGATCTTTAGATGAACACCTTGTGCTTGACATACCTGAAAAACAGATTTCAGCCTCTAGGATAATATGCATAGTAATTGTACAGAAAAGAAAGAGTTACAGATGAATAATCAGAAAGATTATTCAGAAGGATAATGAGAGCAACACCCTCTATTTTGCTTATTAATAATAATCATAGGTAGCAATACTTGAGACGCTGCTATGCACTATGGTAGGAGATTATTTTGTAGCATAGCTTATTGAATTCTCACAAAAATTCTGTGAAAGACTTAAGAAAACTGAGGACAGAGGGTTTAAACAATATGTCTTCTAATTTTCTTTTTCTTTTTTTTTTTTTTTTAGACAGAGTCTTGCTCTGTCACCCAGGCTGGAGTGCAGTGGCGCGATCTCGGCTCACTGCAAGCTCCGCCTCCCGGGTTCACGCCATTCTCCTGCCTCAGCCTCCTGAGTAGCTGGGACTACAGGCACCCACCACCACGCCCGGCTAATTTTTTGTATTTTTCAGTAGAGACGGGGTTTCACCGTGTTAGCCAGGATGGTCTCGATCTCCTGATCTCGTGATCCACCCGCCTCGGCTTCCCAAAGTGCTGGGATTACAGGCGTGAGTCACCGCGCCCGGCCTCAATATGTCTTCTAATCTTAAAGATAAAGAAGAGGAACCAGAATTGAAATTCACATAACAGTCTTATAAAAAAATGTTATTATAGGAGCATGTTTAAATATGAAAATTCTGCAGAATAAAATGACCCCATTGGGTACCCACCACAGAGCTTCAACCAGTGTCAACTAATGCCGTTATTTTTCTATCTCCACCCACTTCCATATCATTTTGAAGCAAATTCCAGATATATGATTTTATCTAACAATACACTTACCAGTATGTTTCTCTGAAAAATAAAGCTCTCAAATAAAATAGCCATAGTTTATAGCTTATTTATATGAGTCAGGATCCAGATGAAGTACATACATTGCTTTTTTTAAAAATAGCTTCTGTTTTTTGGTTTTTTTTTTTTTTTTTTTTTTTGACAGGATCTCCCCCTGTTGCCTAGGCTGGAGTGCAGTGGCATGATCACAGCTCACTGTAGCCTCAACCTCCCCAGGCTCAGGGGATCCTCCTTCCCGAGTAGATGGGACTACAGGCTTGTGCCACCATGCTCAGCTAATTTTTTGTAAAGATGGGGTCTTGCTATGTTGCCCAGGCTGGTCTTGAACTCAGAGGCTCAAGCAATCCACCTGTCTGAGATTCCAAAAGTTCTGGAATTAGAGGCAAGAGCCACAGCACCCAGCTAAAACATCTCTTAACTCTCCTTTACACTACAGATTCACAATTTCTTCATTTTCTTTTGGAATTTAGAGGATTAATCAGATTCAGGATTAATTGTTTGTTTTTGAAAATACAAATCTATGAATGGGGATTTGTTTCTTCATTTAGAAGCTTCTAACTGATGCTTTTCCAGGAGAAATATATGCCATGTAGAGAAACTCTTACTGCTGGAGTAGTCACTCTATTAGACAGAAAAATCAGTCTTCTTGAGATATGTATGTGACAAAAGGTGCTTCACAAATATGGCAAAGACACTGAAGAAAGTAAGAGCAATTTTCAGGTGCAGATAATGGGAATGACATATTTGATAGTAAGTAGCATTCATTTATAAAATATTCCTGGAAACAGGAAAAAATATAATTATTATAACCAGTTGTATCCTAATACTTCTGAGGAAAATAAAAACTCCTATGATAGCAGGTTATAGGGAGATGGTTATAACAGAACATGGCAGAAATGATCTCAAAGCCATACTCATAAACTTTTCATCATGGGACAGCAAGGCAGATAGACTTTAAAATTAATTAATCAGAAAGGCACTTCTTGTTTTCAAAGCAGCCAGAGCAAAATGCTGATGAGAAACAGTAATTAGTCCTCCTTACTCAGGAAAAAAATAAATAAACTAACAAAACAAACAAAGACCCTGAAATGCAGGACAGTATAGTTTAAACTTATACATCTATGGCCTGTAAGAAGTTTAGAGGTGCAAGATTACTGTTATACAGGGGTGGTCAGCATGAATATTACAGAGGAGAGGGATAACGGATATGCTTCAAGGGATTGTTAGAATGGAAATAGAAATAAATGAATAAGTGGAGTTTTACATAAAATATGCATTGCATGAACAAAAATTGAGTAGCTAGGAATGAGTGTAATATGCTCACGGAATAGCTGTAGATCAGCATTAGAAAATATGCACAATGATCACATGCATAAATGGCACACCACGGCTAGGCACGGTGGCTCACACCTGTAATCCCAGCACTTTGGGAGGCCGAGGCTGGTGGATCATGAGGTCAGGAGATCGAGACCATCCTGGCTAACACGGTGAAACTCCATCTTTACTAAAAATACAAAAAATTAGCCAGGCACTGGTGGCAAACGCCTGTAGTCCCAGCTACTGAGGCAGGAGAATCGCTTGAATCGGGAGGCGGAGGTTAAAGTGAGCTGAGATGATGCCATTGCATTCCAGGCTGAGCGACAGAGCAAGACTCTTGTCTCAAACAAAAAAACAAAAACAAAAACAAAAACAAAAAACATAGTTCTGGAGTGAGGACTCAAACTATCCTGGTTCTTGATCTACTTTAGCCATGAGGCACCTTAGATAAGCTATTTAACTTCTTTGGGTTTCTGTTTCCTTACCTATGAAATGAGAAGATTAGACTGCCTTAAAATTCTCTGATTTCTGGGATAAGTAAAATTTTGAATGTTGAACGAGTTAATTTCTCATTAAAGTCAATACCAAACCTAACAAAAGAAGAGCCTGCCATCTGCTATCATAATCATTTTTTAAAGAAGGTGTATTTAAAAGTAGAAATGGAAGTGAAGGCAGGAAATGGTCTCAGATGGTCTCAGAAATTGTGTGTGTGTGTGTGTGTGTGTGTGTCTGTCTGTCTGTGTGTGTGTGTCTGAGATAATTTACATTAAAACTAACCACACTGCTTTTATTGTTTTTTTTTTATTTTGATATGGATTGCTAAAAACCTCATCATAGAGTCTACCTAATCAGCATTTGGGAACCATAGATTAGCTGATATTTAAGGACCCTTCCCTTTGTGACATTCAGAGAACTCATAATAACTAGAGTAAATTCTTCATTATACTCTGTCTCTTGTCTTTGAGCAAGCTAGTTAACACTCCAATGCCTTATCTACCCCTTACAGGTACAGCATATTACTGGGTCTGATGTCAGAACAATTATTTCAGGGGATACAGATAGGTATGCCAGAAAAAAAAGTCATGCTGGAAGCCAGGAGAGTTGTCATCTAATCCACATTTTGTCATTCCTAACTAGATAAGCTTGTTCATGTTATGAAACTTTTTAAAATAATTGAAAGTATGAGATTACCATACTGCCTTACCTATCTCATTGGGTTATTGTAAGGTAAATAATAACATATTTTCATTTTTAAAAATAAACTCTAAAACTAAATTATTAATAAAAAATATGTGAAATCCCCCCAATAAACATAAATTTACTAATTCAGAGCAGGTTGTAGAACTATAATTTTAATCATTGAAATGACTCTCCAAGAACTAAACTACAAGAATTAGAATCCTGAGGATGGTATTCCTTTTTTCTGAATCTCTAGAAATAAGATGTATATAAATTACCTTAAGTAGTTCCTAGTGTTATAAAATTTTAGGATGACAACATAAGTGAAAGTGTCAGCCATCCAGACACATCATTCTTTCCCTACACATTTGAAATTTTATCTGCAGTTTCGCATTGACAAAATGTTGAGAGTCACTAGAATTTAAGTTCGCCAATGAATAAAAGCAAGCGTAAGTGGAAATTAGGACTGTGATGAAGGTGCCCAAGAAGGAATGATAAAATGTAGTAACTACGTTCCAAATGAAAAGAAGTTTGTCTTTTCTGGGTTGGAGAACACCAATTAACAAAGATTTGGCAGAAATCTACCATTCCTAATTGCATGAAATTAGCAAATTGACATTTCCGAAAATGGCAGTGATTACAACTGTACAGTGTCATTAAGCAACCTCCTACAAGGTAGCTGTTCTGGTGTTTTACCGTTCATCACTGAAAACACTTAACTCTTGTTATTTCTATGGGAACTGTGTCTATAAGAGTTACACATTTATGTAACATATTTATGTAAGTTCAGAATTACTTGTATTTTGATACTTAAACTTATAAAGATAGGTGGTCACTGAATTAAGAACAAGATTCCACCTGCAACCCCAACTATCAATGGAGCAGTGATATTATAAATAAAAAAATATTTGGAAAAGACTCAGAAATAGGTAGCTTCAGGTACGTTTTCTGTAACTTTCATGGAAGAAATGAAGACAGTCAAAGTATGGCTACCATGGTGGTTTACAAGTATGTTTACATAAAACTCAAAATTGAAAAGTGATTTTCTCGACATAGCGGTTATTATACCCTGTTGTAATTTTATTTTAATTGAAAACAGTAAACTGAATTATATTTTTATGAAGTCACGGGCAATATCTGCCTTGGTCCTGCTATATTCCCAGGATCTAATAAATTCATGGTGCCCAAGAGGTATTCAATAAAGGCTTGTTGAATTTATGAAAAAATAATCTTCAGTACTTCAAGTTTCAGATATGATGGAGAGATTGCTTCTACCAAAGGCTAAAAAATATTTCTGATTTGTGTTATGCAGTCTTAAAATACAGAAATGATCACATTAATTTGAGTTAATAGAATATCAAATTTTTACTTGATGTCCTACTTCAATATGAAACAATGAAAAAAAGAAAGGCAAAAGGCCTTATTTAATAATTTTCTCTATTATGATTCATGATGATTTATTCAAAAATAACTGCCTTTTGTATAATTCTGGTTCATCCTTATATGACTAGCTGAATGACTACTAAAATATTTTTTAATACCAGGACCATTTGGTAATTCAATGAATTTACATTTACAAACTAAAAACAATAATACACTCAGCTAGACCAAAATCTAAAGTCCAAAAGTAATGCTTCATAAAATTAATTTCAGATATGTCATACTACCCAATTTATTTCATTCTAACTAGCCATATATCTATTGGTCATAAAATATCAACTGAAATGGATATTGTTTTGGCATTCCAATGAAAACTAAAAGAACCGTTATCCCAAAATGTTGGATAAATTTTCAAGATCCTGCCACAAGTTGATTATATGTTTATATGATTTTAACTGTAGATCTGTGACAGGGTTAGGTGTATCAAAAAGATCTTTATTACTGATGATTTGGCTAGAGTAATTATTGACACGGTATTTATGTAAAAATGTATAAATTTGCCAATCACTCGTGCTGACTACTTATCAAAATAACTACTTTTCAATACAACAACAAAGAGGTAAAACATATAGATTTGAGCCACACCCTAATGCAACACAAATGTTCCCCTAATGCAGAGGAATAATTCCATGAGGAAAATATCATGTTGAGTTTATTATTAAATACAAAAAGTCATTTGACTTGGTTGCAAAAGATAAAGCAAAAATTTTACCCTACAATGAATGTAATTCTTAGAAGAAGAAAAATATGTTGTTACTGTTAAGATGATCATCATAACATTAATTTCTTGGTAAATATATGCTGTGTGATTCTGTAGCCACATGTCCTTTCTACTCACAGCACACTCCTATTACTCTTATGCTAGGTCTGGACAAAGTGCCAAAGGATCTTCCCCCTGACACAACTCTGCTAGACCTGCAAAACAACAAAATAACCGAAATCAAAGATGGAGACTTTAAGAACCTGAAGAACCTTCACGTAAGAACTATTTTTTTTTAACTCACAATAAGATAAGACTCAAGGTATTTTTCAAAACACTACCTAGATAAGGCCAAGAGTACTATGTACCAACAAAGAAGCACATTAGTGTTTATTAACTTCACCTTTTTTTTTTTTTTTTACTTTTTTTTTATTAATTCTGCCCCAAACACTGTTTTTCTTTTTCTTTTTTTTTTTTTTTTTGAATTATGCTTCTTTTTTTTTTAATTTTTTTTTTATTATACTCTAAGTTTTAGGGTACATGTGCACATTGTGCAGGTTAGTTACATATGTATACATGTGCCATGCTGGTGCGCTGCACCCACTAACGTGTCATCTAGCATTAGGTATATCTCCCAATGCTATCCCTTCCCCTTCCCCCGACCCCACCACAGTCCCCAGAGTGTGATATTCCCCTTCCTGTGTCCATGTGATCTCATTGTTCAATTCCCACGTATGAGTGAGAATATGCGGTGTTTGGTTTTTTGTTCTTGCGATAGTTTACCTTTTTAGCAGTGGTAGGGAAGCAAAGCATCATATTTATTAACCACTAACAATTTACCTGACTTTTTTAATACATATACCCCATATATCTTAGGTATTTTCTTCATAAAAATACTTTAGATCTTAATTCTCTCTCACGTTTTCAGGAATAAAAATTGTCTTTCAAATTAAATTGTATTTTAATAGTGGAACAAAACACAAAATGGATTGATCCTAGTATTATTTTATTTCTTTGTTTCTTTTGTTTGTTTTCATGCATTTTCTAAGAGAGGTGTGAATGATGTTCTAAAGTCTCAAAGATTGGAATCAAGTGAAAAAAAGATAATTATTCATATTTCATTTAGCGAAATATAATTCTATCTTCATATATATGTTTCTTGCTTTATCTTTAGGATTATGCATGCTGTGTCCTTATCTGTATGTTTATTTTGATTTTCTCTTATCTCTCTACTCTATCATAATGTTCAGTCTATCAGTCAGGATTTCATCAGAAAAGAGATGCCACTCACAAAGGGGTTTCATGGAGGAGACTTTATTGAAACCTCTATTTGCAAAGGGGCATGGGAACCCAACAAGGCACTGTGAAGCACCCAGTCCCACAAAGGTCTAGAAGAATTTGAGGGTCTCAGAGCCATGGGAGAGCTGGGTAGTTCCACCTCTTAATTTCCTGCCTGTGTCTTGTGTGGTTGCATCTACTTCAGACCAAAAGACAAGGGCATTTGATTAATGCATTCCCCAGAGGTCAGCTTCCCAGGACTTGAAGAAGGGCCAAAAAAGGGCAAAGAATGAATATTGTGGTAGTTGGGAGAGAATATGCTATACAAGGGAAATGACCAACCCAATAAAATAGAGGTAAGCCTTGCTAAGAGAACCTTCTGTAACAGTAAATGCATTGTTTGTTCACACAGAACACCAGAATCACTATAAAATGCATTTTCTCACCCAGTTCTCTATCTGTAGAATGAGTGTGATGTGGTCTTCCATCAAAATATGAGTGCACATTAAATATAAATAAGGCAGACTTCAATGTCCAAAATATATACTCTGGAAATCTCACTGTGTCTACTTCCATTCTGGTAGACCACTCTGAAGCATTGAGTCTGGTTCTTGGCATTTTAAGAAAGGCATTCAAGAACATCTAGAGAAGGATGACCATGGAGATAAAGAATCTGGAAATTAGGTCTCATAGGCACCGTGGATGGAGAGGTGGATGTCTAAACTCAGTGTTGAGGGTCACTAGTGGCACATTTGAAGGGCCATGTTGAAGAAAAAGAATGGTATTTACTTGTTTCAACTACAAGATGACAGAATCCTCCTAGTGAGTAGAAGTTTTACAGAAGCAGATTTTTATTCAATATTAAAAATAAAAATTAAAGAATCAGAATTTTCAGACAATACAGAGACTTACCTAGTGATTTGTTACCTGCCTGTGGAGATTAGAGTTCACAGCTTCGTATAATGAATGTCATAGGAATACATTCTTAATGTTGGGAGCATAAACATACCAAACTCTAATTTCATATCTACTTATTTATTCTAGTCATTATAGAAAATAATTGAGGAAGATATGTCATGAGAATAGGCACTACTTACTAAAGTATAAATATAAATCATCTGATATACATTAGAATAAAAATATAGATACAAAGGAAATAATATAAAATAGAATAAACTGGTCATAATTATTACAGAGTTACTATAATGAAGATACCATTTAGTTATAAACTTTACAATAGCCAAGATGGGAAAAGCAGTAAACATTTAGCCATTAGAAGAAAATATACCAGATTTTTTTAAAGGAAGAAAAATTTTTTTCTAAAATTTTAAGACTCTACAAGGAACCATTTTAAAAAATGCAGAAAGGCCGGGTGCAGTGGCTCATGCCTGTAATCCCAGGACTTTGGGAGGTCAAGGCGGGTGGATCACAAGGTTAAGAGATCAAGACCATCCTGGCCAACATGGTGAAACCCTGTCTCTACTGAAAATAAAAAAATTAGCTGGGCATGGTGGCGCGCTCCTGTAGTCCCAGCTACTCGGGAGTCTGAGGCAGGAGAATCGCTTGAACCCAGGATGGGGAGGTTGCAGTGAGTCGAGATCACGCCACTGCACTGCAGCCCTGGTGACAGAGTGAGACTCCATCTCAAAAAAAAAAAAAAATTGGTAGATAAAACAGTGCCATGATCAATTTATTGACGTGTCCAACAATATAAGCACAATATGATATGAGTAGTGAGTGTTATGGACTTAAAGTAAAAGAAAAAATTAGGCATCATTATTTATCCAATTACCAGACACAGTTTTGAGAGAATATGCGAGGAAGGAGTTTTAGACGATCAGCAGAAGTTTGAAGGACTTTCTGTACAAGAAGAAAGCAAAGGCAGAAGAAAATAAGAAACAGACAAATAAAAATACGAGTTGGCTAGAGTGAAAGAAACAGCTGAAGCAATGGAGGATAAGGACAAGCTGGAGGTTCCGACCTTTGGGTCTCTTTCCGCTGATGAGAACCTTATTCACCAACTCCCCCTCACTTCACCTTAAGGTTTCACCGGGAATGAGCTGATGGGGAAACCAGCAAGGTTTTCAGTGACTATTTAAGCTACTGTTGGCATAAGTTTAAAAAGGAGACCATAAAAAATGAATATTATTAAATTTAGATTACTAAAATATTTTTAAAACTTTTATTTGGATAAGTTTGCCTTATAGCTACTGTTTTAAAGGATGAAACATTCTTACTGTCATCTCAACTTCCTGTACATTTAAGTATACTTGGAATATTTTTTAAAAAAACCCTTTATATCCTTAAGTAAGTGACATCTAGTGTCCATGACATTCTCATTAAATCTGGCATTTGTAATAATGTGTTGTTTCTTTTCCTAAGACTCCTTCTGTTTTTAGGCAGCCATCATCTTGACAATCTCTTTCTTTCTACTTCAAAGTATACATCAGATGAATAAAGAGAGTTCATTAGAGCCTTCAACCATTCAGAGGATGTTAAGCAGCTATTTTTCTCTTACTGTTTCATTCATGATCCTTTCTATCCTTGTTATTTTGCAAATAAACATCATAATTTCACCTAGCAAAGCCACACTTAAGGAAGGAGAGAAATGAAAATTTAGCAAGGATTAAAATAGAAAGAATTTAACAGAATCATGTTCCCTGTATGTGCTTCATTATGAGTGGTGTGTGTTACATAAGAGTAATTTTATACCTATATATAGTGGGAAAAACTATATAATTGTTCTATAAAATAATGGAAAATTAAGTGTGGTAATGACAACATTTAATATATTTTCTTTGAATTGAAGCTTAATAAGTTGAGTAAGGAAAATTTTTTTAATTAAAAATCAGCAAAAATTGTCAAAGACTGAACAAAAGCAAACACTTGTTTAGCAATTACTATATATACTAGGCACTATTCTTAGTACCTTATATACATTAACTTATTTAATTCTTATAACTATTCTTATGAGGTAGTCACACTTGATATCTCCTTTAAATGGGCACAGAAAGGTTAAGTTACATGCTCATAGTCACAGGCCAAATAAGACCCAGAGCTTGAGATTCTAAACTCAGAATTCTGGCTTGAGTATGTGCACTAATAATTGCCTATAAATGTAACAGTCACCAAAAAAGCCTTTAGAACAATATTTGGTACAGTGTAAGACCTACATAAATGGCTTTGGAGAAAAAAATCATATTAAAAGTCAGGTTTTAAAAACATTTAACATAATACAGATTTTTCAGATCATGTTTAATACATCTAATTATATCACACTTTCAAAATGGTCTTCTATGGATAGGAATTGAATATCTCCTTTGCGATTTTCATTAGGCATCCACAATTTTGGATGTCTTGTAATGATATATGTCACCTCACTCCACTCAGCTGGCTCTGGCTTTTCCCTGATTTTTTGTTTGTTAATGTCAATTTTTTTATGACCTTAACTCCCACAAGTTTTTGAACTTTTGATTATTAATCGCAGTGTGTTAGAATTGTGTATCAATCAACCAATGCATCTTTCAGGATTAGTTAAATGATTATGTTACTTAATAAGAAGTTTTAATTCATCGAGTAATGTGAACTATATGAGGATATACATATATTAATTAATCAGCTATTACCTTTAGAAAACATTCTTGCATTTCTGAGACTAAAAATACTCGCTTTCCTATTATAGGTCCCCTTTTGCCCCTCCACATTTTCATATATGCGAAACATATACTATAATTGAAAATGCAAAATTAGACCTTAATAAGTTATTTTAAGTTCCTTATAATTAGTTAATAAAGTGGCTTGAAATAATAAAACCATGTGGTTTTGTTAGACATACAGATAATTGAAAAAGAATAAAATAGTCCAAAAATAGGCCTAGCAATTGTTATAAGCATAATAATAATGAATTAGAGGTAATTTCTTATATAAGGAGAACTCAGAAATAAAAATCAAATAATTACCCAAAATATTAACGTATTTGTCATATAAAACCTTTACACATAAAAAAAGGCAAAAAAAAATCAGGAGAAAAATATGTTAAGGCTCTCTGTGTCATATTGACCATATCTTTATTTTCTAAATCAATTATTAACCTATATTAAAATTTAATAAACATGAGAAGTATTGGTGATCAAGCAATCTCCTCTCTCCAAAAAATACAATAAATGGTAGGAAAATAAAAAAAAAATAGTTTAACCTTTTTAAATGACAAGGAAATACAAAGAAAAGCAATGAGCTACAACATGATATTATTTTGGCCATACTCTTAAGAAACATAATATCAAATATTGCAAGGCTACGGGAAAATTTTAGTTCCTTGCATTGCTGGTGATAGCATAAATTGGTATCATCCTTTTGTAGCGGAATCCATGTTCATGATCAATGAAGATGGACTTTTAAGTTAAAAAGCTGACTGCGGGATGGATGTCTGTGGCATTGATTATTTTCAGGTATCTAGGGTCATTTCAATTGTTAGCAGTATTTATTATTTAAAAATTACATAGATATATACACGTACATATACATACATACATGTCTGTGTGTGTAGAGTGCATGTATGTTTATGTATATATTATATATCTTATTACATTTCCCTTCTCTTCATTCCTGATTTTCAGGTCCTCATATTATAACTTTTTTTTTTTTTGAGACAATCTTTCCCAGTCACCAAGGCTGGAGTGCAGTCGTGTGATCTCAGCTCACTGCAACCTCTGCCTCCCAGGTTCAAGTGATCCTCCTGTCTCAGCCTCCCAAGTAGCCGGGACTACCGGCACCCACCACCACGCCCAGCTAATTTTTGTATTTTTGATACAGACGGGATTTCGCCATGCTGGCCAGGCTTGTCTCGAACTCCTGGCCTCAAGTGATCCTCCCACCTCAGCCTCCCAAAGTGCTGGGATTACAGGCATGAGCCACCGCACCTGGCCTATACACTTCTTAAGTAAAGAAATAATACTTACTTAATTTTTTTCTGATTTCTTGCAATTTTTTAGATTTCTCTGCTATCCCTATGAATGGAATGAACAAACATGCCCTTGTTTTACATGTATGTGGAAGGTTTTGGATTTAAAGAGATGTTTTTCTTCACTATCTACAGGCATTGATTCTTGTCAACAATAAAATTAGCAAAGTTAGTCCTGGAGCATTTACACCTTTGGTGAAGTTGGAACGACTTTATCTGTCCAAGAATCAGCTGAAGGAATTGCCAGAAAAAATGCCCAAAACTCTTCAGGAGCTGCGTGCCCATGAGAATGAGATCACCAAAGTGCGAAAAGTTACTTTCAATGGACTGAACCAGATGATTGTCATAGGTACAGACATTTTTATAACTTTAAGACCAAAACTCAAGTTTTTATCTTAAGAGATTTCAACTGGGTTTTAAGTGCAGGAAGGTAAATTAGCTACAAGCTACATGCCTGGAGCCTATGTGATTTATAAGAACAGGGCCAAGAGAAATTGGGATTTTGAATCTGGACCTTACAGTGATGTTTTTATGTATGTCCTTGAGTATCTGAGAATATGGAGAAAACCCTAGGGCTGAAGTTACCCTACCACACACACAATATGCAAAGATGAGTTTAAATAGTGCTTAACTACAGATATTTTGAGATACCTTTCCGTTTTGGGGACCTGTTGTATTCTAAACACTCATAAATCATTTGCTTTAAAAATATGTTATGGCTGGGCGCGGTGGCTCATGCCTGTAATCCCAGCACTTTGGGAGGCCGAAGCAGGCGGATCACGAGGTCAGGAGATCGAGACCATCCTGGCTAACATGGTGAAACCCCATCTCTACTAAAAATACAAAAAATTAGCCGGGCGTGGTGGTGGGGGCCTGTAGTACCAGCTACTCGGGAGGCTGAGGCAGGAGAATGGCGTGAACCCGGGAGGCGGAGCTTGCAGTGAGCCGAGATGGCCCCACTGCACTCCAGCCTGGGTGACAGAGTGAGACTACGTCTCAAAAAAAAAAAAATTTCTCTAAACATATAGTAAAAATTGTAATTTTATTATTGGCTTATAAAATGCTAGATTGAAATTCTTTAACAAAATTTTAAAATACCTTAGGAAAATAATAAATAACGTAAGATGGGAATTGTAAACTTGCTTTAGTTGATTTCTGGGCAAACCTGTGTATGCATCTTAAATAATTTTATTGGTATTGCTTTCACTAATAGTCTTTTTCATAAGTCATTATTATTCATAAGTCATTGTCTGTTTGGCTTTTGTTTTAATAAGGGAAATTTTTATCCTATTTTGCTATTCTCCTGAGGAGCATGCTCTTTAACTTCACTTTTGTTTTTTAGTCAAGTTGATATTAATCCCTATTTCTTTATAGGTTGCTTGCTGAAACAGATACTACAGTGACTAGTAATATCCTAAAATTTCCTCTAAAAGCCTTGCACTTATTACATTTGTAGAACTGGGCACCAATCCGCTGAAGAGCTCAGGAATTGAAAATGGGGCTTTCCAGGGAATGAAGAAGCTCTCCTACATCCGCATTGCTGATACCAATATCACCAGCATTCCTCAAGGTGATAGAAGATTCTCCAAAACATTTTGAAAAATTTAAATTCAAAGGCTTTAATTAAAAAAAAAAAATCTTGTGGAAACTGGAATTGTCACCTAAGAGGCCAACCTTATTTCCAGCAAATTCTCTATTACTGCTAGTGTTTCATCCAGTGTTTATATTTCCAGCAAATTCTCTATTACTGCTAGTGTTATATCCAGTGATTCAGTCTGGATGACCACGGGGCCATCCAGGCTCACTGTAGAGATGGGTAGACTCCTGTTAATGTCTAGTTTAAGACACAACTTAATGCACAGTGATTTTATAATATTGTAAAATCACAAAGAAAAAGTACATTTATTTAAAAAATAGCATGCCTTGGTGTTTGTAAAAAAAAAAAAAAAGATATATGGGAGTACCTCTGAAATTGATCCAATTTTTATCTTGAGTCTGCAATAGCTTAGGGAATTTTTTTTTCCTTTTTAAGACACTCCAGTTATTAATATCTGAATGATAGTGGTAGTTGTGTGTTGTGAAGAGTGTAGATTTTGGAGTCAGTTTGCTTGAGCCCAAATTACCATAAAGTGGTTCAAAGACTTTGAAAAAGTTATTCATTTGTCCTCTATCTCTTTATCTGTCAAGTGGAAATAATACTGCTATCCACTTCATTGAGTTGTTTTAAAGTTAAATAAATAATTAGAGAAATATTTAGCATATAGATAAGTAGGGAATTAATATAACTCTCTATTATGCATTAAAAATGTTCTGAACAATCAGTATGTGTAGGCGATGTACCAAACACTTAAGACAGGGCAGGGAACAGGATATGCTACATGCCTTTAGGAGCTTACTCTCTAAAACCAAGCCAGACAAATACACAGCAATGACCACATAGCCACAAGGGTAAGTTCATTGTTCCAAGGGATTCCCAGGAGAGGCACAAAAGCCAGTCTTTGTGAATTACAAAAGGCATCAAACCACCAATAATAAATTCCTCTAACTTGCACATCGTCCCTACTCTGGGTTTTTCAGTCTCACAGAAGCCCTCTATATTATCTAGTTTTCCCCTCAGTCTGTCCCTTTCTCAACTTAGATGCCTTGTTCTTGAGTGCGTACAAAATGTAGACATTTGGCCACAGAAAACACCAGTTGTCCTTTATTGTTCTTTTACAGAAATTTCAACTCCTGAGAGTACATATTCCATAGGATGCTTTCTTACCACCCCTTGCCCTCCTCCTAGTCTTTTGAATACAGAGCATGCTTTTGACTTCCTTAGTAGCAACTACTGGCATAGATAGATACATAGATGATAAAGACTGATTTATAATTCATAAAGCACTTTCATGTTGAGTCTCCAATTTTTTGCATGTAACAAGTAATCTTTTGCTATCCCCAGTGCAGGAATGAAATATTTATATCTCAGATAGATATAAATTGGGGATTGATATAGATAGATAGATAGATAGATAGATAGATAGATAGATCTTATTAAAATTCTTGCTGAAATTTATTTCATGCAGCCAGATGACTTACATTTAGCACAATCTCAGACTTTGCTGTCCCTCTTAATGCATGCTCCAAAATATCCTTCACTGATACCTTTTATCATTTCATGATCTCTTTTCCTTTACTTTGCTATGTCTTCTATCTATCCCAGGTATTCTTTCCTCATCATTTATAGCTTGCTTTTATTTACTACCGCTTAATAGAAAAGTTAAGTAACTACAATTTATTAAGCATGTATTTAGTTCCGGGTATCATGCCAAATGCTTGTCATGGAGTCTTCTATATGATTCTTACAACGTCCCTATATAGTAGGGTTATAATTCCTGTTTCATAAAAGTGGAAAATGAGGCTTAAACAGGTAAAGAAAATTGTAATTAAGTTCTTAGAGCTAGGAAGCGGCAGAGATGGAATTGTGTGGTGCTGATGTCAGAACTCGTGTGTTTAACTATTTCACTCTGTTGGCATATTAAGTCCTCCTTTCTATTCATCGTTATGCTTATCTAATACATGATTCCACCTTGCTTAGGCTGGGATACCTATGCCTGAATATCAGCAACCTCCTGGTGATATTTTCTCCCATCACTCATGGAAATGGAAAGGCAGTAGAAAGTAGTGTAGAGACTATAAAAATCATACACTTAGATCAACCTGGGTGAGAGACCTAACTCAGTCATTTAGTTGTACTGTGACTTTAGGATAATTATTCTGCATTTCTATAACCTCAGGTTTGTTAGATGTTACATGGAGCTATTAATAACCCTGTCTACTAGGATTATTGTGAGGATTACTCTATAGAAGTAAGGCTTGTATTGTACACGCAAGTACTTGGCCCAATGTAAACCTCAATATATTTTATCTTAAAAAAGGAAAAGAAAAAAGAAAATTTAAAATAAATGAACAAACAAATAAATAAAATAACTGGAGTATGGGTTCTTTAACTCAATGCCACAGTTGCAGAAGCTAATGATGCACTTTACAAATTTGTCTATCTCAAACCTATTGCAAGGTTTTCTCCCATAGTCAAACTTCTTCTTAGCTATAACTTTACATTTGGGAAACTGACATCCCAAAAAGGGAGACACTTTGAAACTAAGTAAGGCCGATGGTTGTGATAGCAATTGGTGTACTGGAGGCACTGCATTAAAAAATATACATTTTGCATTACTTTGTAATTACTTTGTAACTTTGAGTCTTATTTATTTAACTGTGAAAAGGGATTAGTGACCAATAATTTATGTTTTGAGAGGCTTAAAGGATTTGAAGTAGGAAAAGTGCCAAGGTCAATGTTCGGTGCGTAACAGACATACAATAAATAGATGTTCCTTTTCCTAGCAGCTCTAACACAAAATATGCTACCATAGGAAACTAAGAATCATTTTCAAGTCAAATATGGACTAAACTATTTTATTAAATGGACAATATTGACAGAATTCAGTGTGATGTGATAAAAATTTTAGACAAAATGAAACCTGTGGTTTTTCAATTCTGTGTCTTTATAGACAAATAGCCAAGACTTTCTGCCAATCAGATGTTCTTTCTACACTTAACCAATTTGCTATTTTCTCTGTATCTATTGCTATTAAGTGGAACAATATGTTATTTTAAAAGCTGTATAAAATATAATACAGCCTCAGATGCTAGGAGGAAATGAAAATAAAATATTTAAACTTTTATATTTATAATACTCGATCTTTGGAAATCACAGCCATGCAAGTACTATCTAGAGGTTTAGTGGGTACTTTGGATGTAAAATTATTACCCCAGGTGCTCCACATATGGCAGATCACTTGATTATAGACCTCTCCACTCCTTCTGCATAAACATTCTGGATTTAATAGGCATAAGTAAATGTTAGCTGTTTCTACACAGACATTTTGCAGAGGTATTTGATGCTTTTATGGAAAAGTCAATTAAGGCTAAGACCAGCACAGTATATCAGTGTTAATTTTTAATGATGCTCATTAATGAAATAGACAATTAAGTTTGTACATGGGTTTAATTTATACGTAATCTCTTCATTATGGTTCGAATAGTGACTTTCCCACTTTATAATTACTATCTTTTATCAACGTCAGTTTTAGCCCATTAACAAAGGTGGAAGAGAATAATGAGACTCAGCGTTGACTTCAGTTCTTCTATTCCAAGAACAAAAATTGACTACATGATAGAAATCATCCAGGTTTTTGTTAAAGTCAACCTAAGAGAAAAATAGCAAGGGCTTCCACTACTTCCAAAAGCACACATTATTATAAAAGGGATGAAAAAAAAAGATAAAAGTAAAGCTGATTCTTTGAAACTGTGTGTCTTTTAGAAAATTGATGGCATATGTCTTCTTTAAGTTTGTCCACATTCTGTACTTATAATGTTTATCTGCTAATTTAACATCTTTAATTCCACATTCCAGGTCTTCCTCCTTCCCTTACGGAATTACATCTTGATGGCAACAAAATCAGCAGAGTTGATGCAGCTAGCCTGAAAGGACTGAATAATTTGGCTAAGTAATAATATTCTTTCATGACATTCTATCAGAACAATGGCTAGGTATATTAGTGCTTATATGATAAGAATTATAAACATGATGATTGATTTTTGAGTGTACTACATTTCACTGCTGTTGTTGTTTCTATAATCTCAAACTTCAGCATATCCAATTATTTCTTGAGAAGAAGCCAATGAAATAGTGCCCTTACTAAAACCACCAAGATCAGCTTCATATTTTATTAATACTATACTGTTTATAGATTAGTTATATTTTATACACAAAGTGTGTGATTAAATCAATATGTGCATTTAATATGTTCTAACTTATTTGCATCAAACAGAAAGTTAAGTAAATTATAACACAGTTGCTAGAATTTGAAAATCCATTAAAATGAAATCTACCAAGACAGAGAAATATTGAGCATCACACAAATTACTATTTTAATAATTATGAGATTCTCTAACCCCCTCTTCTCTGAAAAGTTTAAAATAAAATATCTCTGGGCATTTAATGTAGATCAACAAAAGAAAAGCTTTTGTTGTTGTTGTTTTTGCTGGCCCTTCTTAATGATTTTTTTTAAAATAAGTGATACTAGTACTTGTCCTGGTTTCAAACATAACTTCAATCTGGCAAACGTTTTCACTTGTCTTCAAGGAACACTATGTTCTTTTTGATCTGTACATATTGCTGACTGTCCCTACAGAGAAGCACACTATCATGCCAGATTTACTCATTCCTGTTGTTATATATAAATTTCATGGTGGATAAATAAATATAAAATATATCTTTGAATGTGTATATATATATATATGCATGTGTGTGTGTATAATCAACTCCTTTACTAGGTAAAATATTCTTTGATGGGAAAAGTGGTTTTTGATCCATGAGACCTCTGTCCCTCACAATGCCTAGCATAATATCATGCACATAAGTTTTCAAGAATATTTGTTTATTAAATATACAAATAAATGTTTGAATAAGTGAACAGTTTTTAAAAATAAACTATTAGGAATATTATGTTCCAATATTATGGTTGACCATAATTTGATGTTGGAACTTAGGATATTATAAGGAATAGGAGACTATGTCCAATCACGTTCTGTCAGATGAATCTCAAAGACAGTAACTTTGAGCCGAGACCTTAACAATAAATGGACTTTGTCCAGGCTCAGAGAGGTTGGAGAAAGCACTCCAAGAACTGGGAAGAGTAAGTGCAAAAACAAAAAATGTCCTTTCCTATAGACTTGATTAACTACACAATGCTTGTAAGAAAGGCATCCATGTGTGGTGTTTGCTTTCATTTCTGCTTTCTGTTGCAGGTTGGGATTGAGTTTCAACAGCATCTCTGCTGTTGACAATGGCTCTCTGGCCAACACGCCTCATCTGAGGGAGCTTCACTTGGACAACAACAAGCTTACCAGAGTACCTGGTGGGCTGGCAGAGCATAAGTACATCCAGGTAATGCAAAGCCACTGCTTATGTGAGGAATATCCAAAAAGCAAGACCCCCACCCTGCTTATGGGATGCTGGGAAGCAGGAAGCTCTTCTTAGAAGTTTTTTTTCCAGAGTGTCTTAGTTAGAATTTCTATGACAAAATACCATAAAAAAAATTAAATCATGAAGCACAATTTACATTAGCTAGATTTCAATAAAGTTTTTGATTTAGAAGTATGGAGATGAAACTTAAAGTCTTCTGTAATGCTGATATTTTTTTCAGTAGGGGTGGTGATGTTGGTGCCATAGTGAGTAGGGGGAGTTTGAAGCCACAAGTAAAATAAAAATTCTTTTTTTTTACTGTCACTAATTTTAATTTTCAAATTATTCAAGAATTGACTGGAAAGAGCTTCTTTGGTCTAGCTCCTGATTCTTTTTGACATGGCCTCATCATTTTTCTTTATTTCCTCTAAAAAAAAAATGAGATACGTTTGCAGAATGTGCAGGTTTGTTATATAGGTATACGTGTGCCATGGTGGTTTGCTGGCCCTACTGACCCATCCTCTAAGTTCGCCCGCTCACCCCCTACCCCCTGTTGTGTGTTTTGTTACCCTCTCTGTGTCCGTGTGTTCTCAGCATTCAACTTCCATTTATGCGTGAGAACATGCAGTATTTGGTTTTCTGTTCCTGTGTTAGTTTGCTGAGGATGATGGCTTCTAGTTTCATCCATGTCCTTGTAAAGGACATGATCCCATTCCTTTTTATGGCTGCATAGTATTCCACGGTGTATATGTACCACATTTCCTTTATCCAGTCTATCATTGATGTGCATTTGGATTGGTTCCATGTTTTTGCTATTGTAAAATAGTGCTGCAATAAACATTATGTGTGCATATGTCTTTATAGTAGAATGATTTATATTTCTTTGGGTATATACCCAGTAATGGGATTGCTGGGTCAAATGGTATTTCTGGTTCTACATCCTTGAGGAATTGCTACACTGTCTTTCACAATGGTTGAACTAATTTATGCTCTCACCAACAATGTAAAAGCACTCCTATTTCTCCACAGCCTCATCAGCATCTACTGTTTCCTGACTTTTTAATAATCACCATACTGACTGGCATGAGATAATATCTCATCTCCAGCCACAGGGAATCATTAATCTATTTTATCATTTTTGTTTGTTTCATAGACCATAGTTTTGTGTAGATTCCAGGAATACTTTAACATCTAGAAATTTTATAATTTTAACTCCTGTATTTGGTTTTATAATCTAATTTTGAGATAATCCTAGTATATGATATGAGTCTAATTCATTTTCTGTATGTGATAGCAATTGTCCCAATGTCATTTGTTGGAAATAATATTCTTTCTCCAATGAATTGTCTTGTCACTGTTGAAAATCACTCGATCATAAATGTAAGGGTTTATTTCTGGACTTTCAATTCTATTACATTTATCTATATGTCTAGTCATATGACAGTATTATACCCTTCAATTACTGTAGCTTTTGATTACGTTTTGAAATTAGAAAATGTAGGTTCTCCAACTTTGTTCTTTTTTTTCAAAGTTATTTTGGCTATTCTGGTTCCTTTGCATTCCATATCAATTTTAGGATCTACTTTTTCATTTCTGGAAAAATATTCTTGTAAGGCTTTGAAAGGTATTGTTTTGAATCTACAGATCATTGGGAAGAATTACTATCTTAATAATATTGAGCCTTCCAAGTCACAAACAAGGGTTATTTATATCTTCTTTTCTTTTTCTCAACAGTTTTTGTCATTTTTAGCATACATGCCTTGCAATTCTTTTACTACATTCATTGTTTTTCATTCTTTTTGATGCTGTTTTGAATTGTTAATTTTTTTATTTGTTTGCTGCTAATGTATAAACATACAATTGATGTTTATATATTGAGCTATCCTGGTACTATGCCAAATTTGTTTTTAGTTGCAGTAATTTTTGTGAGTTCCTTTGGATATTCTATATTCAGGATATATTATTTAAAAATAGACAGCTTTAGTTATTTTATTTGGATTCTTTTAGGTCTCCCCCTCCCCCACAACCCACCCTTTGCATTGGCTGGAATCGCCAGTGCAATGTTGAACAAAGGTGATGAAATTAGACATCTTTGCCTTATTTGCTAGTTTAGGAGGAGGGAGCATTCATTTTACCATTAGTTACGATGTTAGCCACAGGTCTTCTATAGATGCTCTTTATCAAGTTGAGGAAGTTCCCTTCTATTTCTGATTTACTGAAAACATTTATTATGAATTTTTTTCTTACATGTTTTTCCTGCTTCTATTGAGATAATCATGCGAGTTTTGGCCTTTATATTTTTGATATAGTGTATTACATTGATATTACTTTGATTGATTTTCATAAGTTAAACCAATTTTACAACCCTGAGATAAATCATGTTTGGTCCTATAGCATGAAATCATTTTATATGTTGTGAAATGTAGCTTCCTAACATTTTGTGAAAGATTTTTTGTCCATATTCATAAGAGGTATTTGATTACATTTTTTTTTCTTATGATGAATTTTGTCTGGCTTTGGTCTTAGAAAATATTGACCCCATAGAATGAGTTTGGAATCTACTTTTATTTTGTTCTACACAGACTAATACTTACGTCTTGATATTTTGTTCTCTCACTTTCAATATTAACCATAAATTGCTCACCAAACACCCCTTCCTTTACTTGCTAATCACTACTGGAATATAGAGGATGGTAAATGACAACAAGAAACTTCCAAAATATGAGAACCATAAACCATACATATAAGTGTTGCTTTCACTTTAATATTCCTTGTTTCTGTTTTTATATGACATCTACTAATTCGCTTTTCAGCCCTTACAAAAACAAAGCCGTTTTCACCAGCACATGAATGTGAATGTCCTAGTGGGTAGAACAATATTTCAAATTTTTTTTTTTTTTTTTTTTTTTTTTTTGAGTCGGAGCGTCTCGCTCTGTCACCTAGGCTGGACTGCATACAATGGCACAATCTCGGCTCACTGCAACCTCCGCCTCTCGGGTTCAAGAAATTCTCCTGCCTCAGCCTCCCGAGTAGCTGGGATTACAGGCACGTGCCGCCATGCCATGCTAATTTTTGTATTTTTAGTAGAAACGGGGTTTCATCATGTTGGTGAGGCTGGTCTTGAACACCTGACCTCATGATCCATCCGCCTCGGCCTCCCAAAGTGCTGAGATTACAGACATAAGCCACCACGCCCAGGCTTTCAAGTTATGTTTTAAGGGAGTACTTCATAGGTTTTATAGCTCACTTAAGATCTTGTTGGTGGCAGGACGCAGTGGCTCATGCCAGTAATCCCAGCACTTTGGGAGGCTGAGGTGGGCGGATCACGATGTCAGGAGATCGAGACCATCCTGGCTAACATGGTGAAACCCCCTCTCTACTAAAAATACAAAAAATTAGCCGGGCGTGGTGGTGGGCGCCTGTAGTCCCAGCTACTCGGGAGGCTGAGGCAGGAGAATGGCGTGAACCCGGGAGGCGGAGCTTGCAGTGAGCCGAGATTGCGACACCGCACTTCAGCCTGGATAACAGCGCGAGACTCCGTCTCAGAAAAAAAAAAAAAAAAGACCTTGTTGTCTTAGTGTTATATTCTAACCTTGCTTGTATGATTTCAGAGAAGTTGCTTCTTGACCTACAGAACTCATATCCTCAAAGTGAACTGTAAACTCATTTCTAACATTCTTTGTATAATTCCGGTTTTTAGGGACCCTAAGAAAATCTATGGCCAAATTACCATTATCTTAAACATGATTGTAAAACATAATTCAGAAAAAAAACTCTGATTAATTATATTGCACTGTATTCAAGTAAAACGTATTACGTAAAATATGTATTTGTTAAAACTTCCTAGGTCTATTCTAAATGCTGTGATGTTTAAATATTTAAGAATTTCTTGGAGTTTGTGATTCTTTATTTCAATTCCAGTACTTTATGCTCTCTTTTTCTTTTTCACTACACAGCACTTTCTCATTCTATATCATTTTGTTAAAAGGTGTATATATTTTTTGTCCTGAAAACATAATATTTCATGTAGACCCAATATAGTCATGTAGACCTGATATATGAAATAACATTTATTCATTCAACACATATTTATTGAACACCTGGTCTGTTCTAGTACTGGAGATACAGCCATAAACAAGCAGAACCATTCTTGTCTCATGGAGCTTTTACTCTAGAGGAGAGAAACAAACAATATCAAATAAGCATAATATGCTACATATTGATAATGCTATGAAGAAAAACATGTAACGTAATTCTGCCCCAGAGAATGGCAGAATGGGATGGTCAGGGAAGGTCTCTCTGGTAAGAAAAAACGACTTACATGAGGCAACAAGCCTTGAAGACACCTTAGAGATTATTCCAGGTTGAGTAAACGGTGTTGATAACTTAAGAAGAGATCATGCTTTGTGCATTAGAAGAGCAGCAAGTAGACCAGATGACTGGCTTTTACAGTAAGAGAAAAGGAGGTCAGAGTAGAAGGATGTCAGATCATGTAGGATTTGTAGGCCCCTTTGAGAACTTTAGATTTTATTATTCTGCATGAGATTGGAAACCACTGGAGTTCTGAGGCAAAGAACATATAATTTGGTTTACTTTCTAAAGCAATTGCTCTGAGAGCTTAAAAAAAGAATAAAATTTAGGAAGGCAAAAGGGGAAGCAGGAATAATAATCAGGGCAACTTCAATCATTTGGAAGGAAACAATGGTGACTTGGACAAGGTTGTCGGAGTAGAGGTGGAGAGAACTAGATTAAGTGTACATTTTGAAGGCTGAGCTAGCAAGATTTGTTGTTGATTATGTAGAGAGCATAAGAGAATTGGAGCTCAAGGATAATGACAATGTATATAGCCTGAGCATCTGAAATGATTGGCATGCAATTTACTGAGATGGGGAAGACAAGACTAAAGAAGGGAAAAGCAAATTTTCAAAAGGAAGGGAGAAATCAAAAGTTTAATCTGAGAAGTAGTCAGTTATTCAAAGTGGGGCCTGTCGTGGTGGCTTACGCCTGTAATCCAAGCACTTCAGGAGGCTGAGGTGGCCGGATCACTTGAGGTCAGAAGTTCTAGACCAGCCTGGCCAACATGGTGAAAACCCAACTCTACTAAAAACAAAAATTAGCCGGGCATGGTGTGTGTGCCTGTAGTCCCGGCTACTCAGTAGGCTGAGGCAGGAGAATAGCTTCAACCTGTGAGGCAGAGGCTGCAATGCACTGAGGTCATGCCACTGCACTCCAGCCTGGGTGACAAAGCAAGATTCCATCTCAAAAAAAAAAAAAAAAAAAAAAAGTGAAGGATTAAAAAATAATAAAAAAAATAAAATGTTTACCTGAAGGGCCTCAACATATTTAGAGAATAATAATTATTTTCTATCGTTTCATGTTGTAGGTTGTCTACCTTCATAACAACAATATCTCTGTAGTTGGATCAAGTGACTTCTGCCCACCTGGACACAACACCAAAAAGGCTTCTTATTCGGGTGTGAGTCTTTTCAGCAACCCGGTCCAGTACTGGGAGATACAGCCATCCACCTTCAGATGTGTCTACGTGCGCTCTGCCATTCAACTCGGAAACTATAAGTAATTCTCAAGAAAGCCCTCATTTTTATAACCTGGCAAAATCTTGTTAATGTCATTGCTAAAAAATAAATAAAAGCTAGATACTGGAAACCTAACTGCAATGTGGATGTTTTACCCACATGACTTATTATGCATAAAGCCAAATTTCCAGTTTAAGTAATTGCCTACAATAAAAAGAAATTTTGCCTGCCATTTTCAGAATCATCTTTTGAAGCTTTCTGTTGATGTTAACTGAGCTACTAGAGATATTCTTATTTCACTAAATGTAAAATTTGGAGTAAATATATATGTCAATATTTAGTAAAGCTTTTCTTTTTTAATTTCCAGGAAAAAATAAAAAGAGTATGAGTCTTCTGTAATTCATTGAGCAGTTAGCTCATTTGAGATAAAGTCAAATGCCAAACACTAGCTCTGTATTAATCCCCATCATTACTGGTAAAGCCTCATTTGAATGTGTGAATTCAATACAGGCTATGTAAAATTTTTACTAATGTCATTATTTTGAAAAAATAAATTTAAAAATACATTCAAAATTACTATTGTATACAAGCTTAATTGTTAATATTCCCTAAACACAATTTTATGAAGGGAGAAGACATTGGTTTGTTGACAATAACAGTACATCTTTTCAAGTTCTCAGCTATTTCTTCTACCTCTCCCTATCTTACATTTGAGTATGGTAACTTATGTCATCTATGTTGAATGTAAGCTTATAAAGCACAAAGCATACATTTCCTGACTGGTCTAGAGAACTGATGTTTCAATTTACCCCTCTGCTAAATAAATATTAAAACTATCATGTGACTTCATGTAATCAGGCTGAACATTTCTACAATTACTAGATGTATTAGACGTAAGTATTTTCTTTAGTTAAACCACCCATGTTAGAAATGTTTTCTGTAGAATTTATAAACAACTATCAATGCAGACAATTTAATAAGCCTGGGGATGATTTACTTACAGTAAACATTTATCAAATTGTACATTTGTGCTATCAACAATTAATAAGCAAATATGTGAAAATAGTTTCTGTCTTCTATGAAGTTAGATATTTGATGGTTAAAACCCCTATAAATCATAGTTTCATATGGGAAAAAATAATTGAAATACAGTGTAAATTTAAATAATTTATTAAGTATAGCAAATAATTGAAATATGGTGGACTAAATTTTGTCATAGAAATATGTGCAAGTTATAGTAGTGGCTCACATGAGAGGTAATCAATTCTGCTAATAGTAGCAGAATGAGTGCAGTGGAACATGAAAAACTTGAGGAGATAACAGTTGAGGTGGGTTTCCATAGATGCATAATAGTTCAAGAGCAAGATTTGGTGGGGAGGCACTATTCAAGACAGGGACTAAGTTCAAAATCCAAGACGTATGCTGGGACACACCTCTGACAGGTTGGCATAAAGGAGGCTTAATCAAACTATTTTTCTTCTTCTGAAACAGAAGCAATAATTTTCATTTACATTTGACATATCCCGAGGTAATATTAACATTAGGGAAAGTTACTCTTTTCCATCTTTCCACATTCTTGCAGGACCATAAAATCTGAATTTTCCAGTATTTTTAATAAGAGGGAAGAAACCTCTCTTTTTCTTCTCTTTTTCATCTCCCAAGAGATCCTCCTCTCATGACTACAGTTGAATAGGTGGTTTCTATTGGAAGACATTCAGGAATTCAAGGTGCATGTCCATAAATGGACTTTTTTTGTTGTTGTTCAGAGCTGGACCTTGAATGATGCATCCTTCTCTCTGTTGTAACCATGAATAATGCACCCTTCATGCTATAGCCTTTAACGATTCACCCTTCTTATTGTAACCTTGAATGATTCACCCTTTATGGTGTAGCCTTGAGTGACGCACCCTTCATGTTGTAGCCTTCAATGATGCACACTCCATGTTATAGCCTTGAATGATATACCCTTTATGCTGCAGCCTTTCTCTTATGGGGAAAAGCCTGCAGATATCCTGCTGCTTAACTGACAAGTGTGGTGAGAAATAAGTAGAAATCTAAAGAGGGGAAGACCATTTTGGACACTTATCTGCAAGGCAGATCCAACACACTTTTCCAGTAGTCAAGCTACTTCTAATTTTGTTCAGTATCAAAATGAGAAACAGGCCTGATTCTCCAGCACTCTTGTCAACACAACTTCCCCCCATATTTATATATATACACACACATATATATCTTTATATATATACACACATATATATCTTTATATATATATATTTATATATATATCTTTTTGCATATATACATATATATGTATCTTTATTTCCTTTGAAATAAAGATAAATATAGCTGATTTCTTTGGCTTCGACACTTACTATTTGCATGACTAAGGGAAGCTAGTTAACCTTTCTGTGACTCATTTCCTTGTCCATAAAATGGGAATATTAATTGTACATGTCTTATGGATTGGTGTGTGAATTCAGTTAGCGAGTGTAGAATATAACTTATAGATCAAAGTAGAGTAAATGGAAAGGGCTCAACTATGGTGTTGCTACTGCCATTGTTATTACAGGCACACAGTTCGAGCTATAATCATTTCAAGGGAAATTCTTATGTGTCAGTTCTGGATCGAGGTCTGAGATTCTGCATTTCAAACAAACTTCCAGGAATGCTGCTGCTTCTTGGTCCACACTTGGAGAAATAAGTCAGCAGAGAGTCCTCTCGTTTCCTATTGTACCATGTCTGTCTTTTGTCTCCTGCTTATTGGCCTCTGTAAGGAACTCACAGCTGCTATAATAAAGTACCAAAAACTGGGTGGCTTAAAACAACAGAAACTTACTTTCTCACAATTCTGGAGGCTAAAAATTCAAAATCAAGGTGTCAGCAGGGTCAGATTCCTTCCAAAGCCTTTAGGAGAGGACCTTTCCTTGCTCCTCCTAGGTTTCTGGTTAAATCTAGGTGTTCTTTGCCTTATGGCAGCGTGACTCTAATTTATGCCTCCATCTTCACCCTCACATGGCCTTCTCTCTCATGTGTTTGTGTCTTTTCTCTTCTTCTTCTATGAACATGAGTTATATTGGATTAAGGCTCACCCTAATTTAGTATGAACCCATCTTAACTTGATTATATCTGCAAAGACTCTATTTCCAAATGAAGTCAGACTCACAGGTATTGGGGGTTTGATATTGAACATATCTTCTGGGAGGAGACACAACTTAATCATTAATATCCACTTTCTTTTTTCCTTATTAAATGTTTAATTTTTTTGTTTTCATTAAAACTGTTGTTCGATTATGGGTGCTTCACATAAAAGGTTGGAAACTTAAAAATTTGTCTCTGACCCCTCCTGGTTGGAAAGGCCTCTGTTGTACATTTATGCTAGCCTAGGCCATACCACTTTCTGTCTTCAGTACAGCCATCTTAGTTTATTCAAGTGACACAGATTTTCCAGAACACAGTATTCATGATCTTTTAAAGCATTTTTCTTCAAAGACTTTGATCTGGCAATAAATGTTACTATGTAATTCTCATGACATAAATTAGGCATAACTTGGATCTCCTCTTCTTCTGCTCATTCATTTGTCTGAATCATCACTATTATCTTTTTTATATTCCTTTACCGTTCTCCATAATGCTTTTCCAAGAAACTGGTTTATTCCACAATTTTATTGCAGAGGCAGCTGCAGGATATCATAATCTTATCTTTATACGAAGGAAGAATTGCCTAATCCCTCAAGTAAACTAAAAATGTTTTATACAGTCATTTCTCATTCATCCAATGTTCCAGGCAGTCCCAGTCCAAGACTGCCCCTTCACACACACAACAACTCTTCACAAGACTTCACTGTCCTTCAGACTCTCCTGCAGCACAGACATTCGAGGTTGCTGAGTCGACATTGCAGTTATTTCACTCTTGATTTTGCTGCTCAATTTTAAGTTTCCACACTTATTGCTAAAACATTCCTTCTAGTGGATCTGTTTATGTATTCAAGCACACCATCTGTCACAATTATTTCAAATCACAGGTCTGTGACAGACTGTCAATTTCACACCACAAAGTATAATAGTGGAAAACAAAGTAAAATCAAGAAAGGGAGAACACTAAACTTATTAAAACCATATACAAGCATACGCATTCAGGAAACTAAAACAACCTTCAAAGAAGTTGAACAATTTTGAGCCAAAAGAAAGGGCATATGCACACCCTACCCCAGTATAAGATAACCAGAAAAGGACTGGGTGAGTTGCCTCCTGAGTATTATGACTGCCATCAATCACTTAGGCATTGGAGATCAGGAGACTCTTCCCAGGCCACACATTCTGCAGTGACTGTGAGGGCTGAATGAATGCTTCCAGGCCATCAGGAACAAGCATAGAAACACAAATCAATTTTAAAATACACTCAAAAATGTCAAAATAATCCAACTTTTTTGTCTTGATCAGATATATCTACTAGCACATATTACTTCATTTTTTCAGCCAATATTTATTAATAACCTACTGTGTGCTTGACAGTGTTCTAGTGGCAGAGACACAGCAGTGCATAATGCCTTGCCCTCTGAAGCAGATGTTGCAGCAGGAGGAGACATTCCAGGACATGACAATTAAAGTGGAGGAATGTCAAGCAGAACTGGGGAATAAGGGATGTGAAGGGGGTGAGACTTGCTATTTTATATAGGATGGTCGGAAAAAGGACTTATCAGGAGTGACATTTGAGCAGGGAGATGAAGAACTGAAGGGAGCAAGCCAAGAAAAGAGGCCCTGAATTTGGAAAATACATGGCACGTTCCAACAAGAGCAGAGAGGACAAACGTGAGCAGAGTAAAGTGAGCAAGAAGAGATAATATATGATACAAGGTCAGAAAGGTAATGACAATCGCATCCTGTAGGACTTTTTAGGCCATTGTAAAGATGAGCTTTTACTCTGAGTAAGACAGAGAGCTATTAGAGGGGTCTCGGTAGAGGAGTGACTTGATTCAACTGTCTTTGAGAGGATCCCTTTGCGTGTATAGACTGTAAGGTAACAGGAATAGGCCAAGAGAGAATATTTCGGATGCTAGTGCAATAATCAGGTGAGAGATGATGAAGACTTTGACCTGGATAATAGTAGAAAAATTGTTGAGAAGGGATCAAAATATGGGGTTTGTTTTGATGGTAGAGAGGCCAGGGATGGCTGAATGATCAGATGGGGCATGAGAGAGAAAGAAAAGAAACAGAGATGACTTCAGGAATTTTGGCCTGGGCCACTGGAAGGATGAAGTCACCATTTACTGAGATGGTAATGACTGGGAGGTTGAGCTGGAAGAACTGAGAATCAAATATCTGGTTTTGAATCTGTTCTTTTTGAGATGCATATTCAACTTCCATATGGAGGTGTCAAGGAGGATTTAGATCTAGAATTTTGGAGCTCAAGGGAAAGGGTTGAGCTGTAGACATAAATTCTAGAGATGCCGGAATATAGATTGTGATCCTTCTTTATCAGCACAGAAATGACTTGACTTTGTCCAAACTAAGCAATCATACTGTACATGTTAGCAACACATTTTACAGGGCCAATTTGGCCTTTTGCAATGTTCTGTGGTTTCTAAGATAAATAAACATATTATATGTTTCCCTCTGGATGCCTTTGCTATGATCCTGTCAGCATTTCCAAAACAGTTCTTGCTTGAACACCACCAAGGAAAGAAAAAAACCTCTTGAGAAAGAAATCATTGTTTTTTTTTTTTTTTTTTTAAATCCCTGTGTTTTGGCTTATGAGTTTAAAACTTACAAAAACAGTCTAGTTTCTGTTTTCTTCAAGAATTCACATTAACAAAAGTGTGGCTTGGTGCCTGTTTTGAATGTGAGTTGATAACTTGCTGGTGGTTTGACAGTTATAAACAAACAGTCTTATAGCATAAAGAAAGCATATTCCTGAAACTGCAGGAGGTCTCATTGAGCCTCAGGCACTATACCAGCATGTTTAACTAGAAAATCATGAAAACACATACAACTTCTATAGCTAAGGCCATTTTTACATGGAATTGCAGCATAAAATGACTCCATCTAATTCTGTAAAAGTTTATATTGATGACTACTTTATAAAGCACCCATATTGCCACTTGGTCTGACAAAGATATGTGAAAAATATAAAAAATTTCTTGAAGTAATTTATTTTTCCCCCTCTTTCCACAAAACCAGGTATGTGTGTGTGTGTGGTTATTGTCTTCCAATCTTAACATGTTTATATGACAGAAAATAAAATTTTAATCTAACCATTCATTCATTTACTCCACTAATTCACATATTTATTGAGTACTTAGAATATGACAGGAACTATGCTAGGTCTAGAGAAAATAGAAAAAAAAAGTGCATTTTCCTCCCTCTAGTAGATAACTTTGGAATGTGAAAGTGATATATTTCAATAAACTTGAAAATTGAACAAAAAGACAATATCTGAGAAGGTTCTGAAAGGAAATGAAAGTCAAAAGTATTACATACCCATTCACGATTAAAAATTATAATGTTAAACAAATTTCCTGTGGCTGTCCTGACTTCAGGAAAAACATCTGGAACATTGTAAGAAATACCAGGCCACCTACAAATCACAAGACAAAGCTTTTACTGAGGTTCAGGAAATGATAAACAAAGCTTATGGGACCAGATGTTTCTGGATGCTGTTATTTTGATTAAGATGATTCTTCTTTCACACCATCTGGATTGATAGATTAAAAAAAAAATCATTCCTTCCTAGCTTCAGTGACTCCTACTGATAAGTACACCAGAGATATATCTACCTAAGATAAATGCTAGTAGTACTAGGATTAGTAGTTTTTCGAAAGGGAAAGTTAGTTCAAAAACTCAAACTACTCGTGAATGGGCTGTACAAATTAGTCCACGTTTAAAAATTACTGTCATATTCACAGAGCCTACATTTTTTTCCCAGACACTAACATCCACTTTTAAATTCTTTTCCCAGAAAGAATGTCTCAGATGTAGTTGGCAAAAGATGAAAATCAGGAAATAAAATGTAAAAGCAATCTTTTCATAGATTTCTAGGGCACCTTAATCTTGGTCCTTTGTGACTCTCAGAAATAGTAAACTTATTTCAGTTTTGTATCCATTCTCTGAGTTTCTTTCAGTACCAATAATAACAACAATGGCAGCGTTACTTATATGCACTTATATGGCAGCTTTTGGTTTACAAGTGTATTCACTGATATAATCTCATTGCTGTTTCACAATCAACAGTGCAATAGGGTTATTTTATGATAAGAAAAAGAGACAAAGAATAAGTAATTTAAGAGGGATTTGATTAATAAGTGACTAGTGCTCTGAGATTAGATATAGACTTAATCCATTAGCCAGGGGAAACAGAGTTGAGGAACTAACAGAGTTAGGGAAGAAAAAGATTTCTTCTAGTGACTCCATGTTCTTTGTGGCATGCCCTCTACTCCTCGACTCCCTTACTCCCTCTGTCTCCCATTTATGCCTTCCATCCCCCACCATGCACAGAGAGTCATATCCTTGCCAGATGAAAGTGTTATAAAAAGCAGCTCTGGCTCAGGAAAGGAGATCTCTGGAATGGGCTTCAGCTGTTGTCTAGCACAGAGCAGGTCTCAAAGCTGAGAGACAATGTGCCTGGGGCTCTAAGCCTGGTGCAGGCAGCCTGGGTGGAGGCCTGAAATTTAGCTGCAGGCTCTGATCCAGCTTCTCTTGAGGCAGTGCAGAGCAGGCATTAAGAATAAAGCCAACAAGGTTTTGCTCCTGTCACAGTGTTACCTAGTTGCTTTGTAGTCTCAATTGTGTAATCACTTTTTAGTATCTATAAGTTCTATATTTTCATGTGCTTTAATGATGGCAAGCATTGCCCCTTGTTTCCATATTTAGAACTTCTTTGAGCATTTCTTCTGGGACCAGTCTAGGGGTGACACGTTCCCTTAGCAGCTTGCCTAGGAAAAACTTTAATTCTTCTTCATTTATGAAGCTCAGCTTGGCAGGATATAAGATGCTTGATTGGCATTATTTTTTCTTTCAGAAAGCTAAGAATAGGCCCCCAATCTCTATTGGTTTGTAAGGTTTCTGCTGAGATGCTCATTGTTAGTGTGATGAGATTTTCTTTATAAATGATTAGATGTTTCTCTCTAACTGCTTTTATTTTTTTTTCCTTCACATTGACGGGGTAGTCTGATGACCATATACTTTGATGAGATTTGTCTTGCTGAGACTCTTCCAGGTGTTTTCTTGAGCTTCTTGTATCTGGATGTCTAATTCTATAGCTATATGAGGGATGTTTTCCTGAAATTTTCCATCATATACATTTTCTAAGCCTTTTATTTTTTCTTCTTCTCCCCCAGGAATGCCTATAACTTGTAGGTGTGGATGCTTAACATAATCTCATATTTCCAGAAGTCTTTGTTCATTTTTTTGATTTTTTTTCCTTATTTTCATCTGGGTTAATTAAAAGGACGAGTCTTCATTATTATATCAAAAAGACACTTGCACTTGTATGTTTATTGTAGACTATTCACAATAGCAAAGACATAGAATTGACCTAAGTGTCCATTAATGGATAATTGGATAAATAAAATATGGTGGATATATACCATAGAATACTATGCAACCATAAAGAAGAATAATATCATGTATTTTTCAGCAACATGGATGGAGCTGAAGGCCATTATTCTAAACAAAATAACTTAGAAACAGAAAATCAAATAATGCATGTTCTCACTTAGAAGTGGGAGCTAAACAATGAGTACACATGGACACACATGGTGAAATAATAGGTAGTAGAGACCCCAAAAGTGGTGAGAATGAGAGAGGGGTGAAGTTTTAAAAATTACCTGTTGGGTATAACGTTCACTCTACAGGTTACAGGCACACTAGCAGCCCAAACCTCACCATTATGCAATGTATCCATGTAACTACCTAAATCTATAAAAACAATGATTAAAAAAAAGACAGAATAAAAGCCTGTGGTCAACCTGACCTAGGGTAGTCTTTGTTTTGGTGTTCACAAGCTGTGAGACATTAAGCATATCAAAATGAGAAACAATAATAAGGTGCCTACCACTCAAGTTATTTAGGGCCATTAACTAAGATACTGTATGTAAATAGTGAAAGACAGAATGCTTTCCCCCTAAGATCAGGAAAAAGCAAGAATGGCTGTGGTCACCATTTCTATTAAACTTTGAATAGAAAGTTCTAGATAGTACAGTAGGAAAAAGTAACAAATAAAAAGCATGGAAATTGGAAAGGAAAACATAAAATGATGTTCACTTGAAAATGACATATACATGTTCATCAAAAATACAAAGACATGAATAAAAAATACCCACTAAAACTAATAAATGAATTTAGCAAAGTCATATGATGCAGTGTTAGTATATAGCAATCAGTTTAATTTTTATTTATTAATAGAAAAGAACTGGAAAATAATTTATTAAAAAATTTATCTTAAATTCAAAAAAAGACACATGAATAAACTTAAGAGATATGTGTGATACGTACATTAAAATATATAAAATATTCCTAATGGAAATTAAAGAAATTAAATTGAGACATATACCATATACATCATTTAAAGATTCAGTATTGATAACTGACATATAGATTTATTGCAATTCTAATCATAATTTTAATTAACCTTTATATAGAAATTGATAAGCTGATTCTAAAGTTTCTATGAAAATGCAAACAATCTAATGGATACAATGCCCTTTATAAAAAGGAAAAATTGAGGACTTTCACTTTCAAGTCTTTGCATGAAGATATAGTGGTATTGGCAAAATGACAGACATAAAGATCAATTGAATGGAAAACAGTTATGAAATTAGCCCACCCAAAAACAATCTAATGATTTCCAACAAAATAACAAGTCAATTCAATTAGGAAAGGAAATCTCTTCAGCAAGTGGTGTTGACACAACTGGATATTGGTATGGGATATGTACATTGACTTTTACCTTATATTAATATTATATATACAAATTAACCCAAAATGCATATGTATAATTAAAAGCTAAAATTAAAAAAGAATTCTAGAAGAAAATAATGGAGAAAATCTTTGCAAGGTTGACATAGGCAGAGTTTTTTTAGATAACATATGAAAAGCATGAACTATCATAGAAAAAAGTAATAAATTAAAACATATCAAATTAAAAATCTTTGCTCTTCAAAAGACATCTCAAGAACAAAGAAAGAGAGCTACAGACTGAGAGAAAATGTTTACACTACATATATTTAACAAAGGATTTCTATCCAGAGTGCCTATGTGTACGTGTTCATGTGTATATGTATGTCTGCACAATTTCAAAATTTAATAAGATCAAGCAAACAGCTTTCAGAAAATGAGCAAATTATTGAATATCCACTTCATGAAAGAGAATATATAAATATTCAATTTAGCTACCACATGATTCAGCAATCCTACTGCTGGGTATATACTCAGTATATCAAGGAGATATCTGCACTCCTACGTTTGTTGCAGCACTGCTTACAAGAGTTAAGATTTGGAAGCAACCTAGGTGTCTATCAACAGATGAATGGATAAAGAAAATGTGGTATATATACACAATGGAGTACTATTCAGCCATAAAAAATAACGAGATCCAGTCATTTGCAACAACATAGATGGAACTGGAGATCATTATGTTAAGTGAAATAAAGGCACAGAAAGACAAACATTGCACGTTCTCACTTCATGTGGGATCTAAAAATCAAAACAATTGAACCCATGGACATAGAGAGTACAAAGATGATCATCAGAGGCTGGGAAGGTCAATGGGGGACTGGGGAACAGGTAGGGATGGTTAATGGGTATAAAACAAAAGAGTTAGCAAGAATGAATAAGTACTACTATACGATAGCACAACAGGGTGACTATAGTAAATAATAACTGCAAATTTTAAAATAACTTACAGAGTATAATCAAATTGTTTGCAACTTCATGGATAAATGCTTGAGGTGATGGATACCCAATTCTTCATGATGTGCTTATTTCATAGGCATGGCTATTTCAAAACAGCTCATGTACCCCATAAATATATGCAACTACTATGTACCTACAAAAATTATAAATAAAACTTTAAAAAGAAAATATACAAATATTCAAAAAGCACATAAAATCAATACCAATAGTTATCAGGGAAATGTTAATTAAAACCATAATAAGTTATTACTATGTACCTATGAAAATGGCTAAAATTTAAAACTCCTAATACGAAGTCTTGAAAATGATGTGGAGCAACTGGAACTCTCATATATTGCTGGTGACAAGGTATAATATTATAGGCACTTAAAACATTACTTTTGATAATTACTATAAGTTAAATGTACACCTACCATATGACCCAGCTATTACATTTAAAAGTATTTTTCATAGACAACGCATGTCCACACAAAGATGACTTGGACATAAATCTTCATAGCAGTTTTATTTGCAATAACCGAAACTTAGAAACAACTCAAATGTCCATTCACAGATGAATAAAATTACTTTACAAAGTAGTTTATTCATAAAATAGAACAGTACTTAGTAATAAAAGGAGGGTCAAGGGAGATATGAACTGCAAAGGAGATAGTGAAAAGTTAAGGTGATGATGGTAAGGTTCTATACAAAGTATTAGTTTTACAAGTATATACATCTGTCATAACTCATTGAATGTATTCAGGTTATGGTATATTGATTTAAATAAGAAAAGACAAGACATGGGAAATGTTAGTGCTGCGTATGAGATCTGTCTCCAGCAACATGGGCATCATGACAAAAGTAGAGGTTGTAAAGATAGAGACAGCCAGGAGTCAACAGCTGTGAAGGGACATATCCAGTGGGCTGTATAAGTCGTGATACATGGCATCTGTGTTAAATTTTCCTATTCCATGTTATGGTCTCCCTAATACCTAAATCCAAATAGTATCTGTGCTCTGTGGATTGAAGAGAAGGGTGAGTGTAAAGCGTGGGACAGCCCTAAGAAATTCATCCTTTGGTGTTGACTCATTATTACAGAAAGACCAAAAAAGATTTATGAAGAAGTTCAGGGTGTGAGGTGCAAGCAACATGAAGTAATTCTTGAAATTCCATCTCATGTGGTTTTTTATAAACACATAGGAAATTCCCCAAAAATTTCACCATCATGCAGGATGAGGTACTCAATTTATGTTTCTTGTGTGTTGAAGGAAAAGGCAACTCAAAATGGTGGGGAAACTGAAGCACATCTAGTTACCTATTGCATCTCATTCTGAATTATTTTTGAGAAACATTGGGAAGTTAGAAACAACTGATTTGATTTTTTCCACCTTCTTAATAAGAAACTAAACACAAACCAGTTCTAGTTATAAGATGACAGTAGATGTTTTAGGGGAAAAAATCTACCCCCTGGCGATTTAATACAATAAAAGTTAATTTCTTGCTCATAAAGAGTCCAATGTGAATATTCATTGATATGCAACTTGCTTTTCTGTGGTGATGCTGGGGTCCAGACTCCCTCTGTCTTGTGGCTCCACCTTCCCTGAGATGCTTGGCATCCTGGCATTCAGCTGGCAAATGGCAGATGGGAGTGTGAAAAATGAAATCCCATCTCACATACACCTTCATCTAGAAATGCCAGCCATCACTTCCACTCACATTACATTAGTGAGTATTAATCATGGCACCTCCTTTTGTGATAGTCAGGGATAGAAAGTGAAATCCCTGATGAGGAGCTGCTCTCCAGAGAAAATATTTGGTGGGTTCTTTACCAGAAGCTGCATGTTTTCAGCAACAGAATGAACTACATTATTGATAAATGTCCTGCCAGACTCCAGGAAGAATTCCCATAACCAAACTCAGGTATGAAAAAGAATTGGAGAAGCCATAAAATAATTTTCATAAAATGGGGGAGTCATGGGATAGAATTAAAGAGCCTTCCATGCATACTTCCCACTGTATTATCTTACTGCTCAAATACTGATCCTTTGCTGGCCAAAATGAGGAGATCAAAAACACTGTTTATCTAAAGTTAATTTCTAGGGTAACAAAATATTTTAAAATCCCTAAACTGTGCCTCCATTAAACTATTTTTGGCACTAGTTTTGGGATCAGAACTTCAAGAAGTTCATGTAAAATTGCATAGAAGACAGTATTTCATGTTTAACAATGTGAAGTTGGAAATAGAGAGGCAATTCATTTTAAGAATATCTTACATAGGCTTTTGTTTTCATGTTTCCTGAAAGCACCACAGATAGGCTCTTGAATCTCTAAGTTATTTGTTAAATTTCACTCTTTACTGTGTCTGGCAAGATAAGATGACCAGGTAATGGAATTAGAAACTTCCTTTTAGCTCAGCAGATTCACATTCAAAAAAGCCCTTGTAAAAATACAAAATGTTGCTCACCACTTAATTTTCCAACTTAATATCTAAAAGGATTATTCTTTAAAAGCTGGAAGAAAGGAAAGGATGTCAAGTAGAACCTGAAACTTTTGTTTATGGGCAAAATACCAGACTGGATAGAAATCACTAAAGGATGAGAAAACATTTTCAAAATAGTTACAATCTGATGAAAAGATTATGTAACATAAAGAGAAACACTGAAGGAGTGGAAAGAAAGACCTCTTTTGAAAATCATTTTTTAGGAAACAAATGTTGACAGCTCTATCTTCTATTCTAAGTTAATGCTGAATAAATTGTATATATGAAATAAGAGATATTGAGATAGAAAAAATAGAAAACTGGATGGTAGGCAGAGTTTAAATAAATGAAATATGATATGAGAATAAAAAAATGTATAGCTTCAGAAACAGTACAGAGGTGAATAAACACTACAGTAATTCAAATGGGCAACATTTCTGATATTGGTTATCTACTAGGAGGCCAAAGAAAAGACACAAAAATGAAAGAATCTAATATGATGAAAAGTAAATGTGAAAAGAGAAGTCTACCTTATGGATAATTGGTGATCTTTAAAAAGAAACTAATCTAAATAGTGCAGAAAGAGTATCAAAGGCAAAGCAGGGGGAAAAAAACCATTTTCTGTGTTGAAAGTTTAAATTTTCAGGCTAAAAGTGGGCCAATGAAGCATTAAAAACATAATAAAACCTGATAGAGTATTTGAATTTCAAAAATGAACATAAATATCAATTTAAAAAGTCACACAAATATAAATGGGGATAAACATGAATGAAACATACTCTGTACAAATAAAAAACAAAACAATGATAGTTACTTCAGACTCCACAGCACTAAACCTCAGAAGAAAACGAAGCAATATTGTCAGAATTTTAACAGAAAAAATTTTAACTCTGCCTATGTGCTTCTTTATGTTACTTTCTTGGGACTTGGATCATAGTAGGCAGTGAATAAACATTTGTTGAATGAATGAAAAAAAGGAATAATAAAAATGTGAGTGGAGCACATCTTTTCAAATCACCAGGAAACAGTTTAGTGTACTGATTGTGGACACCCTGAATGTTAAACAAGAGGAATAGTTTTTTCTCGTCAATTTTTAAGTACTAGTAGTATACCTGGATTCCAAATGTGTTTGCTGCTAACTGGTATTAGTATGCTTAGCCTTTTTCTTCCACGAGAACATATTATTTTTATGGCTTCAGGGTTGTAATAATGAACAGGTTCTTACTTACCTATATAATATAGCAGCATTTATTCATTCATTGAAAATCTAGGAAAAATTTTTGATAATCCATTGACAAGTACTATCAGTGTGCCATACAAAACTTGTCCTCAATATTGTTTTTTGATAATCTCTCCTGCTACCACCCAATTCAACACCGCAATCGCTCCCCTGGGCTGGGAAATATTCAAAGGGATTTTTCTGCTTCCATTCTACTCTCTTTCTCTCTCTCTACCCAATTGCGTCACTCAGCAGTCTCAGTTCCTTTATAAAACCTAGATTGAATCATATTACTCCATGATTAAACCATTCAAGAACTTCCCATTATATTTGGACAACAACACAAACAATGAGCCTGTACAGGATTACTTCTTTGCCCAACTCTCCGCACTTAACTCTTACCACTGACATGACAACCCTTACCTACTTCAGGATATTTATATTAGCTCTTCTCTCTGCCTGAGATACTTCCAGATCTGTGGTCACTTGTCACTTCCCTTACTACCATTTATACTAATATAAAACAACATATACTCTCATCACTTTCAATCTTTTATCCTATTGATTTTTCATAACACTCGTTATTTTTAAGAAATTATATTGTTTACTTTTTTATTACCTTTCTTCTCCCAAGTACATAAGCTCCTTAAAAGCAGAGACCCTTCCTTTCTAGTTGTGTTCCCAGAACACAGGATGATCCCAGACACACAGTTGGGCATTCTGTATTGACTGAATGAGCTAACTCAATAAATGAGTGGTTAAACAAAGGAGACTATTTGATTAGTCTTTCACTTTCAAAACAATTATTCAAAAGGTATGGAACTATTATTCAAAACTATACTTTTATTTTATGTTTGCTTTTATTTACTTCCTTTTCCTTAATTTGGAGTGATGGTGGCGGAGGGCAGGGGAGGTCGAATTAAAGGGATGTTTTGCTACTTGAGTTCTGCCAGAGTGCCTCAGAAACCTGAAGGAGTAACTTGGATACTAGAGGGCAGTGGGGAAAGCTCAAGGAGACACAGCACTACCACATTTAATATAGTCATCATGACTTCTTGTTAATATCCACAGATATCTGCACTATAAAGCAGGTGTGCTACTAGCAATTTTGATAATGAAAACTGACTCTTTCAATAAGATTACTTCCATTTTGCTATGAGCGTCCAAAGAGTGGTTCCAGGAAAGAGAAAGAAAAAGACAGGGTATGAGGAGGTAGAAGGAAGGAAAGGTAGTGAAGGAAGGCTAGGAAGGAAGAAAGAAAGGGAGGAAGGAAAGAAGAAAAAAGAAGGAAGGAAGGAAGGAAGGAACGAAGGGAGGGAAGGAAAGAAGGAAGGAAGGAAAAAGGAAGGAAGGCAGGCAGGCAGGAAGGAAGGAAGGAAAAAAAGAAAGAGAAAGAAAGGGAAGAGAAAGAAAGAAAAAAGAGAAAGAAAGAGAAAGAAAAGAAAGAAGAAAGAGAAAGAAAGAAGAAAGAAAAAAGAAAGAAAGGAAGGAAGGAAAAAAGAAAAGGAAAAGAAAAGAAGAAAAGAAAGAAAAGAAAATTAAAAAAAGAAAATAAAAGAAGAGTGATCTATTTCAACAGCTGGACCAAATTAGAAAACCAAATGAAATTCTCTGGTTTGGTTCTGGACCCAAAAAACTACAGTTGTGGTAGAACACCACATTGTTTTCAGCTAGCAAAATGAAGGAGAGTCAACTCCACAGTTACTGGGTTGTGTGTCTTGGTGAGCTAGGCAGAGCCCTTAGGAAATGGTCCTTAGGAACTATGAAGTGTCATTACTGGTGAAATGGAAATTTAGAGTTAATGAAGTTTAAAAACAGTCACCTCAAAGATTTCTTTTTGCAAACTGGGCCATGTCTTGTTTGAGGTTTGCTTATGTTTACACTAGGTATAATGTCTGAAAAGTCTTCTTTGGTCATTGGACTGTGTGTTTCTTTTAAAATAGTGTTGTTGTTTTTAAGTGAGGTAATGATTTCCAAGTAATCAGATTATGTTCTTTAAAATAAGTATAGGTATATGGATGAGGAGAGAGGTACTTGACAAAATAGATCATATTTATCATACTATATAAAAATGTAGTGGCATTCATAGAATATATAATTTTATTCATAATTTTTCTTTTCTCAAATCAGAAAGTACAATTTCATCTAAGAAAATTACCATAACTACCAGTGTAAAAATTAAATGAAAAGTTCTCAAGGTTTCATCAAAAATGCCCAAATAAATTTAACAGGTAAATATTTTACATTATTTTTGTTTGGAGTAAGAATACATTAATAAGATGAGAGAATTAAATCATAATTTTAAAAAAGGGCACATAAAATAACAAATCCCATATCTGCATCAGGAATTATTTATTGATAGAGTTGTCCAAAATTATAATACTAAATAAAAGCTAAAGGAAATTATTAGCTCAAGGAGATAATTCAATGATTTAATTAAAATGTATTTTGCTTCATTGTTTGGTGTGTATTGCAATCCAAGTGTACATTGTTATATCACTGCAGATAGAAATTATGAACTTTTGTATTACATGTTTGCTGATTTATATTCCCTGAATAGTATTGTTTCCACTTTATTATATTATACCATGTAATTTTAATAATATATATTTTATTGCTTGAATTAACTATATAGTCACTTATCTGTGTTATTCATCCTCTATTTTAGAATTTCTTTTGTTTCTTTTATTATATAGTGTTGAAACATATATTGTCCTGGTTTTAAATCACTTAATATTTTATTTATATAGTGGGATTGCTGGATCAAAGCATATAAACATTTTGTTACACACGGCTAATTAAAAATATTTCTTAAATTAGCATTATAATAAAATAAAGTACACTTATTTGATCTTGTTATTTTTATAGGTTCAAAATGATACCTCATTTTAATGGCATTTTATATGCTTGCTATTATTTTTGTGGTTATTTTTTACATAATTACACTTCATTAACTTTCTAAAAATGTTAAAGATTGTAAAGATAAAAGAGGTTACATGACCGCCCAGAAAAAGAAAGAAAAAGTACCAAGCTAGTGAAAGAACCAATACTACTGCTTGCCCTCAAGTCCTATATTCTTATCATTTATATGCAACTTTAGTGTTCATAATACATGTTAAATTGGCAAAGACAGGCTGTTAAATCTGTGGGATCCAGAACATGAATATTTTTGAAACAAAAATTAGTTGAGAAAGAGGAGTTTTAAGAGACTACTGTGATATAAAAGAATCAAACTCAAATGCTTGCATGATATGGCTTGGAAAATGTGGGGAAATTCTGGTGTCTCCCAACTTCTTCAAAGACATTGTTTCATCTCTGCACTCCCCCATTTTGGTGTAATTCTTACAGAATATTCAAGAGGCACTTAATAGAATTCAGAATCCTTTGGTGTGTATAAAAGTATGAACAATGACTAGATTAAACCAGGATCTTCATTTGTGGATTGACTCATTTAACAAATATTTGAATTCCTACCCTGTGCAGAATGTTGTGTTAGATACTAAAAGTACCATAGTGACAACACCATAAATAACAGGCATGGGCCCATTCTAATGAGGGATACATGCACACACATACATATACGTAAGAAAAGTAATCAGAAAAGTAAATAAAAGGTAAATCGTGATAGGGGCTATGACAGAAACAAAAGAGTAACTGAAACTGGTAGGCAGCATACTGAGTGCAAAGTCCAAGGGCTTATGTGAACTATGTATGGGGGAAGAGTCTGAGTTGAGTTTGGGGCGGGGCAGGGTGGGGTGGAAAAGGCTGGTGGAAGAACCACCACTCAAGGGCAAAGGGAAAACATGAGAGAAAATATTATCTATTTCAAGGCTGGTAGAACTGAAAAGTCACAGAATCTTGGAGGCTAAACTCCTGTGCCTGAGGCCTGACTTTCCTCATCTTTAATATAGACTAATTGTATTTCTCTGGGTTTTAATAAGGATCAAGTAAAAACAATATGCATGCAAGAATGTCCTATGTCATGAATCACTTGGCACTTTAGAGTCACAGTCTATAAAAGAAAAGTAATATCGTGGACATCTTTCGCCACCTCATTCAGAAAGACTTTTGATTTGGTGGGAGAGGGAGACATTGGAATTTTATTCATGTTTGAAACTCATCTCTTTCCCAGTGTTATTTTTTTCCTTTCTACACTTTAAAATATTCTTTAAAATAAAGTAATATTTGGAATTGAGAAAGGGAGGGATGGGATTCAAGTTAAGCCACATATTAACTATATTTAAGAATACATATTTTACTTCCTTTTTAAACTTTTTCTAATAAACGTTCAAAATATATACTCTAACCATATAGTTTAGGCCACAGTGGATGTCAGAAACAATTATATATAAAGGATTATAAAGTATGAGGTAGTGAATCTAAAAATCATGAGACACCCCCTGCTTTTGTACTTTCTTGTTCTGTTCAGTCCTTGTTTGTGTGGAGAGCATATGTACTGAACACATATATATTCATAGAACAATGGCAGGTGCCACAAGTGATCACAGGAATGATGAAGGGAAATAGGATTGACAAGAAGGCAGAGAAAGGAGGGAGATAAGATAAATATGAATCCTAATATTGTTCTTGACCAAAGTGATATTAGAAATTTGGGAAAGTGTTTTCAATGGTTGTGGTCCATGATCCAGCACAATTGCAGTGTGTTTTTCTACTCAGGTACTTGTCTTTTTCCTTTTTCCAAAGTGCCAAAATAAGATTATAATTTATTTTGAGATTCCACTCTGAGTCATGATCACAGAACCAAATCCAGACTTGCCAGCACTCACACCCTCCCTCTTCTGTTTGCCCAGTCTAGTGTGCAGCGTCACTTTTGGGAAAAACAATCCACATACCCACAAGCAAAATTCCCAGTGTATTTTTTAGGTTAATCCAAAGTCTATTCCCAGAAAGGATGTTAACCAGACCCAGAATAAGTTCACTATAATTTTATTTCCCCTGGCTTCCAAAAGAATACTAAATTAACAATATGGAGATGTAACAGCTGAATTACTTTATTAAAGGTCACATCTGAACTCACCTTCCCAACTGGATATGAAAAACATAAAAACAGAAAGTCGAATTCTCTAATGTTAGAGTATATGTTAGGAGATCCCATGCAGTGTGGTTATAATTTATTTTTTAAGTTATCAAACATATTAGAAGTCATAGATCTAAATAACAGAGTTTCTTCTAATCAAATGTTTTTACAGATTTTATTTAAGTGAACTTGTAATTTCACAAAATGTTTTGGAAACCGTCCTAAGTAGAGTCATGGCTTCTCAAAGGTGGCCACATTTTAATTTTCAGAACTTGTGAATATTTTACATTATATGGCAATAAGGGATTTAGGTAGCTGAAAAAATTAAGGGTTCTATTCATCTGACCTTAAGATAAGGAGATTGTCCTGGATCATCTGAGTGGACCTAATGTAATCAGAGCAGCTTCGAACATAGAAGAAGGAGACAGAAGAGGCAATGTCAGAGTGATATGATGCAAGGAAGACTCAAGTGGCCACTGCTGTCTCTGAATATGGTGAGTTTAGGAGCCAAGGTATTGGTGGCTTTTAGAATCTGGAAAAGGCAACAAAATGGATTCTCTCTTAGCTACTCCAGAAGTAATGCAGTCCTGCTGACACTTTGATTTTAACCCAGTGAAACTTATTTTGGGCTTCTGAACTACAGAATTATAAGATAATAAATTTGTGTTGTTTTAAGCCACTACATTTTTGGTAATTTATTGTAGGAGCAATATAAACTAACACAGGAACTCACCTGGGTCCGTCGTCTCCTGCCCTCACTAAGCTCCCTGCACTCTGTCCTTGGTTCTGTTACTGCAGAGTCAACCACCAAAGCAGGGTGTCTTAGTCCGTTTTTACACTGCTATGAAGAACTGCCCAAGATTGGGTAATTTATAAAGGAAAGAGGTTTAATTGCCTCATGGTTCAGCATGGCTGGGGAGACCTCAGGCAACTTACAATCATGGCAGAAGGTGAAGGGGAAGTAAGGTACCTTCTTCACAAGACAGCAGGAAGGAGAACTGCTGAGCAAACGGGGAAGAATCCCTTATAAAACCATCAGATTGCATGAGAACTCACTGACTGTGATGAGGACAGCAAGGGGAAAACCGCCCCCATGATCCAAGTACCTCTACCTGGTCTCTCCCTTGACACATAGGGATCATGGAAATTATAACTCAAAATGATTTGGGTGGGGACACAAAACCATCACAGGGGTCAGATGAGAGTCAGAGCACCACATTGATGGGTTCATGATTGATGTAAAAGATGAGGGTGCAAGCTCATGAGCTACAATCTGCAGATGCAGAAGTCAATCAGTAATGACACAAGAGGAACAAAAGAACTATCACACAGTTCCCTGTAGCCACTTCTTATCCTAGCCCTCTATCACCAGGAGGATAAGCTAAACTTTCCCACTCACAGATTACATCTCATAGATCATGGTGCGATTGTTAAAATCCAAAAGATTAAAGTGACTTTTTAAATTAAAAGGACTACTTAAATAGAAATCAACAAAATACCAATTATAAAAATTCAAAATGCCAATTTCCTACCATCCAGGTTTGAAAGAAGAGAGAACAAATAAAACATGAAAAATAAATATGCTAATTTTCTTTGTAGGCCTGAATATAGTTTACTAATTTTCAACCAACATATAATGAATAATTATTGGGTTGATGCAAAAGTAATTGTGGTTTTTGTCATTGAAACGACAAAAAAACCTCCATTGAAATGACAAAAAATGCAATTACTTTTGCACCAACCCAATACTCTGTGGGTAGCTAGCTTTCAGTCTTTTCTGAGGCCATGTCTGAACAACAGAAATATTGTTGAAGACCCTGAATCTTTTGACATCTTCTTTTCTTACATTTTTATTATATGTGGACAGAACAGGTAAGCAAGAGTCAGCCCCCAATGAATTCATCTCTCCATCCCCTGTGAGAATTTTCTGTTTAACTCTGAATTTCATCCATTGTAGTCATACATTTTGTTTTTATTTCAAAGAAAACAATAATAAGGCAAAGACACTGTCTCCAAAAGACAACTGAAAATGCACAGAGGTTAGAGGGGGGCTCTTCAATTGGTGTAGAAAACCATAAGAAATCAGGGATGTGGAATCTGAGACCCTCAAGAGAAGATTGTTTCAATAGTGCGAAGAAGGAAGTTCTTTGTTACTTATTGGCATTAGGCCTTCAAATTTGGGGTAACAGAATCTTCTACTACACAGAAAGATAGAAATAGAAGGATGAAGATAACTTACTTACACTACTTGATTATTCTAGCCTCTTTGAATGCTTGTCAAAAATGTAGATTCCTTGGTCATGCGTATGTAATCATGATCTCCAAGGAAAATCTCCTAGGTATCTATATTTTTTAGAGTTATTTGGATGATTTTGATCAACAACCAACTTTGGAAATCATTGACCTATTTCAAAACCTGAATTATGGCCAACTCTAACTAGAGAAACCAAAAAGTATAGCTTTAAAGAAACGGAAATATTTCAACCAACTAATTGCTATCAAAATTAGTAAGTATCGTGTATCACCCATTTTTGTTCTTGCAAATTTTGGAAGGACTTTTATTGACATCAAGGTAATTCCCTTTTTGTGGAAAAGAAGAAATTCAGCCTGGGTTGGAATATAATAGGTTTGGGTGAGTATCCAAAAATGTTTATTCTGCAGAAGAGAAGCTTAGAAGCATACTAGAGTTTTCAATATTGAAATAATTATCATGAAAATTTCTTTGTGGCTTATGAATAAGTCAACTACAACTTGCTTTTTAAAACCCCAGAGCTATTTTCTGAAATTCCCTTCTGAAGCTTGGGAGAAACCATATAACCCTGGAAAATGTGTATCATTTAAAAGTTTATTAACTACTTAATCCTAAAGTTCACCTATTTCCTTGCAAATATAACCAAGGAAGGATATTTGGAATGACAGGTACATATTAAATTTCAGAATCAAAACTTTCAACACTAAAATGAGGAGTACTTACACCATTTTCTGTTAGAGGTCTATTTGTTTTTAGTGGAATCTATTTTCTAATGAGTCAACATTATGTCACTTTCAAAACATGCCACAGGACGTTGGTACTAAAAAACACACAGTAGGATTATTTAAGTCTTTAAAACCATATTTTTATGAGGATATGCCTATTGGACTCTTAGGAAAGTATTCATTTGTTAATAGGTTAAGTTAAAAATATTTTTAATCGCCTGAGCGCCGTGGCTCACGCCTGTAATCCCAGCACTTTGGGAGCCCAAGATGAGTGGATCGTTTGAGGTCAGGAATTAGAGACCAGCCTGACCAACATAGTGAAACTCTATCTCTTCTAAAAATATAAAAAATTATCTGGGCGTGGTGGTGGGTGCCTGTAATCCCAACTACTCGGGAGGCTGAGGCAGGAGAATCGCTTGAAACCTGGGAGGCAGAGGTTATGGTGAGCCGAGATCGCGCCACTGCACTCCAGCCCAGGCAACAAGAGCAAAACTCCGCCTCAAAAAAAAAAACAAAAAAAAAAAATTTTTTTTTAATCTTACATGTTACTTACACAGTTAAACCTTTGATGAATTTAGCTCCTTGAAAAATGGTGTGTTCTGAGCCATTATAAAGTTAATTCAAAGAAAAAGGAATTTACTTCTTTGAATGCCACTGCAGACCTTATTCATGAATTCTGTCACAGAGAATGACCCATTTACTTGGGCCTTTAAAACTCTCCCTCTGCCTGGAATTGTTTGGACTTTTTCCCCTGGCTAACATCAGCTCATTCTTTACTCTAAATTTTCATCTTGGTCTTCACCTCCTTTTTAGAAACCTTCTCCAATAACACGGGGTTGTGCCTAAGGCTGCTGCTCTAAGATCTCCACGTATTTTATTCACTTTCCTTGTGTTAGGCCTTTCTTGTGTTGCTATAAAGAAAAAATTGAGAATGGGTAATTCATAAATAAAAGAGGTTTAATTGGTTCATGGTTCTGTAGGTCATACAGGAATCATGGTGCTGGCATTGGTTCCATTTCTGGGAAGGCCTCAGGGAGCTTTTACTTACGGTGGAAGGCGAAGGGGGAACAGCAGTTCACATGGCCAGAGTAGCAGCCAGAGAGCAAGTGGTGGGGAGGTGCCACACATTTTGCAAACAACTAGATCTCCTGAGAATTCACTCACTGTCTCCAGGACAGCACCAAGACGAGGGTTCCTCCCTCATGACCCAAACACCTCCCACCAGACCCCACCTTTAATTCTGGGGATTACAATTCAATATGAGATTTTGAGAAGACATCCAAACTGCATTACTTCATGTTATCATAACTGTATGTTTATTTGCATCTTTTCCAACTAGAGTTTGTGCTTCTTGAGGTCAGGGGTTGTTTTCTAGTGTACCTAAGTCTTCATGGATATTCATGTATGAACTGATGAATAAATGCTTGTTTTTTTCAAGGAGCAAATCAAAAATTCTAAGCTGTTCTACACTGATTTTATAGGTTTGTATTGATTTTAATTCGAGTTGTGCCATTACTTATTTACTAATTCAGTGCATAGGATCTTTAACATTCTTAATTAGGCTCTTAGTGGGAAAGAAAGAGAGATCATCTTATAGCTACTTTAAAAAGGTTTTGATAATTTTTCTGATGTCGCCTTTACTTTCTGGATCTCATATCTTCACCAAATAGCTGATTTTGGAATAAAATAATAAATAGAAAAATTGGTTCTAATGAACTGATTAATAGAGGAAAATAAAATATGTATTGAAAACAGTAAAAATTTTACCATAAAAAATTATACATGTCAAAAGACACTAACTTTAAAATAGTACAAAAAAGTAAGGGAAATCCTGAATAACAGAAAAGAAAGTCAAATTTATTTAATGAAAAAACAGATTTAATAAAAATTACCAAATACACACCAAAAAACACAGTAGTACTATGTATTGACTCACAAAACGGAAAAGCAGTGGTCCGTGACTACTCAAGATGGCTTGCCAATTAAAGGAAAAAAAAAAACAAACATACACATGTGAACACACACACACACACACACACACACGCAAACACACATGCCAAAACAAAAAAGCCAATATGTTTTAAAAGTACAATCAATCAACAGGCCCCTGTGTGTGATGTTCCCCTCCCTGAATCCATGTGTCAGAGGTTGAGGGGCGAGGGGAGGGAGAACATTAGGACAAATACCTAATGCATGTGGGGCTTAAAACCTAGATGATGGGTTGATAGGTTAGGTGCAGCAAACCACCATGGCACATGTATATCTGTGTAACAGATCCGCACATTCTGCATATTTATCCCAGAACTTAAAGTAAAATTAAAAAAAAAAACAATCAATCTACAGCAAATACAAAACTCAGAAGGACATACACAAAGACAGAGAACTTATAAGGGGATATTTTTGTTTTTATCTTGTTCACTGTGTTGGGGCTTAGAAAACAATATCCCAAAATATGATGTCTTGACATGCTGAACTAAATAACAGCCTCAAGGTCTCTCTGACCTCTCCCCCACAAGCACAGGGAGGGACTCTCTGGAATTTCCTTATCTGACTAAGGAACCACCTTTCAAAAATAAATGTTAATATGTTAAGACACTTGCCACCCCTGGAAATCTCACCAAATAACTAGGAAAGATTAACCACCAAGGAAGAGAAAAAACTAAAATCAGGGGTCACCAGGCCCAGACTGACTTTATCTGTTCTTCAGAGGGCATTACTGAAAGATTACCTGGGAGACTATCCACATACTACGACAACCTTGGTTCACAGTGCAGTTATGCTCCTGATCTTCCTGTAACTTGTCAGCCCCATTAAGTTTCTTAAGAGATTCATTTCCAAGAAAATGTCTGCCTACTGGGTCCATTAATTCTCCCTAAAAATAATTCAGTACTTCTCAAAATTGCCACATTTCTCTCATCTCTCCTTTACTTATGAAGAGGGGTATATAAGCAACTGGACCTCATTGGGTTATTGGGTAATCACTTTCCTGTGATTTTGCTCTATGCACATTAACAAGTTTGTACATCTTTCTCTCCTATTAATCTGCCTATTGTTAATTCACTTCCAGCAAACTTCAGAGGGTGGAGTAGAAGCTTTGCCTATTTTTTCCTACACTTGATTACATTGCAATTGCGTATTCTAAATTCTATGTATCTTTAATGTCACGTCTCTAGTCCATTATCTTCATTTCTTGCCTGGACTAATACTGTTGTGTCCCATTTTGACTTCCTGCTTCCTCTTGTGACTCTACTGCTTATAATCACCAGCATCCTAAAACACTTAAAAATCCAAAATCCATAGCTATAGTATGCCCTGAATGACTTCCATGAACCCATTATCATTACATGTCTAATAACAATTTTCATGCCGTTCAACCACCAAGCTTTTACCATCTGGCCCCCATTCAAAATCCTGAAACCTCTACATTGAACATCTTTTCTTCTACTTTCTCACCTTTCCCTATCCAGTTTAAATATTGGTTTATCCTAGCGGGAGGCCTTCTCTGCTTTCTCAACCTTTTATTCTCCCTCACTGCCTGCTCATTACTTTATTTATAACATTTATGATAAGTTGTTATTTTTATTTGGTTTTATAACTTTTTAAGTGTAAATATTAGTATATCAAGCATAATATTTATAATTATTATAAATATTTATCAACAATTTATTAATAATATTTATGAATATTAGTATGTTATTAAATGTAATTTATGTAAACATAATTTGTATGTTTCAGCTTACATAAAATAAATCACTATATGCTTACAATGCTTTAAGTGCTTAATGTATCAACTCACTTAATACTCAACACCCACATGATAAAGGTAATTAATTCTATTTTATGAAAGTGGAAAATGAGGTTTAAAGAGTTTATGTACGTGGACAGTGATAGCTGCAGAGCAGACAAGGAAAGGCACAGAAGCAAAGATTCTGATCTCGGGGAATTTGTTGCTCCTATACAATGCAACACCGTCCTTGTTATTCTCTTTCATACATGCTGAAAATGATGGATTTCTATAACAGAAATAATAACTAACATTTATTGAATGCTTACCTTATGCAAAGGATTATTCAAGGATTTCACATCCAGTAACTCATTTAAACTCACAAAGAAAGCTTTATGAGGTAGGAACATGACCATTCTTGTTTCAGTGATAAACAAACTAAGGCTAAGTGGATTGCCTAAGATCACACAGTACATATGTTGTAAAGAAGTCAACTGCTAGAATGTATTCACTAATTACATATACACTTGCTGATTACTAGCGGACAGAAGAAGGCAGAATGATGTCATCACTTTTCTATTTGTAGTTGGTATAGTACAATTTGTATGTACTTTTTATTTTCATATTTGAAATAGTATATTACACATCTTCCTATTTAATTTGAATTAAATCCCAGGCTATGTGTAATTATTATGTATATGATACTCAAAACATATCACACCTTAACATCTGGCAGACATGCTTCACATACGGTGGTGTTTATCTGCTATGAGAGCTTCAAAGCACACGTCAGAGAAACACCTGGGTTTGAAGTCTGAAAGAAGACTGTAACTGTTACGGGCATATTTCTTGTGCTTTACTTGCTTTTATGTGAAATAAAGAGAAGTTTAATTTTTTCTTGCTTATCCTGTACAACAAAATTGAAACCTTTATCAGCATCAGCCATCATAGGACTATATCTTCCAGGTTTGGCTGGCTCATTGATTAAAATAAAATAATCTGAACCTGAAGAAAAGATTAAAAATATATCATTTTAAATTATTTAACACTTAAAGTGGGATCCATATTCCATTATGATTCTGGCATAGTATGGAGTTTTCAAAAGTTAATTAATTTATTATTCAGGTGCAATTAAAAGCTAGATGTTCACAAACACACAGATGAATGCAAAGACAATCTACCCTTGGATGTCAAAACACAATATAATAAAGTTGTCGACTTCTTTAAGATAACCTATAAAATCAGTGTGACTGCATTCAAATACGATTATATTGTTTTTGCTATAACAAAATTTATATGGAAATTCATCTAAAAATATAGACAAATGAAGAATCACAAGCAATATTCTGGAAAAATATTCTAGAATATTTTCCTTCAACAAATATGTGTGGAGAGCCTTCCTTGTGTCAAGCCTAAGGGACAGATCAAGTACTTATTTTCATGGAAGTGACATACTACAAGGGTCAAAGTTAAAAAATAAATGATTAATAAATATACTAAATATTAATATAATTTCCAAGAGTGACAAATGATAAGAAATTATAATATATTAAAATGGTAGAGAATAACTGAAGCAGGCTCTAAGACTACTTCAGATTTTGTGGTTCAAAAGCCTGTCTGAGGATGCAGAGACCTAAGTGAGAAGCAGTCAATGATAAAACAGTCCAGGGCAACAGCTCGCTAAGTGTGTATCATGAACCTTGGGATCCTTTCGGGAAGTCCAAAATGAAAAAAATATTTTTCTGATAATATTAAGATGTTATTTGTACTTTTCACTTTAATTATCTCAGAAGTGAACAATGGGGTTTTCCAAAAACCATGTGACATGTGATGATGTTTTTGTTCTGATGGCTGTAGAATAATTGCTTATGTATTTTTATTTTTTCTAGAATTTTCTGTAGTCATGATTTTGGAATATAAATGTGCTTTTCGTGGTTAACTCAGCTTGTTCTCAGTAACACTATGTATTCCTATTTATCTTTGTTTATCTCTGCTATTATTTGTGCAATATCTAGTTATTGTCCAATAAATCATTCTTTTGTAATCTTTGCAGGCTTGTTTTGTAATACTATTTTTATTTGTTCAAAGTTTGTTAACTCTTTAAATTTTATTTAACATATTTTTATTTTGAATTTAATGTTATATTCAATGATAAAAAATTATAATATGTTCTTCTTATATTTAAAAAATGAGGCCAGGAACAGTGGCTCATGCCTGTAATCCCAGCACTTTGGGAAGCTGAGGCAGGCGGATCACCTGAGGTCAGGAGTTCGAGACCAGCCTGGCCAACATGGCGATACCCGGTCTCTACTAAAAATACAAAAATTAGTCAGGCATGATAGCAGGCATCTGTAGTCCCAGCTACTAGGGAGGCTAAGGAGAATTGCTTGAACCCTGGAGGCTGAGGTTGCAGTGAGCAGAGATTGCATCACTGCACTCCAGCCCGGACGACAGAACAAGACTCCGTCTCAAAAAAACAAAACAAAACAAAAAACCACATTATCTTCCAAAAGGGAGATAGAAGACTTTTTTTCTTAACCCGTAGCTACACTGCACAAAATTCATATATGAAGGAGTTCTCTGAATTATGGGAAAGAGCACCCTTCTCCAAAGAAAGTAAGCGAAAATTAAAATAGGCAACAGAAATATAATGAAAACCAATAAATAATGTTAATAAATATTATTAATAAATAATGAAATAATATTTACATTTCAATTGTATATATTAATAATTTGATTTATTTTGTCTTATACAACAAAACATTTTAAATATTTTTATGGTAACAACTGAATTCTAGCAACATTTTGAGACCAATCATTCAGATTTTACAGAAAAATGAGCTAAATAGTTAATTGTAGATGTAATGGACTCTAAAAGCCAAAAATTATTTGTTATAGCTTTCAAACTGGAAATTGCAAAGCCACTGACCATTTTACTAGATAAAGCAAATTGCATGGTCTGAGAAATACGCACAAACGCTGAAGACTACAAAACCCTTGCTGAATGTCTGCTGGACAAAAAGTCAGCAAAATAAATTACAGCGAGCTACTTTCCAATGATACAGTAATTAATCAAAATAAAGATTTACTCAAGACATGAAGATTGAATTAATACTATATCTGTGGATTGTACTTTTGCCTTACAAATGGACAAATCTACAGCTGACTCTGGTTGAACTAGCCACTTTTTTTCTGGAACCCGTTTTTAATTAAAAGTGTGGTTTGTCAGATTAGAGTATTTGGTAAATACACTCTCAAAAAATAAAGTCTATTTTTCGTTTCAAGAAAAACAACTGAGAGTAGTTGGCAAAATTTAAACTTTCGAGCAAAAATTAGAATTTGGAAATAGTAGAAAACCTTCGTTGATGTAATTTTAAATACCACATTGCAACTAGCCTTTGAGAAACTACCACTTGATGAGTTCTGATTGTTCTTCAAAAAGAAGAGTAGTTGAAAAAAATAAAAATACTATTCCAAAACAAGACTACAAAGATTACAAAATAGTGGTTTATTGGACAATAACTAGATTGCAGAAATAAAAGCAGACATAAACAAAGATAAATAGGAATACAGTAGTGTTACCGAGAACAAACTGGGTCATTGAAAACACATTTGTATTTGAAAATCATGACTATGGAAAATTCTGGAAAAAGTCAGAACACACAAGCAGATCTTCTACTAGCCATCAGAACAATGTCATTGTCAGATGTCCTGTGGCTTCTGGTAAAATTCAATGCTTACTTCTGAGATAATTAAATTGAGTTGAAATTGAGTTGGAATTTAAATGGAATAAAATTGAGTTGAAATTACCTAAAAAGGCTACTAATAATGCTTGTTTTCTCAATTAAATATTTATGTAGGGTGAGTTTTTCATTATATGCATCAATCAAAGCAACATATCTTAACAGATTGAACAAGGGAACAGACATAAAAATCCAGCTAACTTCAGACACATTAAATAGGTGTGCAAATATATAAGGCAATACCATTTTTCTCATTGTTTTTTTCTGGAACATGTTAATATTTTCACAAAAATGGTATTTATATTAACATGGCATGGACTTGTTATTTTTATCATAATGAATTACTTAAATGCTTTAAAATATTTCTCAGTTTTAATTTTGAATGTGATACACACTGGTAGATGGACTCCACATACGTCTTTGGGGTCCTCAAAACGTCAACAAATTTTAAGTACATAGAGTCCTGTAGGCAAAATGTTTGAGAAACGCTAGTCTGTGGGAACAGCACTTCAGTCAAAGAGAACAGCTGGTAAAGGACCTGAAGTAGGAACAGACTTCTCATATATCAGGTCCTGGGTAAAGGTCAAAATGGCTAGAATGTAAGGCAGAAGGAGGAAAGAAAATGGCATCAGGGAGTTTAGCCATGGTCAGATGCTTTAAGGTTTGATAAGCCTACACTTAAGGAATAAAGAAGGGAGACTGGCACTACCAGATATTATTTAAGAAATAAAACTTTAACAATTAGATCATAGATATTTTAAGCTTGATCATATTCAAACTTCATGAATGACTGGTGAAAAAGTGTATTCTCATCTACCTTTGATGGGAGTGATAAGCAGAACAACATTTTGGAGGTAATTAGGTAATAATTATAAAATTTTTAAATATGTGTACAAATTTGTGTTCTCCAGAAAGCCCACTTACTTTTGGGATTTTCCTTAAGCTATCTTGCACAAAACTTCCTCAATACAGCATTGCTTATCATGAGAAAAGAGGAATTTCTCCCAAAAGCAAATTTATGACTGTGCACTTACCTAAGTGAAGAAGTTATCTGAGTTCTGAACTGTCTGAGTTATCTCATAGGCTGCCATAAAAGAGGAAAGAGAAATGAAATTCTCTTGTGTATATAAGACATGTCTGAAACATCTGAATTAATAAAGTCTAAACAACAATTACTTATAGAAAGTGCAATTGGAGAGTTAGTTAAGCCAGGGGTTATTTAATGTTTAACCTTATATACTGCTATGCTGGTTAATGTTTTGGTATAGTGTTCCAATTTATATATATTACTCTTATAATGCACACTTATTACTGAAAAACATATAATAAACCATATCATTGATAATTCCAAAAATGTACTTGTCATGTAAGATACTAAGAAAAATAAAAGCAATTGTAGAGTAAGTTTGAAAATACATACAGCTATGAGTATAAGGACTATGTAAATAAAAGATAGTTTCATGACTTGTAAGATGCTAAAATTAAGAATGGGAATTAGATTGTTGTGAGAAGAGAAAAAATTCAAATCCACTCCACTCTATGATTTGAAAGCATAAACCATTTACTCAAAATATGCTTTCATTTAAAATGTATCTTTTGAGATAAGCAGAATAGACAAAGCAGGTACAACCAATTTAAAGATTAAAATTTCATTTTATGTGATAGTGCTTTGCAAATTTTAAGAGAAATCAAGTGTTCAATATTAAAAACTAACAACTACATTATGGTATATCCATATAACAGAATTTCATGTAGCAAATAAAAATGACAGTAGAGAATGATATTTAATGATATAGAAAAACATCAATGATTTACTGTTATATGAAAATGGGTCTGGCACTATAAGCATAATGTTATGATATATGTGAAAACCAAATTGTCTGTGTGTTTATGTTTATACCCACACATTAAGAAGATATACCAAAAGATAGTTATCTCTGGGATGGAATACTTAATTTATTCTTTTCCCCTGTAAGTCCAGGGCTGGGTTCAGAACACAGTGTGTGAAACAGTCATAACATGCTTTATTATCCTTGCTGGTCTCAGGTAACAGGGAATCCAGTCCCTGGGCTGAAGAGGGCAATTCCATCTTTTTTTTTTTTTCTTTTTAATTTAAGTTCCGGGATACATGTGCAGAATGTTCAGGTTCGTTGCTTAGTTACACATTTGCCATGGTGGTTTGCTGCCGCTATTGACCCGTCATCTGGGTTTTAAGCCCTGCATGCATTAGGTATCTTTCCTAATGCTGTCCTTCCCCGTGCCCACCAACCCCTGACAGGCCCGGGTGTGTATTGTTCCCCATGTTCTCACTCATAAGTGGGAGGTGAACAATGAGAACTCCCATCATTTTAACCTGTATTGTGATGAAATGCATTTAGCCTCCAATGCTCATTATCACCAATGATGTGAATCACCATTGGCCAGGATGGAATGTTTATACGTTACCCAAAAGTTCTGAGATGTGGATGTGGCTATGCATGTTATATGTTAGTGTGTAATGTAAAAGGAAAGAAACTATTGCTTAATTAACATTTGACTTTTTAAATAACTATTGCCTATTTAATATTTCTGCTTTTTCTCAACTGATAGTAACATTGTCTATAAAGTATTTTAAGCTGATTGAGTGAACTACATTGTCTCAGCTCCATCCTGTTCACCCTCTTCCCAGTGAGTGAAGATGTTCATGGTTTTATTCTTACATTTACTTGTTAGGTGACTTTTAGCAAATGAATGAGACTTTCTGACTCTCCATTTATACTCCTGAAAATAGAGTAGTAAAACATACCATAGGAATTTTAATGTATGAAATTTAAAGGAAGAAATGTGAAAACTCTGAGTATAAATCATGGAATATATTAGATCCACTATAAATGTTAATTTCATTTCTTTCTATTGGACCCTGAAAATATGCTCTGAAACGCACAAAATTATTCAATTATTGGTTTCACAGAACTGATTTTATTAAAAAGTATATGTTGACAAGACTTTACAATGAGCTAAATCCAATATAATGCATTTGAGGTCTGTTATAAATACCACAACACATGTATTGCTTTATAAAGAAAAATCTTAAGGAATGGATAGGTGGAGTTTTTCTAACAAGAGCTCAGATTATAGAATTTGATACACTCAAAATTAATACATAGCATTGTTTTAAGAATCCTCTTATAACAAGATCACTTAATTATATTCGATTGATTTGTCTTTTTTTCTTAATTCCTTATAAATTTATTCAGTTACTTTGTTGAAACTGAGGCCTATCAATAATTTTCTTAAAATAATATTAGGAAAAATGTTATGTTTATGAATCATCTTACAATTCCATTAGTTACTTTCAAGAAGATTACTTTTTGTTTTTGAACACTGCTATTACAAAAATAAGCCATTTATTCTAATAGTCTTTTTTTCGGACAAATGCAGTATTAGTCATGGAGTTAATTTTCCACAAGTCTCACTGCTAAAATGTGATATAGTTATTTTTAAAGACAAAAATACAATGTGACAACTTATATTAAAATATATTGGTGTAAAAGTTCTTATAAACATGAGGAAATGAACATTTTAGAAAAAAATCTCATAAATATATCTGATAAAATCACAAAATGAAATAGACAAGGATTTAAGTACATCTCTCATTTGCTGAAACCATGCATCAGGAGCTGATAATGAAAGATATATCCAGCCAGGCCTTTGGGAGATTATAACTTTGAATAACTTTTAACTTTGAAAAAAAATTACTAGCATGCAATGAAAGATTCTTGCCTTGTGATACTTTTAGTATAAATTTATTTTTTTCTCTGTTCTTTTATGTTTTTTGGCATTAAGCTATAGAATGCTCTCCCCAAGTAAGGTTTTGGGTGAATTCCTAAACGAAATCCACAAAATAAAAAACAGGCAAGACTTTGCTGATTGGTTCCAGACCTGAATAACATAAAATGAGTCTCCTTAGCATTAGAAGTAAACTTGAAATGTTGATATTTATCATGTGTATCCAAGTGTATATGAAGCATATTTTATATTTTTAAAACTAATGTAAGCTACCCTCATGGCCAAAAAATTAAGTTAGTCCAAGTAAATCAATATTGATTTCAAAAGTGATAGGCAAAGGGATTCAATTCCTCTGAGTCTGTTCATTTGCGTTTTCCTGAAATTATTTGCCCTGCTTATGATTTCTGAGATCTTTAGATAAACATGATAGTTGGCTGAGCACATTGCACTTAATTGTTGCCACAGCCACAGATGTAAAGAGGCTTGTAAGAAAAATGTTCTCACAGTGAGCTTCCTTATTTGAAGCAGGACTCAATTCTTGGTTAAAAGCTATGGTATTTGAGCTAGTTAAACACATATCTCTCTCCCATTCCATAGGGAATGAGCTGGGCTGTCCTTTCTCCCCACGTTCACCTGCACTTCGTTAGAGAGCAGTGTTCACATGCCACACCACAAGATCCCCACAATGACATAACTCCATTCAGAGACTGGCGTGACTGGGCTGGGTCTCCCCACCCCCCTTCAGCTCTTGTATCACTCAGAATCTGGCAGCCAGTTCCGTCCTGACAGAGTTCACAGCATATATTGGTGGATTCTTGTCCATAGTGCATCTGCTTTAAGAATTAACGAAAGCAGTGTCAAGACAGTAAGGTAAGTGCTGTTTTAACTATTGCACTGGGGATGTTAACTGTTTGGGACAGCGTTTTTTGTAACAGGAACAGGAAAAATTCCAGAGCAATTTTGCCAATTGCTATTCAACAGCAAATCCACAGTTCTGAGCATTTAGTTTCACATTTTGTTAATATGTTTTCCATGATTTATAGATTTGAGATTTTATACAGTATATGCTGTATTGCTTGGCAAGAGAAGTTATAAAAAGTTTCAAGGTTAGAATGAGAAAATAGTTAAAGTAGACACAGTGAAAAAATATAGAAATTAATATGTTTGTTATGTATGCTAGTTAGTTATATATGTTAGTATTGGACCCTAATACTGGAGCAAAGAAAAGTCATTTTAATCAGCATTCAAAATATCTTTTAATAAGCATATTGTGACAATTTGTTATAATTTACAATAAACGTTCTATGTTATAAAACATGAGCTAAAAGATTTAGGAACTCTTATGGATTATTTATTTCTGTTTTGTTAATTTAAAAAATTTGTTTCTTGGATATATGCCTTAAGGAACGAGTTTTTTAAAAAGTTCTGGGAAATGATTTCGTTTTTGAAAACAGCATTTTCTCTATAGCCACAGGTATTTGAAAAAACTGAGGGTAGTACAGTGTGATTTTGCCTCATAGTGGAGTCATTATATGGTTGCAAACTCTCATTCAATTCAGCATCCTTGTTTTTACTTTGCCAAAAAATATGGAAGCATTTTTCATTACTATTTAATACTCACATTATAGTTGCCATATTTTGGTGTATAGTAAATTTAAAATAGCTTATTAATAAAGCAAGACAAATCTTTACAGTATTTACATTCTATAACTTAAAATAACTCTGGGAATATGTCATCACGTTCTTTTTAGTGCTATGCAATTATTATTATGGCCAAGTTCTGTCAGCAAAATTAAATGCCCCCATTAAAATCTTAGAGAGTAATTTACTGAGAATCTGGCTACATGTTACCTTATGTCAGCAATCAAAGTATTTCTAAAAGCTGTTTTATAACGTTCCATCTGATCTGAAATAAAGTGCCTTACAATTTCAAATTAAAACAAATAAAAGACGTTTTCAGTTTCTAACCCCAAAGATCCTGCTTATCCCAAACTACTTTGATCCAAAAGCTTGTAATCATACTTTCATAGAAAGATATAATATTCTCAGTTATCTATTAGAATGTAGATCTTTCGTCACATTAATGATTTATCTCCCAGGGCTACCAACTTTGCCTCAGCCACAACTGTTCACTCTATAAAAGTCTAACTCTTATATTCCAATTTTCCCATATCTAAATTGCTGCACCTAAGACATTGAAATGTACTTTTTTGAGCCTCACCTTAGAAACATGTTCCTATGAGAAGATAACTGTTACACATTATTTCAAATTCATATTCTCAATTGAATAATTTACTAGATAGTTCTAACACCAGTATTAAATCCAAACTTTAAAAACATCACACCTCTCTCCCACCTCCATTCTGTGAGGCCACTAAAAGCCAGATATGCAAACCATGGCATCTTCGATTTTGGCATGAAGAAAGTAGAGAACTTGTGAGTAATTGAGAGAGACTATAACTCTAATTGAAAACTTGGAAAATACTATCTTTCTCTACCTGTTGAATCTCTTTCCAGAAAGAGAAACCTTCAGAATGTGTGACATTTTCCTGATAAACATTAGCAATTATTAAATATTACTAATATTTTGTTTAGTAAATAGCTAATTTATGAAATATTAGTTCCAGAACACAGTTTTGCAATGTGCTTTAAAAAGTGTAGAATGTTAAGCACAACATGAACTAGTATGCATGCACACCAGCACCAAGAATTCTGTTCTCCTTCCTCAGAACCAACAGTAACCAGACACTTTTAAAGGAATGTGCCTTCCATTTCCCTCCCACATACAAGCAAAACCTCAGGTTGCCCATATTCCCGTAAGGATCTTCTTCATGAGTCATTTTAATGATGTCGAATGGTAGGGTAGAGTATACAGTTAAAAACTGTCTTCTCATTCTCTTTTTTTGAGAGATGATCTGAAGCAGTAGTCTAATTCGGTGGTCAATGAACACCACCCAGAAACCTCTTACAGGAAGGCATTTCATTAAGGAAGAGCCTGGAGATTGACTGGAACAATTAGGCTGGGCTCGCCCAGAAGGGGGCGCACGTGTACGCAATCTAACCTGAAAGCTGCTCACTACATAGTTGTAAACATACACCTTTGTCCTCATACCTAAATAAAAATTTAAAAGACGCTGTTAGATGCACTAAAAATAGCTATAAAATAACAAAATGCACATTTTCTAATGAATTTAATGTTGCAAATTGAATGTCTTTTTCTTGAAAGTATATATTTTTTTAATTAATAAATGTTTCATCTTTATTTAGGATTCAAACCATTTGCCAAAAATGAGTCTAAGTGCATTTACTCTCTTCCTGGCATTGATTGGTGGTACCAGTGGCCAGTACTATGATTATGATTTTCCCCTATCAATTTATGGGCAATCATCACCAAACTGTGCACCAGAATGTAACTGCCCTGAAAGCTACCCAAGTGCCATGTACTGTGATGAGCTGAAATTGAAAAGTGTACCAATGGTGCCTCCTGGAATCAAGTATCTTTACCTTAGGAATAACCAGATTGACCATATTGATGAAAAGGCCTTTGAGAATGTAACTGATCTGCAGTGGCTCATTCTAGATCACAACCTTCTAGAAAACTCCAAGATAAAAGGGAGAGTTTTCTCTAAATTGAAACAACTGAAGAAGCTGCATATAAACCACAACAACCTGACAGAGTCTGTGGGCCCACTTCCCAAATCTCTGGAGGATCTGCAGCTTACTCATAACAAGATCACAAAGCTGGGCTCTTTTGAAGGATTGGTAAACCTGACCTTCATCCATCTCCAGCACAATCGGCTGAAAGAGGATGCTGTTTCAGCTGCTTTTAAAGGTCTTAAATCACTCGAATACCTTGACTTGAGCTTCAATCAGATAGCCAGACTGCCTTCTGGTCTCCCTGTCTCTCTTCTAACTCTCTACTTAGACAACAATAAGATCAGCAACATCCCTGATGAGTATTTCAAGCGTTTTAATGCATTGCAGTATCTGCGTTTATCTCACAACGAACTGGCTGATAGTGGAATACCTGGAAATTCTTTCAATGTGTCATCCCTGGTTGAGCTGGATCTGTCCTATAACAAGCTTAAAAACATACCAACTGTCAATGAAAACCTTGAAAACTATTACCTGGAGGTCAATCAACTTGAGAGTAAGTAAAAAGCTGTTCCTGTGTTTGATGTGTGCTCAAGTGTTTAAATACCTGGGCTGCACAACACAGATATTGCATCTGGCTCCATTAAAAAAACAAAATGTCGCCCGGGCGCTGTGGCTCATTCCTGTAAATCCAGCATTTTGGGAGGCCGAAGTGGGCGGATCACCAGGTCAGGAGTTGAGACCAGCCTGGCCAACATGATGAAACCCCATCTCTACTAAAAATACAAAAATTAGCCAGGCGTGGTGTCGCACTTCTGTAATCCCAGCTACTCAGGAGGCTGAGCCAGGAGAATTGCTTGAACCTGGGAGATAGAGGTTGCAGTGAGCCGAGATCGTGCCACTGTACTCAAGCCTGGGCAAGACAGCCAGATTCTGTCTTGGAAAAAAAAAAAATGTCCACAAAATATCCCTCTACTTCAAACAAAGAATAATTCTAGCTCAATCATATATCCAATATCCAGCCTTTCTTTGGTGTATCCAGATAAGGAACAATTAAGGTCACAGAATTTAATATGTAAGTCTTCAAACTAAAAATTCCGGGCCAACTCATCCTGCTGTGTTACCTCCTCATATATATCTCTTATTATTTTCTCCTTTATGGCTTAGATTTGTGTCCTACATTTATTTTTTGACAAGATCTAGATGAGGGAGGAAGAAATGAGTTCAAAAGTGGCACAGTTGGCAAACTCCATAGCCACAAAGAAGCCCATATTGTCCCTCCCTCCCTCCCTCTCTCTCTCTTTTTCTTTCTTCCTTCCTTTCTTTCCCTTTCTTTCTTTCTTTCTTTCTTTCTTTCTTTCTTTCTTTCTTTCTTTCTTTCTTTCTCTTTCTTTCTTTCTTTCTTTCTTTCTTTCTTTCTTTCTTTCTTTCTTTCCTTTCTTTCTTTCTTCTTTCTCTCTTTCTTTCTTTCTTTTTCTTTCCTTCTTTCTTTCTTTCGTTTTCTTTCTTTCTTTCTTTCTTTTTTTTTTTGACAGGGTCTCACTCTGTCGCCCAGACTGGAGTGAGGTGGTGCAATCTCGGCTCATTGCAACCTCCACCCCCCAGGCTCAGGCGATTCTCCCACCTCAGGCCACCACCACCACCAGGCTAATTTTTATGTTTTTAGTAGAGATGGGGTTTCACCATGTTAACCAGGCTGTTCTTAAAATCCTGACCTCAACTGATCCATCTGCCTTGGCCTCCCAAAGTACTGGGATTACAGGCGTGAGCCACTGTGCCTGGCCCCATATAGTCTCATGGTCTTCCCTGACATCAACTACTTGGGACTCACCATGTTACTCTGCTGTCATGATCATCATCTGCCTCTGTTATCTCTGTTATGGTGTGTGGCCATCACAGTGCTCTGGAGGACTGTGAAGAAGATTAAAGAGAAAAAGAAATATGATGGGAGATTCTAACATCTTTTTTTTTTTTTTTTTTTTTAGAAGAAAAATAGTGTTACAGAGCTTTTTTTTTCTTGGGTACAATCCTGCCCCTCATTTGATATTTCCACACTTTCTCTTTCTCCTCTCTTTATTTTTCATTTATCTTCTGGATGAAGTTTGATCTGATGCATTTGGACTGCTTATGCACTTATGTGGTCTTCAGGGACATTCTTCAACTTAAGCAGTATAGATTCCAATGGGAAATTGAAATCCACCATTTCCTACCAGGATAACTCTGCCATTAATCTTTGGCAGAGCTTGGTAGAAGAGAAAAACCATGATTCACAGATAAGGCTTTCTAAATGAAAAAATCAAGCAGGAAACATTGATTCACATATAAAGTAATAATGTCTGCAAAATAATCTATTGAATTTGAACATCTCTACATGATGAAAATTGGTTTTCTGGCCATGCTGAATAAAGGTATTGCTGTCAGAAAATATTACAATATATTTTATGCATATGATGTTTGTTAATTCTGCCAGTTTCATATAACCTCTAGTAGGGTTAAACGTTTTCATAAAGAAGACCATACTCGCCAACTCTGAAGCTCCACATGTTCTTTGTTGTTTCTGAAAAGCAGCCAAGGTAAGGGTTGGTGCTGTTTGACTGTCACACAATACACAGTCAGGCTAACACAGCTAAACCCCTCTTGTTGTTTCCAGTGGAAAATTCACTATGTGGCCATATGTGATTCCTCATTTTAAACATATGTGGTTAGGAGGAAGGATACTCTCTGACAGACCAAAATGCTAAAGGAATTTACGATGCTTAAGGGATGACGGAGTACATTAGATTTGGTGGGTAGAGATTATTCGTAAGAGCAGGGCTACTTCTTTCTCTGAAACAAAGAAGGATACAGAAGTAGGCACATTTGAAGGTATACATTGCATGAGTAAAGGATGGAAGAGAGGTCTATGGGAGAAAGGCCAACGGCCTGTCAGTGCCAAGCTGAGATAGAAACCACAGTGCCCAGTACATAGTGGTCATTTGAAAAGGTAACATAATAGTTTCCTTTCTTTCTTCCTTATCTTTGTACATTTAGTCAGGTATTCTCCTTGTCTTTTTATGTATCACCTCAGTTTAGGTTATTTTGCCAGATAATAATCAACTATATCAACATTTCACATTCACTTAATACAGAAAGTTCCCCTCAATGTTTTTTTCTAATATTAGGGAATATATAGCCAAAACAAACTGTTTTCTATTTCAAACTTGCAACTCTAAGCATTAGCCCAATCAGAGATCTTCCTAGTGTAGAGTAATTTAGAAAGACAGCAAAATCAAAAGGATATTAGTCATTATTTAGGACATACTATGTACTAGTATTGTGTGAAGTGCTCTACACAACTTAATTTAATCTTCATGCAACACGGTAAGATAGATGTGTTATTTCTAACAAGATCAGATAAGTGTTCCAGTGTTGCCCACCTGGGTAAGTGGCAGAGGTAGAATTCCAAGATGGGACTATGCCCATCTTCTTTCCATTTTTCCTCACTTTCTCAAATGTTGGTACCATAGAAAAATCCCTGGAATTAACTGATGAGTTATTTTAAAAAGCATGTGTGTTTGGGGTTCCACTGAAGTCTTTGTTAACTAGAGTTTGAAAATGAAAACAAGATAAAGGACTTGAAAATGTTAATCTAAAATAGACATAGGCAAACATAGTTTCTGTGTATACACAGGTCAGTCAATTCAGTAACACTCTTGGTTTCTATTACAAAGTAAGTCAGTGTTTCATTTGTGGCAGCTTTTTGACCATGGACAAAAATAAACAAATAAACAAAAACATGAGTTCAGATGGTGGACATGCCATGATTAGGTTTTTGCCTTAGAATTTTGATCATTGCTATGGTGTGTGATTGCTGGAATGATTTGGTTTTTGTCTTGGAATTTTTATCATGGTCATGGTATGTGGTTGCTAGAAAATTCTTTATAGATCATCTAGTTAACCCTTCTTATTTTTAGATGTAAAACCAAAGAGTACTTATACTGAGATTGTTCATACAACAATGGGATCCATTTATATTTCTTCAGGTTATACTATTTCAAAAAAGTTGTTAGATAATATGACACACTTATTGAATGCCTTTTTAAAAACAACTTCTAGTAATAAAATAAGTTCTGTTATTTAAAATATTCCACTGAATATCTTGATCTACCATGATTACTCTTTACTAAATGTTACTGTGCCATTTTGGTAGCCTGAAATATGCCTTTAATGGTTGCAAATTCAAACATATACTATATTATGACTTTTCTAAATGGGAAGAGGTCCTATTTTATAATATATTAAACATAAATTTTTTGTATTGTTTTGAGCCAGTGTACTGAAAAATGATTAATGTTTTCTATTCTTTAATTTTTAGAGTTTGACATAAAGAGCTTCTGCAAGATCCTGGGGCCATTATCCTACTCCAAGATCAAGCATTTGCGTTTGGATGGCAATCGCATCTCAGAAACCAGTCTTCCACCGGATATGTATGAATGTCTACGTGTTGCTAACGAAGTCACTCTTAATTAATATCTGTATCCTGGAACAATATTTTATGGTTATGTTTTTCTGTGTGTCAGTTTTCATAGTATCCATATTTTATTACTGTTTATTACTTCCATGAATTTTAAAATCTGAGGGAAATGTTTTGTAAACATTTATTTTTTTTAAAGAAAAGATGAAAGGCAGGCCTATTTCATCACAAGAACACACACATATACACGAATAGACATCAAACTCAATGCTTTATTTGTAAATTTAGTGTTTTTTTATTTCTACTGTCAAATGATGTGCAAAACCTTTTACTGGTTGCATGGAAATCAGCCAAGTTTTATAATCCTTAAATCTTAATGTTCCTCAAAGCTTGGATTAAATACATATGGATGTTACTCTCTTGCACCAAATTATCTTGATACATTCAAATTTGTCTGGTTAAAAAATAGGTGGTAGATATTGAGGCCAAGAATATTGCAAAATACATGAAGCTTCATGCACTTAAAGAAGTATTTTTAGAATAAGAATTTGCATACTTACCTAGTGAAACTTTTCTAGAATTATTTTTCACTCTAAGTCATGTATGTTTCTCTTTGATTATTTGCATGTTATGTTTAATAAGCTACTAGCAAAATAAAACATAGCAAATGGCATCACTGTGTTTGACTTCTTGTGAAATTTCTGTACTTTGTATATAAAATACATAAAACAATAGATTAGAAATCAAAAGATATCTCTGGCCTGCAATATTTTACTGATGTGAACATAGGATTTTCCACTAAATAATTTGTCTACTTCTAGCATTCACTTACAAAGAGTTCTTAAAAACACCTATAATAGGTACTTAGATTTCACAACTTACTTAGATATTTGTCATTATTCCCATTCCTGGTGTTTTTACTGGTTCATATACAATGGTATTCTATTAGATAAGAAGCTGCTATGTGATCTCAGCACTCACTCCTTGGTTGTCAAGAAATGGTGGATAACTCACAGGATTAAAAATGAATGAATATAAAATTTTCTGAAATAGATATTTAAAAAATCATTTTAGCTTGAAGCCAATATGTCTGGATCATAGGTTTTGAGTTCATAATCCAGTAATAACAGCTTTCAGCTTTCTATGAGTATATACAATTCTATACAATGATAAATACTCTGCATATAATTTATAAAAATAACTTCTGTTTTACCTAGTTAACAATAAAACCTATGTGTGGAGCCAAATGTTATGCAGACAAAGGTCTGCTCATCCCATACCAGTGTATATATAGTCAAATATGTGTCTAGTACAAATAAAATGTATCTCTAAGGCATAAAATGTTTTAACACACCACTTTTAGTGAACTCTATCTTATGGTACAGCGGCCTTTCATCAGAGGATCATCATTGAGACTGAGTTGACTGGCAGATATGTGCGATGGATATTACATTAGGTACAATGTGTATTTTTGATTTTCATGAGTTTTCTACATTAAGGTAAATTCCTTAGAGTGTGATAGCAGCCTCAGTTTATTTGTTGGTTTAAACTTGAAATCTACTTTTTCTCGATAAAACTATAATGTAGATGAATTGAAAATGAATTTTCTTTTCCCTGTCTACAAAAGTCACTATCAAGCCTTGGAAACCTATTCTCAAATAGAGGGTAGATAATGTGCCATAAATTCTCTTTTAGAAAGAATGTGATGGAATTAAATGAGCTTTGTCTCTATACTACTTAGAGGAAACATCTTCTCAGCAGACAGTCTGTCTGCATCTTTAAAAGCCTTTGATTTCTCTCTATCCAAAGTCCTATGTTATTCTCATGCCTAAGAAGCAAAACTATGACTTTTAAAACAGCAGTTCCCTTTGTAGTTAATGTTGGTTGACAAAGACAAAGTTAAGCACTTAGTGACACTTTGTTGTAGAAGCATCTGGGAAAGGAATATACCCTGTTTAGGAACAACTCCTCTTTTTAGAGGGAAGACTTCATCTTTTCAGGGCAAAGCTGGAGAAGAGAAGATTCCCACTTACTCCTTCACTCACTGGGCAGCCCTAGTGAGGTGCTGAGGGAAGAAAATCTGGTGAAACTTTTATCAGCTTTCTCCTCATCTCTCCATCCTCACCCTATTTAGGGTAGTGTTTTTCAAAATGGTAAGTATATAACCAGCCTGTAAGGGTGTATTTCTACATCCAGGTTACCAGACATGCCCCAGATATACAGACGTAATGAATTGTGCAACATAGGATTTTGCATTTTTAAAGCGCATCCACGGGTGATTCTTATACCGGTGCTCAGTGTTGCATATTTTTCAAAACACCGACTTAGTGTGATACTATGATTAAGTTACTGAAATCACAAATAATTAAAAAGCAGAAAAGTACTCTTTTCTAGGGAGGCAGAATAGAAAGTAGCCTGCTTTTCACAGCATATCTATCTATCATCTATCTATCTATCTATGTATCTATCTATCTATGAGAATAAATATTTTTTTTTTCTATATTCTAACTAATTTAAGCTCTCTAGCCCTCTACTTCTTCATCCATAAGCAAGGAATGCAGATACATCTTTCATTAAGATAGCATGAGACACTTCTGCCATGAAACTTGCTTGAGAGTGGCTTTATAACACTTCTTACCCACCTAAGTTCCTTTTCCCTTCAGAGTTGTCCAACTGGTATTCTATCAAGAGAAATGGCTAAGGGTTCACTTTGATGAAATTTTTAAGAAGGTACCCATGGGGAATGTCAACAGCAGGTTGAATTTAAGGCAAGAGATTCTCTCAACTGTCTCACTAACAATAGTGATCTTGATTTTATCTCCTTTTGGATAAAGCGGATAAAGTCCTCCATGAGTGGATTAAAGCAATAATGCATATAAATTCTTTCTTTCCCAAGACTGATGCATTAGAACCTTAACTGTAATCCCTTACTGTGGGGAGAAAATGGAAAAATAAGGAAAGTTCCTTTTTGTTCTCAAGACAAAAATTAGGGTTAACTGGTGCCTTTATGGTGAAGGAGAGCTATAATGTACTCAGGCTTTGAGGTTTGTGAGGAATTATCATGCCCTAATAAGTACAAAAAATACAGATGAATAATAGACCACTAAATGAGCAAGAGGAATGTTGATTTCTCAGTTAAAAGTTCTCCAACCGGTAATAGCTATGTTTTTAGAAATCCTGAAGAGTTTAAAAGGTTGGTTTTCAAAAAGACTAAGAGTTTTTTTTTTCCTTGTGATCTTTTAAGTTTGGGTTCCGGTTTTTCTATAGTTGTAATTTTATCATAATGATAGCCTTAGACTTTTCTTTGGTTGGATTTTAAAACCATCATAAATACTTAACATTCACTCACAAGTAAAAGGAAGTTCTCATTTTATTTAAAGGGAACTGCAAAGTAATTTTACTACCAGAAGTAAAAATATATATAAAAATGGCAATGTTATAAAAAAAAGTCTTGTTTTTTTGAAATATATGAAATGAATCAAAATGCATTAAAAATGTCTAGCAAATTATATTGTTTTTACACACATATTCAATAGATTTTGTTTCCAGATAAGATATAACAAATTGCAATACAACACATGAAAAAAAAAATAGAAATGTCAGCAACATAAATAAGTGAGGTCTCACGCATTCATCCTAATCTCACTTTGATAGCCCTAAAATGTCACTTCTTCTAGTAGCTTTAAAATTTGGATTGGCCCAAAGAGTACCATCTATATTTGTGTCTTGTCCCCTTACAATGCACCTGATGTTCTATTTTTTAAAATGTATGTTCTAAAAATATTCAAGAGCCTTAGTAGTAACTTTACCCTATGGATTGTATTTCAAATAAGCCCCTCTCTAGCCTCACTGCCAAGTCTTTATTTCAAGACTTCCTGAATTTTCACTTAGATTTCTGAAAATCCTCATGTTTTGCCTAACTTAATCATCAAGTGCGTTATTAGAGCAAGTTTTCTGACATATAAACCTGGTCCCATATTATTTATCTGTTTAAAACTGTTCAGTGATGTACCATTGCTTTCAGGATGTGATCCAGGCTCCTCAGAGCAGCACAAAAGGCATTCCAGGACACCAAAGGTCCTTTGCAGTTTTCAAAGGTCCTTTGCAATTTAGTCCTTAGTTACTTCTCTAGACTTATCTCTTACCAGGTTTTGTCAGACTTCATCATGCACTACATTAAGTTGCTTGAACTGTTTCAACCATACTTACTAATTTGCAGCTGCATTTGCTCTGGTGTCTATGAAAACGCCTTTCTTCCTGGAATCCCCTCATGCCCCTTTCACTTGGAAACACATAAACATCTTTTAAGACTCGTCTTAAGCTACTCTAACCCTTCAGCAGAATACCTCCTCTGAACTTTCTCAAGTAGAATTAATATCCTTTATTATAAAACAAACATCTGTTAAAAAATAAAAATCATTTATCAAAGTTTTTTTAACAACTCCCTTCATTCATTGTTCATCCATCTGTACCTTTTCCATTAATTCATTTAACTTTTTAAAAAATAAAGCTTCTACTATACTCCAGAAATGGCTTAGGTGCTGGAGACACTGTAGTGAACAAGACCGGCAAATCTTTATCCTAACAAAGTTGACATTTATAGGGGATTCAATCAGCAGATAAACACACAGTCTATGACATGATGACAGTAGTGATAAGCGCTATGAAGAAATAAATGACCTGAAGGACTATGAAGAAATGGAGGGAGTGGTGATTTTTTTGGGTGATAAGGAAAGACTTGTGGGGAGCAGACCTAACTGTCATTATAACATATATTTGGACATTAATTTAAATGTTACAATACATTAGATAATTCAAGGAATGTTCTTTAAGGATTATTTTAGCTCAAATAATAGTTATAAGGTACATTTCTACTTAGGCATGGAAAAAAACCTGGGTGTAGGATCAGACATGATTTGAAGTGTTGTAACTCTCATTTGAGACCAGATCTCTGTTCTCAGAGTGTATATTATAACTTAGTAACCCCCCGTGGCATTAAGGGGGGCTTAGATGTGTTTACATGTGTGTTTGTAAATTTCCTCATCTTAGCCCTGACAAAACACAGGGCCTGGAAGTAAGTTTTCCAGACGTGGTTGCTGAGTAGCATTAATGGAATGAAGCTGTGGTTGGAAGGAACAAGTTACAAAGGTCAGTCATGAGGCGGGCCTCTCCTGGTGAGCTCCAGCACAATTGCTTCTGCTTTACTCCCTTTAACATTACACAAAACATTGCAATTTACTTTAATCCATGGAATTATCTACAAACATCTATCTATTAAATATATTTTTTCATTAAAGTGTACTTGACAAATAAAAATTGTATATCTTTACAGTGGACAACATGATGCTTTGATATGTGTATCCACTGTGAAATGGTTAAAGCTAATTAACAAGCACATTACCTCACATTCCTATAATTTTCTATTGTGAGAACATTTAAGATCTGCTTTTATTAGCAACTTTCAAATGTACAATACACTATTATTAACTGCAGTTACCATACACCATAAATCTCCCATGCTTATTTATCCTGTCTAATTGAAACTTTGTACCCTTTAACCAACATTTTCCCATCTACCCAGCCCTCACCCTCAGCTCCTGGTAGCCACCATTCTACTCTTTCTGCTTCTATGAGTTTGACTTGTTTTAGATTCCACATATAAGTGACATCATGCAGTACATTTCTTTTTGTGCTTGGTTTATTTCACTTAGCAGAATGTTCTCCACTTTTGTCTGTTATTCCAAAAATAGGACTTCCTTTTTTTATGGTTAAATGGTAATCTACTGTATATGCAGATGTTCCTTGACTTATGATGGTGTTATGTCCCAGTTAACCTGTCATGAGTTGAAAATATATGTCAAAAACACATTGAATACACCTAACCTATGGAACATCATATCTAGCACAACTTATCTTAAATATGCTCAAAGCACTCACATTAGCTACAGTTAGACAAAAATCTTCTAACATAAAGCCTATTTTATAACAAAGTATTGAATATCTCATGTAATTTATTGAATAATGTACTGAAGGTTACAATTGTGTGATTGTATACTCGAAATATGGTTTCTACTGAATGTGTTATCACTTTTGCACCATCATAAAGTCAAAAAATCATAAACCGAACTATTCTAAGTTGAGGACCATCTGTATATACACCACATTTGTATCCATTTATACATGAAGGAACCCTTACATTGATTCCATATCTTGGCTATTTTGAATAATGCTGCAATGAACAGGGGAGTGCAGATAACTCTGTGAAATACTAATTTCAATTACTTTGGTATATACCCAGAAGTGCCATTGCTGGATCATAGGTTAGTTCTACTTTTAATTTTTTGGGAAGCCTCTTACTGTTCTCTGTCATGGCCGTGGTAACTTACATTCTCACCAACAGTGTGTAAGGGTTCCCTTTTCTCCACATCTTTGCAAACACTTATCTTTCAACTTTTCGATAATAGCCATTGTAACAGACACGAGGCAATATCTCATTGTGGTTTTACTTTGCAATCCTCTGATGATTAGTGATGTTAATCATTTTTTAATATACCTGCCGGTCATTTGTATGTCTTTGTTTTGGAAATGTCTATTCAGATTCTTTGCCCATGTTTTAATTGGGTTATGTGTTTCCTTGCTATTGTATTGTACGTTATATTTTGGATAACTCCTTATAAGATGTATGGCTTGGACATCTTTTCTCCCATTTCATAGGTTGTCTCTTCACACTATTGATTGTTACCTTTGCTGGGCTGAAGGTTTTTAATTTGATGTAATATCTATTGCCTGTTTTTGCTTTTATTGCCAGTGCTTTTAAGTTCATATCCTAAAAATATTCGCTGAGACTAATGTCAAGGAGCTTTTCAATCCTGTGTGTGCTTCCAGTAGATTTATAATTTCAGGTCTTATGTTTAAATCTTCAATCCATTCTGAGTTGATTTTTTGTATGGTATGAACTAAGGATCCAATCTCATTCTTCTATATGTGAATATTCAGTTTTCTCAACACTATTAAGAAGAGTCTTCTTTCCCCATTTTGTGTTCATGGCAACTTTGTTGAAACTTAACTGACCATAATATCATGGATTTACTTTGGGGCTCTCTATTCAGCTTCCTTGCCCTATGTGTATATTTTTATGCCAATACCATTTTCTTTTGGTTGCTGTAGATTTAAAGTCAAATAGTGTGAGACCTCTAACTTTTTGCTCAACATTGCCTTGGATATTTGGGATCTTGATTAGTTCTATGCAAATTTTAGAAATTATTTCCTATTTCTGTAAAAAATGTTATTGTAATTTTCATATGTATTGTGTTGAATTTTTTTTGGATAGTACTATGGCTTAAGTGTGTCCCCCAAATTTCATATGTCGAAAACTTAACCCCAAATCCAATAATGTTGGGAGATGGGACCTAATAAGAGGTGATTTGGTCATGGTCATGAGGGCTCTGCCCAAATAAATGAATTAATTTCATTATTGGAAGAAATAGTTTTGTTATAAAAATGAATTTGGCTTATTTTGCACATGTGCATGTGTTCTCCTACCCTTCCAACATGAGATGACACAGCAAGAAGGCCCTCACCAGATGTGAGCGCCTTGACTTTGTACTTTCCAGTCTTCAGGACTGTAAGAAATAAAATTGACATACTTATTTTAATTTATAATTACATTTTTATAAAGTTATTCATTTTTGGTAATAAATAATTTGTTATAAATAAAATTTATAAATATATAAAATACATAAATAAATATATATAAATTGTTATAATTACACAGTTTCAAGTATTTTGTTATAGCAGCACAGGACAGGACTAAAACAGGTGGTACAGACATTTTAACAACACTACATTTTTCCCTATGAACACAGGTTATCTGTCAATATATTTGTGTCTTAATTTTGTTCACTAATGTTTTACAGTTTTCAATGTACAGATCTTTCTCTTCTTTGGTTAAATTAATTGCTAAGTTTGTTTTGTTTTTTGTTTGTTTGTTTTGTTTTTTTTTTTGAGACAAAGTCTTGCCCTATTGCCAGGCTGGAGTGCTGTGGCGCAATCTTGGCTCACTGCAACCTCCGTCTCCTGGGTTCAAGTGATTCTCCTGCCTCAGCCTCCAGAGCAGCTGGGACTACAGGTGTGCACCACCACGCCCAGCTCACTTTTTTGTATTTTTAGTAGAGATGGGGTTTCACCATTTTGGCCAGGATGGTCTTGATCTCCTGACCTCGTGATCTGTCAACCTTGGCTTCCCAAAGTGCTGGGATTGCAGACATGAGCCACTGTACCCAGTCAATTGATAAGTATTTTTGAAGCTATTATAGATGATATTGTTTTCTTGATACCTTTTTTGGATCATTCATTGTTAGTGTATAGAAGTGCTACTAATTTTTGTGTGTTGATTTTTTATCCTGCAACTTTATTGAATTTGTTTATTAATTCTAACACTTATTTTAGTGGAATGTTTAGGGTTTTCTGTATAAAACATCATCTATAAACAGAGTCAATGTTACTTCCTTTTCCCCAATTTGGATGCCTTTTATCTCTTTTTCTTGTCTAATTGCTCTGGCTAGGTCTTCCAGTACTACACTGAACAGAACTGGTGAGAATGGGCATGCTTATCTTGTCTGTTATCTTAGAATAAAAGCTTTCAGCTTTTAACCATTAACTATGATGTTAGCGGTCAGTATTCTATCTTTTTTTCAGAGAGTATTGTCTACCCTCATAACTTGGGATACTGAATAGAGACATATTAATTCATATGAATTGATTTACTCATATTTAATCTATTGTCTCAGCCCAATTTTGTGCTGCTCTAACAGAACACCAGAGACTAGGTAATTATAATAAGCAGACCTTTACTGGCTCACAGTTCTGGGAGCTGGGACTTCCAAGATTGAGGGGCTGGAATTTTTCAAGGACATTTTTGCTTGTTTGTTTTGTATCATCCCATAGTAGATGGGGAAAGAGAGGGAGAGAGAAACAAAAGGAGACCAAACTCATTCTTTTATAAGGAAACCACTCCTGAAACAACAGCATTAATTCCTTCAAGAGGGTGATGACGTCATGACCCACACACTTCCTACTGGGCCCCACTTCTTAACACATTCATATTTGAGATCAAATTTTCAACACAAGAACTTTGGGAGACACAGTCAAACCATAGTATTCACCAACAAATTTTTGGGCTGTATCTTAAAAATATATCACAAATCTTACTACTTACCACTACTGGTCCAATCTACTATTACCTCTATTCTGTATTAATATAGTACCTCCAAATTTATTTCAGAAAATATTCAAGCATGGAATCTTGCAGTTAATTTTCAAACAAAAGTCAGGGTGAGGCTTGAAAAATACAAATCAGCTCATGCCCTGTCTCATCTTAAATACCTGAAATGTCTTCTCATCAAACTTAAAAGCCTTTATCATAACCTCCAAGGTAATGTTCCCTTATTACACTTCTTGCCCACTCCTCTCCAAACACACTGATCTCCCTGTTTCTTGAAAATTCCAAATAAATATCATTGTTCCGGGCTTTTATGCATTTGTCTCTGCCTGTTCCCCAGCTAGTGATATAGTTCATTTCCTCCTTAATTATGGTCTCTTTTCAAAATAATTAGAGTTATTTGCTAATCACTTCATGTTAAAAAGCACCCCATGTTGATCTCTACCCTTTACCTTGCTTTAGTTTTGTTTCTTTGTTTGTTGTAGTATTCATTAGAATCTGACACTGTTTTGTGCACAGTATGTGTGTGTGTATATATTATTCATACTGTCACAATCCAAAGAAAATTCCACCCAAGTAAAGCACATGCTTTTCCTCCCCACAAGATCAATCCATAGTCTTCAGAAATATGCCTGCACACAGTAGGTTCTCAAAACTTTTTTGTGGGATAAAAAATTAATCTTCCATTTATGTGGCACTTTATACTTTGTGGAACAGTTTCACCTATATGTGAACAGTTTCACCAGTATGAAACATCACAACTTTAAAACTGAAACTGAGGAGAGAAAATAATCTGCTAACATGATGTAACCATTGAGATGCAGAAATGAAGCTCACTCTTAACTCTTTTATTGTTGTTAGGGTTTCTAATTAAAAGCAGTGCTCTTGCTACTATACTTTGTGATTTAAAAGAGATTGAATATTTGGAATTATGTTCCTTCTCTGCCTAATTTTTTGAGGTTTTTTTTATGAAGTGATACTAAATTTTATCAAATGCCTTTTCTGCATCTATTAAGAACATCATGTGTTTTTTCCTTAATTCTGTGTATGTGATGAATCATATTTATTGCATATGTTGAACCATCCTCACATCCCTGAAATAAAATCCATTTGATCATGGCATATTTTCTTTTTGATGTGCTGTTGTATTTGGTTTGATAGTATTTTGGTGACAATTTTTGCATTTATGTTAATCAACCATGTACTACAAATCCATAGCCAACATCTTACTAAATGGGGAAAAGTTGAAGGCAATCCTTCTAATAACTGAAACAAGACAATGATGCCCACTTTCACGACGTCTATTCAATACAATACTGGAAGACCTAGCCAGTGCTATCAGGCAAGAGAAAGAACTAAAAGACAAACAAATTGGAAAAGAGGAAGTCAAATTATCTCTGTTCACTAATAATATGATTTAAAACAACTCTATAAATTAAGAGCAGATTAAGTACAGTTAGAAAGAAAATGACTTACAAGATATTTAAGCGGAAATGTTATGCAGCGCTCTGCTAAAGGAGATAAGGAGACAAAAACAAAAAAGGATTAAGACATAGGAAGACCAAGTATTTTTAATATAGCTCTAAATGAAGACCTATAAAGAAATAAATGAAATAATGCAGAAGAGAAATATCTGAAGAGAGAACTATTTTTCACAAATTGGTAAAAATATGAATGTATTAATCCAGGAAAAAATTGCTTACAAAAAAATCATTTAGAATGACAGTAAATTTCTCTACTAAAACCAATACATGCCAGAAGATAATTGTGTAACATCTTTGAAGCACTTAGAGTAAATAACTGTTAACATTTATATATGAAAACTATTTTTAAACATACTATTTCAAATAAAGATATGTATAGTTTACCACCTAGAAAGTTCTAAAGAATGATATTCAAGGAGGAAAATGATCTCAGAAATACTGTCTAAGGAGTAAGATGAAAATTGAACAAATTAAATGACAAATATTAGATTAATCAAAATAAATATTTTAAGTATCTAATTATATGATTATGTTTAATGTGTATAAATTTTAAGAGGCTAGAATAGAAATATTGCATGCAATAGGTAAATAAAATTATGTGAGTTAGGAAACATAAATGAAGATGTTTGAAATCCTCTTATCATTAGAAAAAAGAGGATAAATATGTTGTTTTACTTTATTTTTTCAAAGATAATTTTGTAGGATAAAATTTTAAGAGTAAGAAAATTTAATGAAGTTTATAAATTAAAAATCAATAGAGGTTTAAAAAGTGGAATAAAGAAAAATAAACATACATTCACTACTGAAGGCAGGGGTTCAGGGCCAAATGACCAATTCGAAGCAGCTGTGGTCTGCAGTGTGGACAGAGAGGAATGAAAACATGTGAGTGAATTCAGCACCTTCAACTGAAATATCCCACTGGGACTGATTAGACAAACAACTTGACCCATGAAAAATGAAGAAAAGCAAGGTGGGGTGACGATCCACCCAGAAGCATGGAGCTGAAGGAACCCTCACACCCAGCCAAGGGAAGCAGTGAATGACTGTTCAACCACACTTGGGAAACCACACTTCTCCCATGAATCTTTGCAATCTACAGATCAGGAGATCCCCTTGTGAGCCCATGCCACTAGGGCCTTGGGTCCAATCCACAGAGCTGTGTGGAGTCTTGGCAGAGCAGCCACTCAGTCACACACAGAGACCCAGGAGATTTACATATTGTGGCCCCAGGATCCCCTTTAAGGCAGGAGATCCGTCCATACATATTCCTAGGAAGGGGGCTGAATCCAGGGAGTCAAGCAGCATCATTCTGTAGGCCCCACTTCCACAGCAGCTCACAAGTTATGACCTACTGACTTGGAATTCCAGCCAGCCAACAGCAACAGGCTGGAGTCTGCCTGAGGCAGGATTGAGTTCCTGGGGGTAGGGGCAACTGCCATCTCTACAGTTCGGTTGACTCAGCCATTCCTGCCTCCCAGCTTTGGATAATCCAAATTGCCCAAACGAGGAAGGGTTCCGCACAATGCAGCACAGCTGCTTTGCCAGATAGTGGTCAAACTGATTTTTTAAGTTTGACCCCCATCCATTCCTTCTCACTGGGTGGGACCTCCCTGCATAGGCTTCAGCCACTCCACCTAGGGTTATATGGACAGTGTTCTTATCTTTCCCTGGGATGGAGCTCCCAGTGAAGAAGGGGCAGCTGCTATCTCTGAGGTTTGGTCGAATCAGCCATCCCAGCCTGCTAGCTTTGGAGATTCCAAATGGTCCAGAAAAGAAAGGGTCCCCCACAAAGCAGCACAGCTGCTCTACCAATAAACAACCAGAGTGCTTCTTTAACTGGGTCCCTGATCCTGTTCCTCATTACAGGGTGAGACCTCCAAACAAGGGTCTCCATCCACCTCTTATACCATTTGTACAGCCAATAGGTCAGTAATCCTGTGGGACAGAGCTTCCAGAGGAAGAAGCAGGTTGCCATCTTTACTGTTTCACTGGTGATATCTCTAGGTTTGAAAAAAACCAAGGCAGATAGGGTCTGGAGTGGACCCCCAAATAACTGCAGCAGCCCTACAGAAGAGTGACCTGACTGTTAAAAGAAAAACAGAAAATAACATCAACAAAAGAGAAAAGAACCGTTCAAAGGTCAGCAACCTCAAAGATCAAAGATAAATAAGCCCACAAAGATGAGAACAAATCAACACAAAAATGCTGAAAACTCAAAAAGCCAGAGTGCCTTGTCTCCTCCAAATGAGTGCAACACCTCTCCAGCAAGGGCACAGAACTGGGCTGAGACTGAGATGGCTGAATTGACAGAAGTTAGGCCTCAGAAGGTGGGGAATAATGAACTTCACTGAGCTAAAGGAGCATGTTGTACCTCAAAGGAAAGAAGCTAAGAATCACGATTAAACAATACAGGAGCTGATAGCCAGAATAGTCAGTTTAGAGAGGAACACAACCAACCTGATAGAGCTGAAAAACACAACATGAGAAATTAATAATGCAATCACAGTATCAACAGGGGAATAGATCAAGCAGAGAAAGGAATCTCAGAGTTTGAAGACTATCATTCTGAAATGAGACAGGCAGACAAGAAAAGATAAAAAACAATGAAAAGGAATCCCTCCAAGAAATATGGGATTATGTAAAAAGACCAAACTTACAACAGATTGGGGTACCTGAAACGGACAGGGAGAATGGAACCAAGTTGGAAAACATACTTTGGTATATCATCCAGGAGAACCTCCCCAAACTACCAAGACAGGGCAACATTCAAATTCAGGAAATCCAGAGAACTCCAGAAAGATACTCTATGAGAAGATCAACCTCAAGATACATAATCATCAGATTCCCAAAGGTCGAAAAGAAAGAAAAAATGTTAAGGGCAGCCAGAGAAAAAGGCCAGGTCACCTACAAAGGGAAGCCCATCAGACTAACAGTGGACCTCTAAGTGGAAACACTTAGAGGTTCTAAGTCAGAGAAGATTGGGGACCAATATTCAACATTCTTAAAGAAAATAATTTCCCACCCCCCACCCATGAGACTTTCATATTCAGCCAAACTAAGCTTCATAAGGGAAGGAGAAATAAGATCCTTTTCATACAATCAAATGCTAAGGAATTCATCACTACCAGGCCTGCCTTGTAAGAGCTCTTGTAGGAAGCACTAAATATGGAAAGAAAAATTGTTACCAGCCACTACAAAAACACACTGAAGTACACAGACCAGTGACACTATGAAGCAATCACATAAACAAGTCTGCAAAATAACCAGCTAGCATCATGACTACAGTAGCAAATTTATACATAACAATACTAACCTTAAATGTAAACAGACTAACAGCCCCAATTAAATGACACAGAATGGCAACCTGGATAAACAGCCAAGACCCATTGGTATGCTGTCTTCAAGAGATATGTCGCAAGTGCAAGGACAAACATAGGCTCAAAATAAAGGGATGGAAGAAAATTTAACAAACGAATGGAAAATAGAAAAAAGCAGGGTTGCAATCCTAGTTTCTGACAAAACAGACTTTAAACCTAAAAAGATCAAAAAGATAAAGAATGGCATTACATAATGGTGAAGGGCTTAATTCAACAAGAAGAGAACTAACTATCCTAAATATATATGTACCCAATATAGGAGCACCCAGATTTATAAAGCAAGTTCTTAGAGACCTAGACTTAGGCTCCCACACAATAATAGTGGGAGATTTTAACACCCCACTGACAATATTAGACAGATTGAGACAGAAAGTTAACAAAGATATTTTCAGGACCTGAACTCAGCTCTGGATCAAGTGGACCTGATAGATCTCTACAGAACTCTCCACCCCAAAACAACAGATTATACATTCTTCTCCTTGTCACATGGCACTTACTCTAGAATCGAACACATAATCAGAAGCAAAACACCCCTCAGCAAATGCAAAATAACTGAAATGATAAAAAAACTCATACCACAACACAATCAAATTAAAACTCAAGATTAAGAGATTCCCCTAAAACACACAACTACATGGAAACTGAACAACCTATTTTTGAATGACTCTTGGGTAAATAATGAAATGAATACATAAATTAAAAAGTTCTTAAAACTAACGAGAACAAAGAAACAATGCACTAGAATCTCTGGGATGCAGCTAAAGCAGTGTTAAGAGGAAAATTCATAGCACTAAAATCCCCACATCAAAAAGCTAGAAGGATCTTAGGTTAACAACCTAACGTTATAACTAAAAGAATTAGAGAAACAAGAGCAAACAGACCCCAAAGCTAGCAGAAGACAAGAAATAACCAAGATGAGATCTAAAGTGTAGGAGAGGAGACACAAAAAACTCTTCAAAATATAAACGAATCCAGGAGCTGTTTTTTTTTTGTAAAAATTAATAAAATAGACTGCTGGCTAGACTAATAACGAAGAAAAGAGAGAACATTCAACTGAACACAATCAGAAATGATAAAGGGGAATTTTACCACTGACCCCACAGAAATATAAACAACCATCAGAGAATACTATAAACACCTTTATGTACACAAACTGGAAAATCTAGGAGAAAACGATAAGTTCCTGGATGCATACATCCTCTCAAGACAACCAGGAAGATATTGAATGTCTGAATAGATCAATAATGATTTCTGAAATTGAAGCAGTAATAAATAGGCTACCAAAAACAATAACAAAAAGTCCAGGACCAGACAGCTTCATAGAGGAATTATACTAGTGGTACAAAGAAGAGCTGGTACTATTTCTACAGAAACTATTCCAAACCATTGAAAAGGAGGAACTCCTCCCTAACTCATTTTATAAGGCCAGCATCATCCTGACACCAAAGCCTGGCAGAGATACAACAACAACAACAACAACAACAACAACAACAACAAAAACTTCAGGCCCATATCCCTGATGAACATTGATGCAAAAATCCTCAATGAAATACTAGTGACTGAATCCAGGAGCACATCAAAAAGCTTGTCCACCACAATCAAGTTGGCTTCATTCCTGGGTTTCAAGATTGGTTTAACATACACAAATCAATAAATGTGATTCATCACATAAAACTAAAGACAAAAAACTCATGATTATCTCAATAGATGCAGAATATACCTTTGATGAAATCCAATATCCCTTCATGTTAAAAACTCTCAATAAACTAGGTGTTAAAGGAACATACCTCAAAATAATAAAAGCCATATATGACAAACCCACAGCCAATATCATGCTGAATGGGCTTAAAGACTGAAAGCATTCTCCTTGAAAACTGGCATAACACAAGGATGCCCTGTCTCACCACTCCTGTTCAATGTAGTGTTGGAATTTCTGGCTAGGGCAGTCAGGCAAGAGAAAGAAATAAAGGGTATTTGATATGGTTTGACTACGTGTGCACCCAAATCTCAGTTTGAGTTGTAGTTCCCATAGTCCACATGTGTTGTAGGAGGGACCAGGTGGAAGTAATTGAATCATGGGGGCAGTTGTTCCCAAGTTGTTCTTGTGATATTGAGTGAGTCTCACAAGATCTGATGGTTTTATAAGCATCTGGTCTTTCCACTGCTTGCAGTCATTCTATTTCTTGCCACTCTGTGAAGAGGTGCCTTCTGCCATGATTGTAAGTTTCCTGAGCGCTTCCTAGCCATGAAGAATTGGGAGTCAATTAAACTTCTTTCCTTCATAAATTTCCCAGTCTCGGGTATTCATAGCAGCATGAGAACAGAATGATAAACTATTCGAATAGGAGGAGAGGAAGTAAAATTATCTTTGTTTGCAGATGACATGATTCTGTATCAAGAAAACCCTATCATCTTAGCCCAAAAGCTTCTTAAGCTTATAAGCAACCTGAGCAAAGTCTTAGGATACAAAATCAATGTGCAAAAATCACTAGCATTTTTATACACCAACAACAGGCAAGCAGAAAGCGAAGTCATAAATGAACTCCCATTCATAATTGCTACAAACAAAATAAAACACCTAGAAATACAGCTAACAAAGGAAGTGAATGACCTCTTCAAGGAGAACTACAAACCACTGCTCAAATAAATCAGAGAGGACACAAATGGAAAAACATTCCATGCTCATGGATAGGAAGAATCAATTTCATGAAAATGGCCATACTTCCCAAAGTCATTTATAGATTCAATACTATTCCCATTAAACAACCATTGATATTTTTCAGAGAATTAGAAAAAAATGCTATTTTAAAATTTATATGAAACCAAAAAATGCCTAAATAGCCAAGACAATCATAAGCAAAAAGAACAAAGCTGGTGGCATCACACTACCCTACTTCAAACTAAACCACAAGGTTACGGTAACCAAAATGGCATGGTACTGGTTCAGGAACAGACACATAGACCAATGAAGCAGAATAGAGAACTCAGAAATAAGACCACACACCTACAACCATCTGATCTTCAACAAACCTTAAAAAAAAAAAAAAAAAGCAATGGGGAAAGGACTCATTATTTAATAAATTGTGTTGGGAAAGCTGGCTAGCCATATGCAGAAAATTGAAACTGGACCCCTTCCTTACACCATAATTACAGGCTCATGCCTGTAATCCCAGCACTTTGGGAGGCCTACATGGGTGGACCATGAGGTCAAGAGTTCAAGACCAGCCTGGCCAACATGGTGAAACCCCACCTCTACTAAAAACACAAAAAATTAGCCAGGCATGGTGGCACGTGCCTGTAATCCCAGCTACTCAGGAGGCTGAGGCAGGAGAATCGCTTGAATCCAGGAGGCGGAGGTTGCAGTGAGCAGATATCATGCCACTGCACTCCAGCCTGGGTGACAAAGCAAGACTTCATCTCAAAAAAAAAAAAAAAAAAAAAAAAAGAAGAAAAGAAACTATCATCAGAGTGAACAGAACCTACAGAATGTGAGAACATTTTTTGCATTCTAATCATCTGACAAAGGTCTAATATTCAGCACCTATAAGGAACTGAAACAAATTTACAAGAAAAAAATAACTCCATTAAAAAGTGGGCAAAGGACATGAACACGAACTTCTTGAAAGAAGACCTATATGTGGCCAACATACTTACGGAAAAAAAACTCAACATCAATAATCATTAGAAAAATACAAATCAAAACCACAATGAGATGTCATCTCACACCAGTCAGAATTGCTATTATTAAAAAGTCAAAAAACAACAGATGCTGGTGAGGTTGTGAAGATAAAGGAATGCTTTTAAACTGTTGGTGGGAGTGTAAATTCGTTCAGCCATTGTAGAAGACAGTGTGGTGATTCCTCAAAGACCTAGAGGCAGGAACACCACTTGACCCAGCAATCCCATTGCCTATCGTATACCCAAAGGAATATAAATTATTCTAGTATGAAGATACATGCACATGTATGTTCATTGCAGCACTGTTCACAGTAGAAAAGTTATGGAATCAACCTAAATTCCCATCAGTGATAAACTGGATAAAGAAAATGTGGTACTTATACAGCAAGGGATAACTATGCAGCTATAAAAAAGAACGAGATCATGTCCTTTGCAGAAACATGGATAGAGTTGGAAGCCATCATCTTCAGCAAACTAAAACAGGAACAGAAAATCAAACACCTCATGTTCTCACTTATAAGTAGGAGCTGAATGATGACAACACATGGACACATGGTGGGGAACAACACACAGTGGGGCCTGTTGGTGGTAGGGGTCCGGGGAGGGAGAGTATCAGGAAGAATAGCTAATGGATGCTGGGCTTAATACCTAGGTGATGGAATGACCAGTGTAGCAAACCACTAAGGCACACATTTACTCATGTAGCAAACCTGCAAATACTGTACAAGTACCCCTGAACTTAAAATAAAAGTTGAAGAAAAAAAATTGAAGACAATAAAGAAGAAACAAAAAAGAAAATGGGACAGTAGAAATCAAAAGGTATGATAATAGAATAGAGTCTCAGCATGTCAGCATTCACAATAAAACCAAATTTATCAGCTGAAAAACATTATTTGTCATGATCACAGAGAGAAGTCAAATTTAAAAGGGTGAAAAAAAATACATACTGGGTAAATAATAGCCAAATGTCCGGTGCAGCTCTAATCGTATCAGACAAAATACACTTTAAGACAACAAACATCATTAGCAACAAGAAACTTCATAATGGCACAACATAAAGTTTAATATGCCAGAAAAACATACCATAATTTAAAATACATTCGCAACTGAGATAATATTAAAATATATAGAGAAAAATAATATAATTATAGGAAGAAAAAATAGCATTTTGGTACATTTCTAAGCAGACCTTTAAATTATTAATATTCAAACAGATAAAAAAATTAGCTAAAATATAAAATGTTAGAGCTACAAAATTTCCAACCTGCATTTAGTAGATAGTTTACATTCAAAAATGAGATAATTTACAGCCTTGTTAAATTCAAATAGAGCATTTGTAAGAATTTTATTCTAGGCCACAAAACCAAATTTGTTTTAACAAATTTCAAACAGTAGATAGTATATAGATCCCATTTTCCATCCACAAAATAAACCAGAATATGACCAAAAAATATAAAGAATGTTCACATATTTTTCGAAATTCATATGACAATTTAAAAACACTTATGGGTCAAGGAAGAAATCAGAATAGAGACTTTAAAAATATGATAAAAAGAATAGTAAAAACATTGTATATAAAATTAATTTGATTCTGTGAAAGTAGTAATTCAAGTATAATATATAGCCTTAAGTCTGCTTATTGCATTGGGAATTAATGCAGTATACATTCAATTTAAATTAGAATTATTTTGCTTAAAATATGAAATAAAGAAAAGATATTCACTATCACCACTTCTATTCAATGGTTTATTGGTGGAATTTGGCAACACAATTTGAAAAGAAAAATAGATTCATGCATTGCTTAGATAGGAATATGTTTTGAGAAATGTCATTAGACAACTTGGTTGTTTTGTGAACATCATAGAGTGTACTTACATTAATTTAGTTGTTACATATTTTTATTTATGTGTGTATATATATATATTCAAATGGTAAACCAAATGTCTCAGCATCATTACTGAATATCAATCATTTTCCGTACTTTCCTCCTGTTCTGCAATGTTAATATCAAGTGCCATTTATTAAGCTTCTATACACATTCTATTAGTCTCATGGGACCAGTGTATATGCAGTCTGCTGTTGATATCATGGTGAATGACTAAATGGACTGCATGAACCAAACACCGCATGTTCTCACTCATAGGTGGGAATTGAACAATGAGAACAGTTGGACACAGGGCAGGGAACATCACACACTGGAGCCTGTCATGGGGTGGGGGGAGAGGGGAGGGATGGCATTAAGTGAAATACCTATTGTAAATGATGAGTTAATGGGTGCAGCACACCAACATGGCACATGTATAGGTATGTAACAAACCTGCACATTGTGCACATGTACCCTAGAACTTAAAGTATAATAAAAATAAATAAATAAATAAATAAATAAAATAAAGAATTAAAAGAAAAGAATTATTGCAATTGTTGCCAATTTTATGATTGTCTACATAACACAATGGACTCTATAAAAGCATTATTAGAAATAATAAATGAAAGTGCCATTTACTTATCTATAGAATCTCAGATTAAAATCTGTATCTTTATATTCTGTGATGTTGGATGTGGAACTTTGCAAACTATTTTTCCAAGATGCCTTTGCCTGCAGGAGTATGTCAGGGAAGACACTACATGAAAATTAAAAGATAGAAGAAGAAAAAGGACTGGGAAGATACTACATGAAAATTGAAATATAAAAGAAGAAAAGGGACTTTCAGTGTTAGTTACTTGGTTTGCAACTAATTCTAAAATGTATATGGAAAGCAATGGGCCAAAAATATCCAAAACACTCTTGATGAGAAATTATGGAGAACTTGTCCTACTATAAGATTTAATTATTATGTATTAAGTATGTATTAAGTATTATGGCCATTAAGACAAAGTGATACTGTCAAAGAATAAAAACGTTAACCAATTGGATAGAATAGAAAATCTATAACCATATTCACACAAATATGGAAATTTGCATATCATCAGAGACATGTCATTGCACATCACTGGGGAATATAGGAGCTAGTCAATAAAAATAACTAGAAAAATTGGTAATCCAAAAGAAAATAAAAGATGAATTTGGATTCTTTATCTTACAAAATCTGTTCCCCATAAAGACTAAAATATCAAGAATAAAACTCTAAAATATTTGGAAAAAATTGATATGTGACTACATTTCCAATATGGAACAAGGAATGGTTCCTTAACAAAGATAGAATATCAAGGAAGAGATTAATTAATTTGACTGCAGTACTATTAAGACCTTCTATTCATCAAATAATATTACAAAGCAGATGAAAAGACATAAACCAAGAGATTATGGTTACAATAAATATAGCCTACAGATAATTAAAAACAAGAATCCAAACCAATAGGAAACGGGAAACATCTTAATTTTAAAATGAACAAAGAGAAAGTACACATACCAAAAGAAATAAAGAGATGTTCAACTCACTAGAAATTAAAAAAAAGCAAAGGAACAACTACAAAATTATATTATTTTTACCTATTCAGTTACCAAAAATTAAGAAGTCTGGCAATTTAAAGATCGAAGGGGGTATAAACAATTTTATCTGGTATAAATTAGTACAACTACACAGGTAAACAATCTTACCTGGTATAAATTGGTACAACTCCCTAGGTATTATCAAGAAAGTTTAATGTTCATGCATCATATAATCCAGCAATTCCCTTCCTACAATGCTTCTCAAACTTTAATGTGCATATTAATTGACCAAGGATCTTGCTAAATTGCAAACTCTCAGGTGTGAGCCGAGGTTACATAGTTTTAGCAAGCTCCCAGGTGATGCCCATGCAGCCTGTCAACCCACACTTTGAGTAGCAAGATAAACCCAATACAAACTTTGCATTTGGGCAATAGGAGATGTGAGATGTATACAAAACACCCTTACAAATGGCAAAAGACTGCCAATAATCCAAACGTTTATTAATAGAATAGATTACAAATTGCGTTGTCCAATGGAATATTTTACTGCAGTAAAAATGAATGTACTGCGACTAAACACAATAACATGCATGAATCTTGGTAATAGAACACTGAGTGGATAAACAATCCTGAGAATACCATGATATACTTTTTACAAAGTTCAACATTAAACAAATTAAGACATATTTATTTATGCATAAGTATAGGTATGATGAGGTTCGGGACAATATGTCATCTTGGAACCTTAGCATTTGAGAAAACAGCACAAGCAGGAAGGTCACCCTTCTTCCCTGAAGCAGGTCATAAAATCCAGGAAGAATTTTCTGATCTTCACCTGAAGTAAGCCATAAGACAGTTATTCAAGAGATGCTCTCCCTATACCTGAAGGAAAAGAGCTAAAGACATACAGATGCCATGAGGAACCTGAACAAATAGGCCTTTATAAGTTTCCTCAGTTTATTACCATTAGATCCTACACTTTTGTCCTCTAATAATGTATCTCCAGTACTTTCTACTTTTCCTCAAACCTAGCACACACAAAAAAATACACAGGTTTATCTGTTTCTTCAGGTCTTCATTTCCTAATGAAGACTCCCTTTTCATGTAAAATGTATATTCAATAAATTTGTATGCTTTTCTCTTGTTAATCTGTCTTTTACTATAGAAACCCCTTTCATGAACCTAAAATGTGAAAGAAAGAAATTTTATTTTCTTTACTAAGGATACAATTATGAAAACAAAACCAAAAGCATGATAAACACTAAATTAAGGTAATATTTTCGTAATGAGGATGAACAGCAGGGTGATGCCATAAGGAGAAGGAAATAGGCAGATGGAAGTTACTTGCAATGTTCTGTTTGCTGAATTGAATGTTGAACCCATGAGTGTTATTATATGTTTTAAAAATAATGAATTTATATTATGCATCATAAATCAATAGAAAATAATACCTAATACAAATATGTATTTTACTACTTTATACATACATTAGCAAATTTAATTCTCACAACATTCCTATGCATTTATATATGCTGTTATCAGCAAGTTACAAATAAGGATTTGGGAAGAAAGAGGTGAGGTAACTTGTCTAGAGTTGCACAGCTAATACATGGCATTCAATAGTTGCTGAAAACAAAAAACTAGCAGGCATCCTTGATTCTTCTCTTTCTCTCATACCTCACATCCATTTCATTAGCAATTCCTAATGAATGTGTCACCAAAATAGATCCCAAGTTTATCTATTTATTTCTCCGCATCTCCACTGTTACCTCCTGATATGGTTTGGCTTTGTGTCCCTACCCAATCTCATCTTGAATTGTAATCCCCAGGTGTTGAGGGAGAGACCTGGTGGAAAGTGATTGGATTATGGGGGTGATTTCCTCCAAGTTGCTCTTGTAGTATTGAATGAGTTCTCAGGAGATCTGATGGTTTTATAAGGGGCTCTTCCCCCTTCACTTCCATCACACATGTAAGACATGCCTGCTTCCCCATTTGCCATGGCCTCCCCAGCCATGCAGAACTGTGAGTCAATTAAATCTCTTTTCTTTATAAATTACCCAGTCTCAAACAGTTATTTATAACAGTGTGAGAATAGGCTAATGCACCTTTCCAATGCAACCTTCAGTTAATCTGACATGAATGACCTCAACGTTTTCGAAGTCTTTTTGCTTCCTCTCTTCCTCCATATTATGAGTTGAATTATGTCCCCATATATTCATATGTTGAAGTCCTGACTCCCAGAACCTCAGAATGACTTTATTTGGAGGTCTCTGTAATGACAGGGTCCAGAACCTATATTCTCAACCACTTGTACACTGTCCTTATCAGTTTCCCAGAGTTAGTTCTGTTCCTTAACAAGATCTTGGGTAACTTGTTTTATTTCATCGGCCAATGCTTAACAACACTGACATATTTGGGTTGGGCACTACCCAAGGAACCTTTCGTTCTAAAGTCCCTCACAGACCAACAGGGCCCTGGCTTGAAATGACCAGATCATGAGGCATTTCACTCTCCTTTAGGTGTCATGTAGATTCCTGCTCTACATCAGTTTGGTCTTAAATATTGCTGTAAGAAGATAATTGGGAGGACTGAAGAGATCATTTGTTTTGCTAATTACATTTGACCAGTGTTATTCTATTGAGTAGGTTTACTCTTCCAGACAAATACACAGACAGAAAACCTGGCCCATTCTTATGGAACCTGAGCATTTTGTTGATAGGAACATATCTTATTTTCTCTTAGATTAGGTCAGACGGCAGCTTTCCAAGATTTTGCAGTTACTTTTCAGATTTATCAACTCATTGGCATAAAACAAATACAAATAAAAATTCCATATGTCATCCCATTTTTATTCCTTGGCAATTTCCCAGAAAAAATCTGGGATAAAAATTTTATTTCATATTTTTAATGGCTTGGAATCCTGAGTAAAAACCTCTTAATACTAAGTTTATTATTAAACTTCTATTGTCCTGAGAAAACAATGACCTTTATTTGTCAAAGGTGGAAACCACAGGAACTATGACTTCATGGCTATTGGGATGTATGAAGCGGTGTTCAGATGCCTATTCTTGAAATGTCAAGGTGCTGCCTAAATTCTTGGCCAAGACTTGCTTAAAAAGGATTTTTTAAATTAAAAAAAAACAAACAACATGAAATCAAATGCCATTTGCTAGACTTATTAGTCATGGCTTAGATACCATAAATCAGATCATTTGAGTGAGGGCCATTGCCCAGTAAATACACATTTTAAATTTAACAGGAAAGACTGTCATAGATACAAATAAATCGCTACACTCTCAGAAACTTACATACCCATTTGAAATATTTTCCAGATATATATCTTTAAAGAGTCTTGCAGGAGAGTTTCTTAAAACTACATTCTTGAACATTACCTCTTTCTTCCAATACAAGACCATTTTCACTGATGTTTCAGCTCTTGCTAAGGCCAGATTTTTATTTTTTATTTTTTCATGGTATATTCTTCTTTTTATTTAGACTTTTAAACATTTCCTTATTTTACATTTGTGTATGTAATATTTTATAAGTAATATTTTATACTTGTCTATGTAGAAGCCTTACACACTTTTTATTAGACATATTCCTGGGTACCTAATATTTATTCTTTTCCTAATTTTTTTTGAATGTGCAGTCTTTTATCCCTCAGCCCCCTCCCATTATGCCTCCTCCCCCTCCTGCCTCACCCAGTCCCCAAAGTCCATTATATTATTTTTATGTAAGGCCGGATATTTCTGAACTATTGCTAGCCTTCTTTTAGCTATTTCTTGGTTGTATTTTCCCTCCAAAAAACAAAACAAAACAAAACACATCAAAAAGAACACTTACTGTGTTTTTTTCTGTTAACCTCATTTCATTATTTGAGTTATTAAGCTAAAAGGTAATCACATTGAAAAGTACCTAAAAATAAGACTAACACATGCCAGAAAATAAGTTGAGAGCATTATCTTACCTTTATGCAACGGATATATTTTGAAATATTCTCAATTTCAAACAAGACAACCATTTTGAGTTTGCCTTTATCTCTAGTCTCTTTATCTTTCCCCAGAAATAAGAAACAAGTGGAATTAGATTTCACTGAAACCTTGAAAAAGCTGTTGGAGATACACTTCAGTGCTATTTGTAACCATGATAGATTATTCTACACTCGGCTCCAGAGAAGTCTTTCATTCTTGAATTTTTTACTGTACCTAATTCTTACTTCAGAGATGAAATATCAGGCAGCAGTCTGTCAGGTTCCAAATAATTCTTTTAATGTAGAAGTTAAATGCTTTCTTTGTTTCCCAAGTAAACCCATTTAGCACCTGCTGAGCTGATAAGAAAATTCCAGTTGCCTGAGTCCAGGTCTCCTGAGAAGATGAGAATGTTTAGCTTAAGATAGAAAAATTCTCTTTCATTCATACCTTTCCAATCTCAAGTTTAGAGTGAGAACAAAGCTTAAAGGTTTGATTGTTTATCTAAAGTGTGAGTTTTGGTGGTGATGGCTGCTTCTTCACTGTATTCTTATTCTTATTCTCCTCTTCCTCCTTTTCCTCCTCTTTCTCTCCCTTCTCCTCCTCCTCCTTTTCTTCCTGTCCTTTTTCCTCATCTTCATCTTTGCTTTCATCTTTATCAAGGACTACATAAGATATGACAATAAACATACACAATATTGACAAAACAAATAATTCAATTTATATCAAACAACCCAAACAAGTTGTTTTTTCAACCATTAACATTTTTCCTCAAAACCTTCATATGATTATTTCCTTTAATAATCACACAAGTTTTATGAGATAGATCTCATCTTCACTTTACAAACCAGAATTCTGAGGCTCAGAAGAGTTAAATTGGTCAAATTTCACACAGATGGTAAGTTTTGCAGCTGACACTTAAACCCAGCTCTATCTCATCCAAAAGACTATGAACTGTTCCACAGACATTAGTACACATTTTCTGAAACAAAATAAAATGAAGCAGGGTTTCCTGGCTTAGCAGGTGATTTCATAGAGTGGCAAGAAGATTAAGTGAGGAATAAAGGGAACTGTATTAGAGTCACACTTTTGCCTCTATGTTCATGACTGATTACCTCTGTGAACTTTGGTTTCCGTATCCATAAGTTAAAAAGATTGGACTAGACCCTACAGTCCTTTGGGCTCTAAGATTCTGCGCTCCTTAGTGTATTTGAGGCTACAGAGTTAGACACTGACATCACCAGCTACCTTGATTGTCTGTCTTTCTCCATTGATAAGCAGGAAACAGAGACGGAGGTAACCCAGGCAATTGCAGAACAGTGCTAGACTCCTGACTTCCTTTTTACTTGCCATGGGTGTCTCCCCTTTTACTGCCTCTCTATATAGCTTCCAGACTTGTCTGCTCAAACTCTAGTAAGTTTATCCTTCCTACCTGAAGGCTGCTTAGAGATACCAAGAAGGACACCCTAGGCAGAAAATAACCCTCTTCCCCCCTCCATTTTTTTTGAAGAAATATTTAACTCAGTGTTGCAGGTACAAATTGGTTTCTATCCTTCCTTATTTCAGTGGCCTAGTCCACATTACTTACCCTTTTTCAGTGACCTCATCCCTGCAGAACCTCCTCACCCCAATAAAAGACTTTCTAGGTCTTTCTTGGTTGCAATTGATTTTCTTATGACCTGAAATGAGTCAGTAATATTCTCGCTTCTAAAAATATAGAAACCCCATAAGAGACACAGAGATGAAAGCTATTCCAAAGCAGCAAACTAAATCCAGCAAGTCTCGGGGTAGAAGTCCACAGATTTCTCTTTGGTGGTTTCTTCTACAACTGTGAACATTTTTTGTTTAATTATTTAATTTTTGTTTGTTTCTTACATGTTTGCTTTTTTGATTTATCTTCCTTAGTTATGCAAGTGACCTCGGTATCTTCCTAATAAACCTTCCTCTATGTTTAGAGTTGATTTTGATAGTATTCCCCCAAAACTTAAATTGATTCGATGATTTGCCTCATTCATATAATTACAAAATATCCCCCTAATTGGACTCCTTTAACTAAATTTTAAACCCCTTCACACCCTATCTCACTGCCCTGCACTTGTCACCATCTAACATAAACATTTTACTTACTTATATTCTCTTATTATTACATTACTCCTAATAGAATATAAGTCCTATGGAAGCAGAAATTGTAGTCTGTTATTCCCAGTGCTATATATTCAGGGTCTAGAATAGTTTCTGGCACTCACTTAGGAGTTATTTGTTAGATTTGTAGACATTTATGGTACTAAAGGTACTGGGATATTATTTATATCTCTCAGGATTTCTAATCTCTTAAGGAACTCTTTCTCCTCTCCTCTCCTCTCCTCTCCTCTCCTGTCCTCTCCTGTCCCCTCATCCTCCCCTTCCAGCCTCCTCCTCTCTCATTCTCCTCTTCCTTTCTCCTACTTTTCCCTCCCTTCTCCGTCTCCTTCTCCTCCTCTCCTCCCTGCACTTCCCTTCCCTCCTCTCCTCATCATCTGTCTTCTCTGTCTCCTGTCTCTCTCTTTCTCTTTCTCACAAAAGCTACATTTGCTTGTTAGTTTGCCTTCTTATAAGTTGACAACTCAGTGGGAAGGCACAGGGTGAAATTTTCCCTTCCAGACCTTTGTCTAGGGCTCACCATTTTCACCTTTGTAATAATATAAAATAGAAAATTAACATTTAGGTATGGTCTTGGGGAAAAGTTAAGGCTGCCTTTAGTGTTATTAGCCTCTGATGCCCGCCTATAGCCTAGGAAAAGGGTGCCTTCTCTGCAGGTCAACATTGTTACTGAGGAACACTGGGGGAAAAAAAAGTCTCAGAAATGTGTATTTGTATGATCTTGACTTCTGTGCATTTATTCTCCAAATTCCTGGAGTGGAGAAGAGGAGTGGAATGCAGGACAGAATAAAGACAGGATGATCCCTTGGTTGTGGCCATCATTCAATATCTTTTTCTCCTTGGATACAGGAAATTGAAAACTTAAAAGGAAAAACAAATGTTAAAAATCTACAATAAACAGAAATAATTTGATAGAGGCCAGATTCCTTATTCCATGTGTTTTCCTGCATTGTTGAAAAAGTATGCAAGGAAACGCCATCAAAAGAAATAAAATAAAATAAAAATAAATAAAATAAATACAATTTATTTGGCATAAATTAAATGTGCACAAATTCTAGAAAATGACACAACACTTTTTGTTTATTTGGGGAGAACCTATGCAATTTTTTTCTGCTTACAGGAACTACAATAGTATCAATAAGTTGTGATATTTAAGATAATTTTACCAAGGTATGTATTCTTTTCCTAGAAGCTGAAACACACCTAGAAGAGGGGGAAAATGTAGTACCTGCAAGACTTTTTAAAAAATCTTTTATTTTTTTTTTAGAGACGAACTTGGCTTGCTTTTTTTGTTTCTGAGTAGAAAGTAAAGAAAACTTTTCACTCGGTCTCTTAAATGATTAGGTAGGTGAAATAAGAGAAGTTTATCTTTTGTAACAAACTCTAAAGGTGCTTGGTGCAAACTTTTTTGTTTTGTTTTAAATACTCTCTTGCTCCCTTCAGCCCAATAAAGCCTTTTCAATGCCCTAGAGAACCTCTACTTGACTAAATACTGATTAACCAAATGCAGGATCTAGTGAGGTGTTTATTAGCAATAATTCTAACTATACTCCTTTAAAGACCCAGTCTGACCACTCATCACTTTTAATATTTCCCACGTTCCCAGGCCCTTGTACCAACACTTTAGGGTCACTTTCCATGCCACTTTTTCCATAAAGTCATTATTGTCTCCCATTATAAAATCAAATGACCTTCTCTTGCCCTGATTTTCTTCTCTTTTCATCCCCTTCTTTTCCTTTACCTTCCCTTCCCTCCCCTCCCTTTTCCTGCCCTCTCTCTCCTCTCTCTCTTTCTTCTTTTCTTTTATCTGAACTCTATATTTACCCCTGCTTCATGCCACATTCCCCTTTGTACCTTATGTTACGTTTGTTTACACATCTCTTACTCATCCATTTAGAATATGAGTTTTATGGAAGTGGTGTTTATCTCCCATTTATTCAAGTGATTACTGAGCAGAAGACTTTTGCCAAAATGTGCTAGGTCTGGGGAACACAAAGTGGTTTTCCACCTGCAATTCAAGTCTGCTAAATGTGCTAAGGCATCTGTTATGTTAGACCAGTTGGGAGAAGAGTGAAGTTTCCTTTCTCTATGCCCTGGGAATAAACTCATGTTAACAAATAAATGAGCATAACGAATTAATAGTAAAGGCTAATTAATAGCTTTTGCAACAGCGGTTATAAGTTTTCCAAGAGAGAAATGCAACTCCCAGAAATAAGGATCCTGTCAACACTGGAGCTGACAGTTTGTCTACGACTCACCCCACCCACCCTTAGGGGCTTTTCTAAAAAATTGATTGTTACGATAGAGTCCATCTGGTGAAAATGGCAAGAAAACGACAAAGGTTTTTCGTCACCGTCCTCACATTGGCATAGCAGCCAATTGGCAGCAGAGTAAACTTGGAGTTTCTTTATTTTTTCTCTCTCATCTCATAGGCTATGGAAAGTTCTAAATTTTAAAGGACAACAAGGCTGTATTTCAGAGGTGACAGAGTGAAATTCTATGCCCTGCCTTCCACTTCAAGCTCAAGTAACTCCTGACTAACATATTGTAATATAGCAGAAAGAACAGTTTTGAATACTTCTGCCCTAGGATCTGCTCTCCCAAGAAGCAGTGGGAAAAATAGTTGAGATCAGAAGTCATAATTCAGTAAAAAATGTAGAGCAGATTTGCTCAGAGTGTTATGCTTGGCCAGTTTGAATCTGCAACACCCTGGAGCCGTGATAAAAGTGCAAATTTCTAGGCTCCCTCACAAGCCTAAGTCAGAACCTCTGAAGTTAGGGCTCAGCAACATGAAATTTTGACAAGCTGTCAGGATGATTCTAAACTGTAACAATTCCTTAGGTAAGGGTAGTGAAAGGATATTAAAATATTCTAGAAGGAACCCTCATTTAAAAATTGGCTTCTTTTTATTTTTTTGTGGGGATTATTAATAGAAAACATTGTTTTTGAAATCCGAGTTTAGATTATTGTTCTTGTCTTCTAGGAATTCAGAAATTTGTAAAGAATATGGTAAAAATTACTTTGGGGCACTATCTTGAACATTAAGAGAGTGAATATGTTAAAGGTAATGCAATTAGTTGGCTATTAAATGACTTAAAAAGCCAAAGAATTCAAATAGTCTTGCATGAAGTTTATAGAGTTGAACAGAAATCCTAGAAATGAGTGTAGAGAGTGAGTTTTCAATTTATGAAGCCAACAGGTTAAGGCCATTTTCAGCAGTTGAAAATAAATTTAACAGTGAAGATATTTATTGCCCTTTGGCTGAAAACAATGTTTAGAATTAAGTTGCTGGCTTTGGAGAAATCTGTAAAATGTATAGTAGATTATGTGGCCAGTTCTTTCTAACTTTCAAATACTTGAAATAAAATCTGCAGTTTTCTACATGAGGGAGAAAAGTGCTTAGTGGTACATATTCCTGGCCAAATCACTTTAGAATCCAACAGCTTTACTTTACAAGAATTCTTTTCTATAAAATGTGCATTCTTGTTCAATTTCCCTCCCTCCATTTTCCTTCTATAACTTTATAATCTTTAGTCAGATTTTAAGCAAATATAACAATAACTTCAACTATAATAGAAAATATACAAGATATAAATAAAGGCTGTGTCATTTTGGATACAGACCTCTGTAAACAAAATGTTTGAGCTCACTACAAAATTTCAACTGATATGAAGAAAGTATTTTGTGGTTTTTGGAAGCAAGAAAACACATCTTTTAAAAACCCTCTGTAGCGGTCCTTTAGTTAAGGTGTTGTGGTTGATTTCATTGTGCAAAGCATATTTCAAAGAGCTTCAGATGGTCATTTGATACTGTGCAATCTCATGCGCCTAGTGGATCATGTTTCCCTAGACAGAATTACAGTGTAAACTTGCATAAAATTTTAATTTGATATTGTTTTTTTCCTTCTTGTTCAGTAAGAGAAACCCATTTTCAGTAATAGCAATATCATATACACACAAAGACTTCAATGTTAAGGATTCTAGAAATAAGATCTTCAGAATTAATAGACACAGTTAAAATGATGTGATAGATAAAATTCCATGGAATCTTCATAGTATAAAAGTTAAGTATTAAAAAATCCAAATGTTTGAACTACATTTGGGGGAAGTTTTGATTGTGCGACATTTTGAGGTTATAAAACGTAAGAATAGTCTCACATAAGATTTATTCCAAGTTCATCTAATATACTAGCACACAGTTTGTATTAATGCATGTAACTATTTCATCATAGCCTTAAATGCAAATTATGGCACAGAGATTTGACTGAGCTTATTACAATAAATTATTTTTGAGAGATCAAATCAATTGACAAATGGATGGAGGAGTAATTTGACACCTAATTGAAAATTTTTTTTTTTTTTTTTTTGGGGGGGGACGGTGTCTCGCTCTGTCGCCCAGGCTGGAGTGCAGTTGCGTGATCTCGGCTCACTGCAAGCTCCGCCTCCCGGGTTCATGCCATTCTCCTGCCTCAGCCTCCCGAGTAGAGTAGCTGGGATTACAGGCGCCCACCACCACGCCCGGCTAATTTTTTTGTATTTTTAGTAGAGACGGGGTTTCACCATGTTAGCCAGGATGGTCTCGATCTCCTGACCTCGTGATCCACCCGTCACGGCCTCCCAAAGTGCTGGGATTACAGGCGTAAGCCACTGCACCCGACACCTAATTGAATTTTTATGAACTCTATAGTAGAGCATCTCTTCTATATGACTACCTTTTACAGCACTTACTAAGGTATATCATAACTTTTTGTAAATGATTATTGTCTTCAGTTCATATTGATGTAGAACTAAAATATTGTCAAATTTGCCTGTTTAAAAACATGCTCCAGGCCAGGCGCGGTGGCTCATGCCTGTAATCCCAGAACTTTGGGAGGCCGAGTCAGGTGGATCACCTGAGATCAGGAGTTCGAGACCAGCCTGGCCAACATGGTGAAACCCCATCTCTACTACAAATATAAAAAAAATTAGCCGGGCGTGGTACTGGGCGCCTGTAATCCCAGCTACTCAGGAAGCTGAGGCAGGAGAATTGCTTGAACCCAGAAGATGGAGGTTGCAGTGAGCCAACATGGTCCCTCTGCACTCCAGCCTGGGTGACAGAGTAAGACTCCGTGTCAAAAAAAAAAAAAAAAAAAAATGCTCCAGTTATCCACATAATAAAAAATAACAAAAAAATCCCTGCAAATGTCTTACTATTTAAATTACCATAATCCTTCGCATTGTTTTTCTTTGCCAAATAACAATTTTAAGTCCATCACTTACCATCAAGTGATAAATTACTTACAAGCAAAGTAAAGGACCAATGACAATGACTATTTCAAGGTTGTTATTCTCCTTGAACTTTCTGAAGTATTGAACACAGATAGGCACCTGTATTGAAAATTGTTTTTTTTTTTTTTTTGAATGCCTAAATCACACAGCTTTTTTCCTGGTTTTATTCTTTTATTCATTTATATACTAATTTGTTTGTATTTTCACCAGAAAAAATTACACTGTATATAAGATTATAGAAATTAGTTTCATCCTAAGAGCAGTAAATATTAGTAATGAGATAATTTAAGTGAACAAAAAGTAGCTGATAACTTTTCCTTCTTTCTACTAGCAAAAGTCTTTTTAAAAATTGTATACAGAACAAAAGGCATCAGATTCAGGTGTTTACAATATAATTGTAATCACTTTATTTCTGCTTCCCTAATTTAGGAGATAGAGGGTGAAGAAAACTTGGCTGTGTTACCATCAGTGCAGTTTATTTCTTCAGATTCAACAAATGAAATTCACAGTGGTTTCTGGAATCTCCATTACTATCCACTGGCACCAAACACAGAATAACAAACACATACTTTTTTGGTTCTATTCAAGAATTACACACAAGAAAAGTAGGTTTGTGTTATATACTTCTTCAGCATCTTTAGTTATTGTGGTAATACAACAGCACCAGACATTTTTTCTTTATAGTTTTTTAGATGACATCTTTCTTAATGCCTCAATTAAGAAGGGTATCCCTTTAATAGAAAAAGAAATCACATCTTATCCAAAATTATGAATATGGAAAATATGGATGTGATCTTTAGCCAGCAACATGAATGACTATTCCAACAAGAAACTGAAAAGAAAATTATTATAGAACATTCAAGCTATTTCTCAAAGATACCTCCATGAAAAATCAGGTTCTCAATTAGAGGTCATGGACCAGATGGACACATTGCAAGGCTGAAACATAAAAATAAATTTTGGTTGAAAACAAAACCAATGAGATATAAACAACAATATTTAAATAAATTTAAAATATACAAGCTTATGTATATTTTAAAAAATAAACATTTTACAGGAACCTATATAAACCAAAAGATGTATTTAAATATACTAAAAGTATGGTGCATGAGGAGAGGCATAAAATAAAAAAGGAATGGTTAAAAATGCAAAACATCATTAAAACAGAAGAAGAGCTTTGTATGGAAAATTATGACAATCATCTATGCCTGAGTTATGGCTAAATGAATGTGAAATCCTGCTTTCATTAAGATATGTTTTAATGGATGTATCTTGAGACAAATTCTCATTACAACTCCAGTTAGAGGTTTTTCTTTCCCTAGCAATCTGCTTTCTTATTCCTTCTGACAGTAGTAATAATAAAAGCTAACCTTTGATGATTGCCTATGTTCTAAACGTGTTAAATGTTGAATTATACCTAATCTTAAAAATGATCCAATGACGTAAGTGTCATCATTGTCCTTATTTTACTAATGAAGAAGATTAGGTGAATTATCCAAGGTCACAAGCTTATTGCCCATCTGATTCTGGATACCTGCTTTAACCTTTAGACTTCAGCTCCCACTGAAATTCTGTGTATAGCTGAAGTCAGTGTTTAATATTCAATTGTATAGTATCTTTAGCTAGCTGTCTTTTAAAAAAATTTTAACTATGTTATCCATGAGTGAGGAAACTAGTACATCATATTTTTATTTAAAACAATTTTGCCCAAATATATTTTAAATTATTGAGGTAAATACAAAAAGTCCCTATTCAGAGGTGAGGTCTGTGTTAAAATTTTTAAGAAAGAAGAAATAGATATACTTAGCCAAAAGAAAGAAAGAAAACCTAATTATAGAGAAGAAATTAATTAGAATATTCAGCTTCAAAGAGTAGTTTTAATCGGTGGAACTGCAAATTCCTATTGGAATAAAGAATAAATATGCTAAATATTAATAATATTAAATAATTTTATTTTTTATATCCAATTCTCACAATAGAGGAAAAAGTTAGAAACTAGATACTTAAAATTCAAGAGGACACGTAGCTTATTTTGTTGGGGGAATGTAAAGGTTGACTAGGGCTACGTGTTATTACCAAATTTAATTCTTCTTCCTCATTACATAAGCACCTATGACAGGGCAGCACAGTGCTAGTCATTGAAAAAAAAAAATGCCTGGCTTTAAGCAACTTGCAATCTAGGAGATATACGTGGAAAGAACTGCAAATTGTTTTAGTTGGAATTATTTTAGTCTACAGTAGTTTCTGAAAGAAGTATGTGCTTAGTTCTATAAGTGGGGGACAGAAAATATTGGAAACCTTCATGGCGACAGTATTGCTATATCAAATATGTGTTTTGTGGACAGATGTGTGGTAAGATCATTTCTGGCAGAAATTTCATTGCAGCCAAGGCTTGGGGCTGAGGACATACCAGTAAATTCAGAAAACTGCACAAAATTTGATAAGGTTGCAGCAGGAGACCTGTAGTTGTGGGTAGGAAAGAGTCCTGGAGGGGCAAACAAGGGGAAGATTCCTGTGCACAAAAAAAGAAGCCTAGTTTATTATTATTATTTTTAATCAGGTCTTTATATATTTCTGGGTAGAAGACAATCACTTCTTTACCTGTCTCAACTTCAGACTCTTCCTATGCATACTGAACCGACCTGGCTTGTAGTCTTATTGGGACTCAGTAGCCCACAAGTATTTCTTCTGTCTTTATCCCTGTAAATCCAGGGTGAAACCTTGTGGCAGATGCTTGTTTTTGGTTTAGGATTCATTTGAAGTAGCCGCCAGTGAAGACTGTGTCAGTGGGAGCTTCTAGTCTCAGTTATGTTTAGTAGTGATGACTGACTGCCTGGTCAGATTATCTCTCTTTGTCAAGAGCCTCTTTGTCATCTGCCTGCTTTCCAACTACAGTCTTCCAGCCAGAAGACTGTAGTTGGAAAGACTTTCATTTGGAAAGAAAGACTGTATCTGGAAAGACTGTATTTGGAAAGACTTTCACTTATTCAATTCCACGTATCTCCTTCAAAGAAATTCATTTTTTGCTGAAAACATTGAGTTACCCTCTGGTGTTTATATTCTAGAAGCCTGTTTAACAAGGATATCATTAACAGAAATTGGTTATTGACATCTGATATGATTTGAATCTGTGTCCCCAGGAAACCTCAGTTTAAACTGTAATCTCCTATGTTGAAGGTGGGGTCTGGTGGGAGGTGATTAGATCATGGGGGAGGATCCCTCATGACTTAGTGCTGTGTTTATGATAGTGATTTCTTGTGAGATCTGGTTGTTTTAAGTGTGTGGCACCTCTTCCCACCACCTCTCTCTCTTGTTCCTTCTTTTGCCATGTGATGTGCAAGATTCTGATTCACCTTCAACCTTCAGAACCATCAGCCAATTAAACCTCTTATAAATTACCGTTTTCCAGGTATTTCTTTATAGCAATACAAGAATAGCCTAATACATCAGATTGTTGGCCAATGTAGGGACTTCAACATTGGCTATCTGCATAGCTTAGGTAAAAGATGGTTAAAACCCTGAAATTATTTGGGAGTGAAAGTCTGGAAGACAGTGATTCATAAAATTGAAACATATAGTTACCTGAAAGACACAACTCCTAAAGGTAAGGCTTTGAGGAACAATGTATCTATGGTCACAGAAAAAGGTGAAGGGCATGAAATAATTAATAGGTAGAGTAGCTGCTTAAAGGCCCATGGAACAGCTGGAAAAAAGAGAATGGGAAACTCAGATACCTGTGTTCTCAGCTCAAGTTCAGAAAATTGCAAAGTGTTTTATAAGGTTGTAGCAGTGAATTTGTAAATAAGGATAGATAGGAAGTTCTGGAAGAGCTTTATCTAAGGGTTTTATAAATCTAGGGGGTTATAAAATTATTTTAACACTGTAAAGGCTTTATTTTTACCCATTGCAGGAAGAGAGCTCAAATCAAAAAGCCTATTCTGAATTGTAATGAATGCACTATTCAACTTGTCTCTTTATAAAAAGTTAGAGCATTGATCTGGAAACAGAACCTCCCTCCCAAGAAATGGAATAGGGATTATACAACAAGATTCAGATGCACTGGTGTGCCAAGGATTCCCCAATCCTCACTGAAGCTCCTTTGCTTGCTGAAAAGCCCCACTCTTCTTGAGTTGTAAAGCAATTTCTACTTGTTCAGAGACTGTTTCCTCAACTCAGGCATTCATTCGCTTTAGGGGAAACATAATTCTTGTCATGCCCCATCCCCTTAATCTTCAATATGAGAGGTAGTAACAGGGTATCAATTAAAAAGTAAAATCTAGGGATGAAAACATTATTCTAAATGAACTATAAGAATTTTCTAATCTATACTAGCTACACATTAGGAAAGACAGATCTTTAGGATACTCAACAAAGGAGGGAGAGCAATAAAAATAGAGCAGACTAGCTTTAGTTATAAGAGCATACTTATAGGTTCTGGTTCCGGATTTATTATATTAGAGGTTCTGGATTTATTATACTAGTTTAAGTAGGTGGGAGTCTGATAGTTTCGTGGACCACTTATCACAAAATGGAACTCAATGGAATCTTACATTAAATGAAGTTGATCCTTTGGTAGATTATAAAGGCACAAAATCAGAACTTTCTCAAAATGAAATTTTGTAGTGGATTTATTATACTTTCACCAAGCATTGAGACCGATATTAGGGATGGGAGTACCAGCATCTTTTAAAAGATTTTAGTGATGTCCATGGGTTGCTGGTTGTCTTAGTTCATTTGAGATGCTATGACAAAGTACTATACACAGGGTGACTTATAAACCATTTAAATGTATTTTCTTTGTAGCTCTGGAGGCTGAAAAGTCCAAAGTAAAGGTGCTGACAGATTTAGTGTCAGACAGGAGCTTCTTTGTTATTTATAGTCGGTGGTTTCTTGCCATGTCCTCACATGGCGGAAGAGATGGGGGATCTCTCAGGCCTCTTTTATGAGGGTCTAATCCAATTTATCTGTTGTCAGGCCCTAAGTACCTCCCAAAGGCCCCACCTCATAGTAACATCAGTTTGGGGGTTAACATTTCAACATATGAATTTCCAAGGGACACAAAAATTCAGACCATAGTGTAGGTAGAAGGCAGAGTCATGAAAATTGATCCCCTTTAGTGAAGAAGAGCAAAGCTGGAGTGGAAGAGATCAAGTAGTGTCACTTGACTGCCAATGAGCAAAGTAACTATATTTTTTATTTATAGGTATTAGGATCAGCATGAAATCAGAATCACCCGTCACAAAGAGAACTTAATAATGGCCAATTGCAAATTAGATTTCTAGCAATGAAGAAGTGAAATTCGCCATCTTGTTATTTGATTTGTAAAACTCCAGAACCACTCATCAGAGCCCTGAATTGAGTCATTACAATATATGAGGCAGACTTTCTGCCCTTCATTGAATTTTTAAACCTCAGTCAAATCATGGACCTAGAAATGCCAGAATTAAGGATAGAGCATTTTTTCTTAAATATGTATTTTGTAATGATATCACAAGTGTTTGCTACTATATATATTTTTAAACCTAGTCCCTGAAGAGGAAAATATGGCTTTGAGGCAAAACTAATTCCTGGGGTCATCAGCCACTTTATAAGGGTTGTTTGGTGTTAAGATGGGACAAGTGAATAATTTATCTTGTTCTAGGTTATACCCTTTTCATATTTATATTTCCCAAGTAATTGTATGTATAATTAAAATTAATGAGCTTTGAAAGTGATAGATTTCTCATACTGTCTCTGTAAGCCATAAATGAAGGACCCATTCTGATTGAAAAAAAACTCAAATATTTCAGAGCTCCTCACTTCTATAAAAATATTGGATTAATAGCAAGGTCATGTCAGTAAAAAAATAGACATATCAGTGCCACCTTCAAAGACTTAAAAGTGCAGAATTAATGATTCCCAGCAGATTTCCATTTAAACTAGTGCCTGGCAGTACAGCGGACAAATAGTCTTAGAGGATAAAAATGAATTTTCCGAAGTTTAATTACATGGCAACTCCTGTTGCAACTGCTGTGCCATATGTAGTCTAAATCATTACAGCTCTTAGTGCCTTGTATGAAGCAAATGATCTGAGGAATGTCTGTTCCTTCTATTCCAATAAACAAAATGACCAGAAGCAGTATGCTTTCTTTTACCAGACAAGAACAGCAATACAATTTTGCTATACTATTCCTGGATTGTGTTAATTCCTTGACTTTGTGCCATATTTTAGTCTGCAGAAATACTGTCTTACAGGACATCGTGTGATACAATCAAGAGGGTAAACTGTATTAGCTAGATACTTTCTGACATTCACTTGAATGTCAGAAATGTTGGAGATAAATAAAATAGAAGGCTGTAAGTGGCCAACTCATTGATTTATTATAGAGGTTTAGGGTCTAGGACAAGTTGAGATATCCCTTCACAGTGGAGACATTTTGTTGAACCCTACATCCATTACCACTAGAAACATAGTCTCTTTGAATTGTGGAGGCCACATACAACCACATGCGAATCCACTACTGAGAAAGTATAAGCTTTCAGTTTGTCCCATGGCAAGAAGTGGTTCTCCAGAGAGATGTGGTCACAGTGATTTCACTGGTTATCACTCATCTGATTAAACGATATTCAAAGAATATATGGCAGCTAGATGCAGCCAGTGGTGAGCCTTAATAGGAGGATTCAACCTCCAGCTTTCCAAAATAAAAGCATGCTATCTTTAGTAAGTAATTATTATCCTTTTCGGACCTTAGGGGAGACTGAACAATAATTTGATGTTAACTGCCCATAAACTCAGTATTGTCTGGTCTATCTAGCCTAATCTGAATTGCCCAGCAGTGCTGATTCAGCAAGTACATGATATAAATGGAAATGAGACCAAACGGATTCTAGTCCTATGGCACTGCTGCCTTTCTGGTAAATCACACTTATGACCTCATAGAGGTTTTCTCTATAACTTGAAAGAGTATAAATACCATCTGATGATAGTTGACAAGATATAATACGCAGGAACTGATTGCAAAAATATAGCTCTGATTTTGGATGGCCTGGAAGGGCAGTTTTGTAAGATGTTAAGATGTTAAGGATAACAAGGATAAGGATATACAAGAATACATTTGGGATTCAGTGAAATCTCAACATTATTGGAGATATTATGAATCTAACAGTATTTTTTTTCAGCATTCTGAAGACATTGTGTCTTGTATGAGAGCTCATCTGAAGTGTTTTGGAGATGAGCTGTAAACTGATTGGCGTCTAAGCTGCTAGCCTCCTGTGGTAATATCTCCTGAAGGCCAATGGTTCTAAGGCTAACTTGGTAGAAATGGAGAGAATTTGAGAAGCAGGAAGAAAATGATTCTAGATAAGAGTGATCTGGGTAGCTGGTAACAGAGCTCTCCCCAAAATCACAAGGCTGTATTTATTTTTATTGTTTAATTAGCTAGTGAAAGCCTTCCTGTGGAGTCCTGGAGCAACTGGCACAAAAGAGTTATAAATATGCCAGTTGAATCAAAATATAACTAGCTTAGAAGTGGCAGAGTTTATAACTAGTTTAATATTAGTTTTGGAATCAGCATAGCCTCAGGATGGTTTAGACACAAAGAGTAAGCTGTAAACAGAAGGTTATTTACTATTTATTCATAATGACAGAAAAATTTCTTATTACCAGTATTAATAAAAAATCATAGTGATACAAAGTGCAGTGAAAGGCAAAATATTGACATTTCTTTGTCAACTTATATTCAGTATATGCAGACCCCCACATGCATATATGTGTGTACAATTGCATAATATATGTGTGTATGTAAATAAGCATGTATATACATTTTGTGTGTGTCTGTGTGTGTATGCATGTAGAGAGAGAGAAGAACATTTTTCTGGAGAAACTGAATAGTCACAAAGAAAAAGACATATAGATATTGAGTTGGGGATTGGTTTGCCCCAATAAAATAGCAAAGTCCATACCTACTCATTCTAGAGTAAAGCTGATTGGTGCTATCAATTCTCACAGATATTTTAATAAGGACTTTCTTTTTAAATATGAATCTATGTTCAGCAAAGCACTAACAGACATATGAGGAAAGACTCTAATATAAAATATCTCTGGAGGTTAAGTAAAACCAAGAAAAAAGTCAAAGAAAACAAAATTATTGCAAGAAGACAAAAACCTCGCACTGCCAGCAAAACTCTTTAGTTAAAATCCTAAGTGAGATAATAGAGATAGTAATTACATGAAACAAAAGAATGCTTTAGTAAAAAAGATCAGAGAACAAGTTGATGTATACTAAGAGTAAATGTATACGATATAGAAAATTTTAAAAACCAGAAGATGAAATCTGTCAGAAATCATAAACAATTTTGAGAAGGGAATTAGAAAAGACTAGATAGAATTAGACAATCTAATCAGATTTATTTTAAGCCTTAAAAAAAGAGAATATAAAAAAATTGATAGACTATATGAACATGAACTTCCAGGTTGGAAGAATTTTTGAATGCCCCATGAGTGAGTAAAATACACCCTTTCAAAACACACTATTATAAAATTACAGAAAGTGAAGATTGAAAAAAAAATCCTAAGGGTTTTCAGAGAGGGAAAGGGGTCACATTCTGAAGACTCAGGCCATCATTTTATCAACGTTTTCAGTCTCAACTCGAAAAGTTCCAAGACAATTGCTTCTTCGAATATCGTCAAACTTTTGAAGGAACACTATTTTAAATTAAAATTCTATTTAGTTAAAATACCAGGTAGGAGGGTAGGCTGAATAAACACATTTTAAAACGTGAATTTAAAAAAAAAAAAAAAAAAGGCAAAAACATATCCCAGGTAACAGGAAGTGAAGCGATTAGAGGATAGACTCTGCCAATATTGTGGTGTTAACCAAGAAAACACAAGATGGTGGAAGCAACAAGGAATCCGACAGAGAAGCTGGGTGAAGGGAAGTCCAGGACCATAACCGTCGCTGACAGACCCAGAAAGCGAGGTTTATAATATCCATACATTCACTTTAAAAGGCAGTAATTCAAGAGAAACAGTGTGATTTATTTTTGTGTTAATTTTAATTTATACCTTAGGGAAGCTTACTTAACATTGGAAGAAAACTTATAATGAAGACCTACTACATGAATTCTTTTAATGCCTGCTGCAAGTAAATGTCTACTATATTAGATACAATTGAGTTGCACTTACTTTTATCAAAACACCTCCACGTACGTTGTAAGAGAGGATTCTTATAGCCTTTGATAACTATAAGGCAACTGAAATGTCACATAAAGAACCTAATAACTGTGATCTACCAAATTAGCTTAGGTTGCTTTCTAACAGCAAGGAAATTGCCTTGAAGTAGGAAGTTATGACATCTCAGGAGAAATACTATCTCCCAGGAGAAAAAAATGAATCTAATATGTCTGTTTTTTTTAATCAACAATTGTAAAATGTTCTAAGTCGTTTCAAAATATTGACTCATTTAATCTTCACCACAACTTTATGAGGTACATATTAGTATCATTGTTATTATTATTGTTAATTTAAAGATGAGGAGACTAAGGCAGAGAAAACTAGAAATATAATTGTCTAAGATCTCACAGCCACTAAATAGCAGAGATGTATTCAAACCCAAGCAGGTGTGGCTTTAAGCACCATGCCATTTGCCTCTATTCACTGAGTGGAAACAATTTTTTCAAATGATTTTACAATTCTGTTTGAGATTTTGGAAAATATGAATGAAATATTTGTATATGTAATGTATTATGTACAGTTACATATACAGAGAGAAAGCAAATAAATGTGCTACAATAAAGAATCTATAGTACTTTTGCAATGTTTTAGTAGTAGACAATGTTTATATTGTATAAAAAAGTATGCACTAAATATTCATTTAATAAAAGCTTGTGATATGCATATATGGGACTGAGCAAGCATGTTAAATGTTAACTTAATTAAAAAGGTTAAATTGACAAATTAAAAAATAACATAAGCTGGAATATTAAAGCAAATACTAAAAAAAAGCTTTCGAATAAAGTTAAAAATAATGGCCTCTTGGGAGCAGGGCTTACACTGAAATGGGTGGGGTTGGTAATTATTACCTTCATTATGAGTTTTGTGGTAGTCTTGACTTTTTAAATTATCATTACACTATTTTAAATGTCTTACTTTGACATTTTAAGATTTTATATATATGTGTGTGTATATGTGTGTTAGATATATATTTTAGTGGATTCCTTTTATATTTAAAAAATTATATAACAAAGTTTAGTCAAACAAAGCTGAAATTGATTTATTAAGAGAAAATTCTTTTTCTTAGCAAAAGTTCAATCAATTCTAAATAAACAAAGCTCCCAGGAGCACCTAAGGAGTCCATCCAACCATCGCTGAAAACAGATGTGTCAGATACAAGTGCCAGCAAATTTGAAATTTCATGTCTTTTATCCACTCATGCATTGTCTTCTTTTCTAAATGTCAATAGTCTTCAAGAATGTGACAAGCTAAATTCCTTAGTGAAAGACAGTTTAGCAAAGTATCTTCCTTTTTAGTAGGAAGAAGTAGAAGCAATATAAGTAAATTTAAAACAAAAAATGCTAAAAAAAAAAAGGAGGGAAGTTACAAAAAATACAACAACAACAGCTTTATTTCCTATCAAATTTCTGAAAGGATTTATGTCTGGAAGGCAAAATTATCGACTATCACATTCTCTTCTGAAATAAATTTCTGGCATCATTTCCTCATATGTGAAAGCAAAGTTTGCAGAAATGATTTGTAAGATCCCCTTGAACTTTGAATTTTTCACTATGAAAATTGTCTATACTTATCCAACATGTTCACCTTCATTATCTCATTTGATCTTAAGATGACCTCGAGCACTTCTCAGGGAAAATACATTATCGGGAGACTTAGGCTCATGATAGTTAAATGGCCTATGCAAGGCCAAGCAACTACTAAGTTGCCAAAGGAAAATTCAAACTCACATTTTTAAAATATCAAAATCTAAGGCTTTCCATTATGTTCCTACTTACACAATTATGCTGATCAAAAACTCATGGCTATAAAAGTGATACAAGTGCCTTATATGTTTATTTGCTCATTTATTCCTTCAGTAAACATGTGTTGACTACTTGCTATGTGCAAAGCCTCATAGACATTTAAAATATCAAATTGTCACTAGATAGATTGTGCCATAGCCACCTTATTAAACTTTAGGATTCCTTTCTACCTTTTTGAAATATCAGATAGGACTAGTCAGAGTCTTTTATTAATTTTTATATCAGTTCATATGACTCAGACATTCTTACTAACTTCTGAAATTTATTCAACTTAAACAGTTCCAGAGAAGAGTTAAAGTACCCACTCTTCAAGAATCAATAATCGAAGAAAAGTAGATTAGAATGTTACAGGAAAAATCGAGACACAGATAGTGATTACCCTGACAGTGGAAACAATTCTATGTTTTTAGTCTGGAAACAATGATATTAAAACTCGGCAAGCATTGTAGATGATCATTTTTATTTGTGTCATGTCTCCCAAAGTCCTTAAAATGTGATTATTATCATATGCGCACAGAATGAGAGAGAAGAGTTAAGAATGATTTCCAGATTTGTGGTTTGGGAGACTGAATGTGACAAAAGTCTCAAAAGTATAAAATGACAGGAGCAGTTAGAAGTAAAAGGAGACAGAGAATTTCGTTTTACATATATGCCCTTGAGACATGCAACAGGAGATGTCTAGAAAGCAGATATACACACACATTGGAAAGCAGGTCTTCTAGAAGCTGGGTTGCAGATACAGACTCAGGAGTTACCATGATGGAGGAGATGGTTGGAACCATAGAATCATGCAGGAAATGTGTATAGAGCAAGAAGAGCACAAAGCAGAGGACAGAATCTCAAAGGGTTCCAAATGCTAGAAATGCTCTTAAATAATGTTATAAAGAGGAAATAGAGCTTTGGGATATAGACAGAGAGAAGTCACCAGAAAATGGGAGGAAAAACTAGGAAAGAGTAATGTCAGAACAACTAAGACGAACATTTAATAAAAGGGGGTGGGTCAGTATTGTCAAAGGCCAAGTATGCTTAACACTAAAAGACTTCAACAGATTAGTAAATGTGAGGATCATTGCTGATTTTCTGTCAGAACCATTTTAGGGAAGCAGAATTAGAAGTCATATTTTGGTTGGCAGATCATGAGTGGAATGGTGAAGAGGAAATAGATTGGAGGCAGCCAGTATACTACTCTAATTTTCCTACAATGAACATGTAGCAACATTTGTATAAGAAAATTATAAAAAGACTAAAATCAGTTTGGCTAAAAAAATCAACAGTAAGACAATAGCTGGAAGAGGGCCATGCAGATTTGAAGATCATCTGTTGTTTAAATCCTGAGGGTTTAGGAAAAGGAGAGGGAGAAATGCAACAGAGAGAGGAGACAATTGTTGTGAGAAAGCAAGTAACACTTGGTTGTCTTCTTAAAATGTGATGTGAGTACACCTACATACCTATAGGACTAGTAAAAAATCATGTCAAAATAGGATCTCAATCTATAAAAACCCTTTAATATAAATGCATTTTCCAGTTGAGAGTGTAGGGCTAATTCCAAATAAGGCTATTATTTCTGTAATTGTTTATAACAAACTAGACCTAACTCTGTGAAGCAATCCATTACTATTTTGTAGATGACAAAACTGAACTTTAATTTACCCTCCTATGGTTAGGAGAGAGGAAAGAGGTGGTTCACAAAAGGTCCTCTGAATCCAATGCTTAATCCTCTTCACGGTGCTCTTTGACAATACTCATGTGAGCTGTTAAATGAGTCATATAACATTCACTGAAGCTAGAATAAGAGAGATTTTGAAAAACAAAACAACAATCAATCCACATAATAACACCTAAATGAAATATTTTTTGTTTGCATCTTTTCTCAAGAAGCATAATTTTTTTTCATCAAGTATCAGAAGTGGAGGACACACTACTTTAGATATGTGTTAAAGAAAAAAGTAGCAGTGTAACAGAATGTCTCATAAGGGACTATATGCAAAACATGTGTTATATTATAATGAATAAAAAATTATCCCACCTTAGCAGGTACTTGGAATAAATTGTTAAAAGAAATATAATAGGAAATAGGGATACAAAAATTATTTCTCTGAAAAAAAGCATAATACCAAGATTAGCACCAAAATCAGGTAGTGCTTTCCAGATATCACATTTACATTTTTTCAAATACATATATTTATTTATTTTTCCCTTAGTCAAACACATTACAGCATCTATTTTATATCAGGAACAGATAAAATATGTCCATATAAACAGAAGACATTGGCTTTTAATTATTTGTATTCAATTTTTAAGAAATGATCATCTAGGGAAAATGTTTTAAAATCTTTTAAAATATCTTTTTGTTATACTTTAAAACTGCCTTCAGCTGCCTATTGGTAAATAAGGTCTGGATATCAGTACATGACAACATATACTAATGAATTGAACTGTGAATTAGGAATGAAAATTGCCTAGAAATTTTTTTATGAGTTATTAGGATTAAAGTAAGAATTTCCTTTGCTGGGCTGTGTAGGCACTAAGATTCCGTGGTTGTTGGAGGGGTTAAATTTGGATCTACTAGTGCATATATTTTACCGAGGATTCATAAAAACACGACAGTGGAGCCTGGGTCAATCCATTACCATGTACAAGCAGTGACCAATAGAAAAGGAAGAAGAAGATCCAAGAAGGCTGAGGTAAGCAGTCTTCTGAAGCCCTGTCAAAGTGGAAACAATAGATCAAAGGTGTTCATGGTGACTGGGACGAGTAGGTTTCACTGTTTCTCATAGACGACTTGACAGCTTAAAGTAAAAACAAATTATTTTCGTCAAAGTTTTTTTTTTTCTCTTAACTGATTTTTAGCAAACCTCAGACTGAGACACAGGACTCAACGGTGTATTCCTGGAAGGCAAGGTAAACTATTTTGCACTTTTAAAAACTCTTAAAGTTAAGCATGCAAAGTACTTATTCAACAGACGCAGGGTTACAACTTCAATAACTAAACCAAAACCCTATTCTGAAAAAGAAAAAAAAAAATGATGTTTCTTTGTTGGAACATGGCCAGAGCAGCGTTCTGCAATCCTAGAAAATTTGACAGCTTGCAGAAGCAGTTCTGCACTTGTTTTCTGCAATTTAATGGCAAAATTGAATGATCAGCATTTCATAAATGAAGTTGACTTTATCTTTTCCTAAGGAATCAGTAAAATTTATTTCATCCTATTATCAATCAGTTCAATAAATGTACATTGGTCAGAATGTTACTGATATATATATATATATATAAATATATATGTAACATATGTATGCTATAAATTATTAAAATATATATGTATATTTCCTGTTAAAATAATTATTTGTACCAATAATCTTTGATGATCAGTGGGGAGGGTTTATGTGTTTTAAATGTATCAAATATTAGTAAACGCTAACCTACTTTCCATTATCCACACTGATAATATGAATATAAAGAAATTCTCCACCCGTATCCTAAATATGTTTTTGGTTGTTTTTGTTTCTTATCAACCATAATAATGGCATAGTTGAATACAATACTCATGTACTTGTGCTATACATCACAATGTATTCAACTCTATATAATAAACTCTATCTCTATATATACATATATATACATATATAGAGACAGAATATACATATTCTCTGAGAGAGAGAGAGAGAGAGAAAGGGAGAGAGAGAGAGAATTGATAATTCAATAGCTTGGCTGAACAACTTAATTGTGTGCTTAAAATTATAGACATCTTCCCCCACCCTCAAAAAACTTACTTGAGAGGTTGAGCTAGAGAATAACAGATTAATTACATTTTTATTCAGATCCTAGAACCTTCCTTCACCATAAAGTGCTAAAATGTTCTTTGATCCCTTCATTCCTTTGGTTCAAGGGCCAAAAGGCCTAGGAAATCTCATCCAGATGTTCTGCTCATTTAAGAGTAAAAGTAAAAGCATATGCTTTCCTCTCAGGAACAACACAGATTCCCAGTTTGAGTTTTTAAAAGATCACTTTTTTGTACTCTCATATTCAACTACTGGTTTCAGTTCAGTTCTTTAAATTAAATAGCTTGAAATGGAAAAACACTTAGAGCTGCTAAAATTTTCTTTCCATTTCTCGGCTTTTATTGTGTTTGGGTTACAACCAGAAAGCTACAAGTCGGTGAATTATTCTCAATGTTTGCAAAATGCTTTGCATATGGTGCCTACTAACTAATGTATATTAATTAAGATCTGTGTATGAAATGTTGACATATTTTCACCTCTTCCCTGAAGAAGCAATGTTTACTGATCATTTTGATGTATAAAATTATCTAAAGGTCAAGATCTTCAAATATCTAACAGTTGTGTTCCTTTTTCTGTAGGTGCTATAATGGCAGGCACAATCTGTTTCATCATGTGGGTGTTATTCATAACAGACACTGTGTGGTCTAGAAGTGTGAGGCAGGTCTATGAAGTACATGATTCAGATGATTGGACTATTCATGACTTCGAGTGTCCCATGGAATGTTTCTGCCCACCCAGTTTTCCTACTGCTTTATATTGTGAAAATAGAGGTCTCAAAGAAATTCCTGCTATTCCTTCAAGAATTTGGTATCTTTATCTTCAAAACAACCTGATAGAAACCATTCCTGAAAAGCCATTTGAGAATGCCACCCAGCTAAGATGGATAAATCTAAACAAGAACAAAATAACCAACTACGGAATTGAAAAAGGAGCCCTAAGCCAGCTGAAGAAGTTGCTCTTCTTATTTCTGGAAGATAATGAGCTAGAGGAGGTACCTTCTCCATTGCCAAGAAGTTTAGAACAATTACAATTAGCTAGAAATAAGGTGTCCAGAATTCCTCAAGGGACCTTTAGCAATCTGGAGAACCTGACCCTTCTTGACCTACAGAACAACAAATTAGTGGACAATGCCTTTCAAAGAGACACTTTTAAAGGACTCAAGAATCTCATGCAGCTAAACATGGCCAAGAATGCCCTGAGGAATATGCCTCCAAGATTACCAGCCAATACAATGCAGTTGTTTTTAGACAACAATTCCATTGAAGGAATACCAGAAAATTATTTTAATGTGATTCCTAAAGTGGCCTTTTTGAGACTAAATCACAACAAACTGTCAGATGAGGGTCTCCCATCAAGAGGATTTGATGTATCATCAATTCTAGATCTTCAACTGTCGCACAATCAACTCACAAAGGTTCCCCGAATCAGTGCTCATCTGCAGCACCTTCACCTTGATCATAACAAAATTAAAAGTAAGTAACCTGCAGAGTATGTCTTTGACTAAAGGGCTCATGGTCATTAAATGTATCTTTATTTTCATTAAGAAGAGCAAATGTGTTGCCCCCTCCCCCGCTAATGTTCCTTTAGATTTTTAGTGTGTTTTCAATTTTCAGTATTAAATTTTGTCTATACGCAGACAGTCTTAATGAACCAAGAAGTCCAAATCTTCAAACTGAAGACTAAAAAGTGGACTTGAGTCATCTACAGAGGACTATTATCCATTAGAGAAACTGAATGCCTCTATCTTCTTTTACTCCAGGAGATTCCAATATTTCTGCCCCATTGGGTAGGCTTATTTAAGAAACCATACCAGGCACAAACAACCTCATGACTAGTAATAAAGAAAATATGATTTAAGAGGCATTAGGAAGGCATCTTTGTCCTAAACACTATATGACAGCTGATGCCTGAAACCCTCCTAATTGGAGTCTCTAATTAAACTCCGCTAATTACAGTGGGAGTCTCAAACAAGTGTGTAAAGGCTGGTGACTCCACCCCCAGAATTTCTGATTCAGTAGATGTGGAGTGAGACTTGAGAATTTTCATCTCTAACAGCCGTCCAGTTGATGTTCTGGGAACTACACATTGAGAACCACTACTATAGTTTAAGGCTTTATTAATTAAAATGGAAAGAAATTTCCCTGGTAGCTGGCAACTCCTTGGGACTTACAGGCAATCGTCAGGTAGAATACTCTCTCCTTTCCTGAAAAGAGCTTTTCATAAGGGAGTGAGAGATGAATTCAAAGTTTTTGGAGGCAGAGGCATCATCAAGAGAAGAAGTGATTATAGAAAGCAGATGTTGGACACATTAGAGACAAACTTGGCTTCTTCACAATTATGCATGAGACTAGGCTGGACTTGGTGTAAAAATAGGTCCAGCCACAGGGGTACGATACCTAGCCTGGCATTTATCTATGCATCTTCAAACTCAGAGTAGACCCTTTAAAAATAACTCTGGGGAGATTTCTCCAGGACAACCTAAGAAAATGCATTCCAAAAGTAATATTCAGTCAGGATAGTTTGTAAGAGAATAACAAAGATAATTTGTCAAAAGGTTGTGCTGCCTGGGTATTACTCACTAAAGCTTTTTAAGCAAATAATCACATAAACATATCATTTATAGGAACAGACTATTTTTCCACTGGGAACTGCTCAGTTATTTAAGAATTTTTGTTTTTTTGGTGGGGGGAGTTAAATAACAGTGTACTTGAGTCTACAATCCAGGAATTAAATGGCAGCCTGCCATCATAGCGGTTATTTTTCCATGGTGATGAAATGTATTGTTTAATCCTGTAGTCAAAAACAAAAGATGCAACAGAAAAAAAATGTTAAGAGATGAATCTGTTTAGCTGAATCAAATAGAACAACAACAATATTGACCTAAATACATAATTTTTCCTGACGAGTGTTCTGTGCTTCTACAGGTATATTACAGGTACATTCCTTAAAAGCCCCACGGACAATTGATGTGGGAAGTAAACTTCAAGTGACTCCACATAGAGCCCTTGCTTACAAATTATGCATTTCATCCTGAGCATTTGTGAATTAGGGTGTTTAGGAGTGAGGCAGCAGTATTTAAAACACAGTTGAGAAGTATAAGACTTTAGCTTATGGAGTATTATGTGTGTAGTATAGACCCACATTTTAGAGTTTTATCAAAGTGTTTTCTCATAGGTTTCTAATTTTCTATCGTTCTCAAATCTGAGTGTGCATCAGAATCACCTGGAGATCTTATAAACCCAGGTTGCTGTTTCCTACCCCCAGAATTTCTGACTTGCTGGGTCAGAGGTTGGGCCTCACAGTTTACTCCCCAGGTATTAATAGTATTGATGTTGCTGGCTCACGATTTGAGAACTACTATTTAATCCTTGCGAGAAACTTGTGTGATATTATTAGGAATTTCTGAAAGAGAGAAACTGAAGATCAGCTAGGGGAGGATATTTGCCCAAGGACAAAGGGTAAATGCAATAGCCAGAACCTGAGTCTGAAGTGTTTTTTTCACTCATACAGTATAATAACAATACTTTCCTTCATTGTCATGAATACAAATTTTTAAAAAATTCTATCAGTAGAAAAGCAACAAAGAGAAATCTAGTTATTTACTTTTTAATGTAGATATCAAATTTTGTCATTTCAATATTTAAGAAAATAAATATAAGAGTTTCCCTGGAGAGAATATTGATATAATAATATCACACTGTGTCAAAACTGTTTAAGTACTTGCTTCTTCTAGCCACATCATCTACTCTAGTTGTAACAAAGTGGTCTCTAAGAAACATATCTCCTCTATGAAAAGACATCAAAATTTATGAGACAGTGAACTTGTCTTAAGCAATATGATGGAAATATTTATTTTTCTGAAAACTTTCAGGGATTTAAGATTAGGTAAAAATGTTATTTACTCAACTACATTACTTTCTGGTGTTCCCTGAGAAACACTGTAATTTATGAAAATGTAATTAAATTTAGAATACTTCTTTTTTATATTCATTTATTCAGACATACATTGATTATGGGACATGAGCTTGATGAGGATAAGGGGATTGCACATCGAAAGGGACATATTCTTTTGGGCAAGAGACACATTGTAGAATTAGAAAGAATCGGCCAGGTCTCAGCTCTGCCACTTACTTTCTGAAATAAGTTGTGTGCATTTCCTTATTTCTCTGAACCAGAATTCCCACAAAATGCCCAGGTATGTAGAATAATAATATTGGCTGATAAAGCCTGTGAGATGATCAGGTGATACTTGGATGTATGTAAAAAAAGAGAACCTGATTTTATAACAACTAAACTGCTATTCAAATGAGTCATTATTTTTATTAAATTCAGTTTACAAAATGGCATAAATTCAAAGCAAAGCAACCTTGCTGGAAACATAAAATTATTCACTACAATATGAATCTATATAAAACAATAGGCCACAGAGGAGGGGCATTGCCCAAGTTCAGTGGGTCTAATCAGGGAAGATCTCTTGTTTGGAATGGTTTTGAAAAGGAATTTAAAGGTAATATATGGATTCATGGTTGAAATCAGCTGTTACAGAGTACCCTGAATTTTGCTAGTTTAACTGGCCTTCTCTCCTGTATGTTCCTAAATCTCAGCATAGTCATTGGTGCCAAGGGCTTTGATCCAAGGCAGGTGCACAATTACTCCCATCCTAACCATATGAAAAGGCTGCTGGGATATTTTCTGGCTTGAGTTCTTTGTCATTCAATTCTTAGCAAAATTTTAGTTTCCAATTAAATAAATTTGAAGATGAAGATTCAAGATTGTTTTCTGTATTGCTTATGTAAAGTTATGTTAATTGTACTTTTAAAATCATGTTATGCACACTATTTTGCATCTTTTAAGGTAATTTTCAAGCATTTTCTTTTATATTAGATTGATTTTCTACTTACCCATCCAGGATCCATCCATCCATCCATCCATCTACTCTTGTACTTACCCATTCTTTCAGTCCCAAATCTGAACTGTTGTCTCCACCTCTGATGCCCTAAATCCTACCTACAGCAATCTAAATGTGCTTTATCTTACCTGCAAATTTAGAAAACAAGTGACGTCTTATACACATTTGTTTCTATCACAGATCTTAACAGTATTTCCTTACTAGTGCTCTATACTAAGTAGCAGAACATGGACTGAGATGACTGTTAAGTTTGCTGAACTTTTGTTTGGGGGAAACAGATAGGCACAATTTCTCACTGACACAAATGTTTTGTATAACCACTATTTTCATATATTAGGCCACTAAGCCCTCCATAGGACCATGGCATTAGTTTTTTGGTCTTCCCACTGTTAGTTTCTCTTGTGTTCCAATTCATTCATCTATTCTCTTTGTCACTGTAGGTGTGAATGTCTCTGTAATATGTCCCAGCCCATCCATGCTGCCTGCAGAACGAGATTCCTTCAGTTATGGACCTCATCTTCGCTACCTCCGTCTGGATGGAAATGAAATCAAACCACCAATTCCAATGGCTTTAATGACCTGCTTCAGACTTCTGCAGGCTGTCATTATTTAAACACATTCTCACCAAATCTAAAATTAGTTTAATGAGCTGTTTCTGACATGAAATGTGGTTACCATTAATAGGTTTAGGACACAAGTCATATTCCCCATTGCTCTCGGCCACCATTTTCATTTGTGCAGTGTATTTTTTCTATTCAAAGATGCTTTTGCCAGTTACATGCATCACAGCCTGCATTAATTTGCTTTTCTTTTAATTAATAAAACAGACACAGAGTTAAGATAGTTTATCAACTCAAAGATAGTTTTATTTTGGTCTCTTCCATAGCTTATTAACACTAAAGAAAACAATTACATTCTTATACAATAAAAAGGACACATTTGTGTATGTTTAAAATTACTTATGCAGATACCGTAATTTACAGTATAAATGTAATAATCAAACAGGAGGATAACGACCTGAAGAAAATGAGAAAATAAAATATTTCTTAATTGTAATCATAATAAAACAATTGCAGATTGCTAAGTAGCTGTTGGTGGTACAAGTTTGATATTTAGCTTGAGAATGGGTATGGAATGAATCAAATACTTCATCACTAAAGAATTCTTGTTATTTAATATCAAATAATGAAACAGCAGTCACTTCTAGTTCATTACCATTTCTTGTAGCTGTTGTTTTTAGATATAGTCCACTGCATTCTTATAAGTTCTAAATTTTATGTTTATTATAATGCATTTCTTGTGGAATCTTAGTGTTTTAACATTTGAAATCCACTTAAACTGCAAATTGTTCTTTATATTTGATTGTGTTTTTTGGATTTTCTAAATAAAAATATTGAATGCTTTCTAACAAAACAGAATATTTCAAAGAAATTAGCAAGCTTCATTAAAGAACATGTTTTAATAAAAATGTGTTATAGTAAAAATTATTTTCATTTTTCTGGCATAAATATATTCAAATATGTTTACTCCTACCTTCATTTTCCTTTTCTTCCAGAAAACATAAAAAAGTTTTTATTCTAATCACTTGACATATTTCTGATTTTTGTGAATTAAGAAAAACAGAATTTCATTAAGTAACAAAGTACCGTGTACTTTACATTAGCCTTATGACTTTACAAACATATGTTATAAGCAATCTGTATTCCATAAAGATCAATGGATGCCTTTATATACATTTTCCCAACAGTATTCTTTAAAATCCTACAAATCTGGCATATTTCCACAGAAAAATGATTATATATATTTGTAAAACACTAGGTTAAAAATGTCCAATTGTTTACTTCAAAGCCTCTCAGAAACGTAATATGCTATTTTATAATGTAAATTTCCAAGAAAATAATATAATGTGCAACTACGTTTTTACACCAAATTTATTTGAGGGTGAAGAAGAACCAATCCTTACTATAACCTTATACAAAACTTACTACTTATTTTTACACCAAAACTTATTTGAGATTGAGAAAGGAGAACCGATCAACAAACTTTGAACATAGTTTTTAAAATGCTGGCTGAAAGTAATAAATCAAATCAATTGACATTAACAAAAAGAAAAGTGTTTTAAATGACCTCAAAGCACATAAATAAAATTATAAAAATTATGTCATAAAAATAGAAGTAATCAGATATCATTAGACTGAGAAAAAATATGTGAAGGGGAACATAACTTTAAATATTTGAAAACATGCCATTTGAAAAGGGCACAAAACATATGCCAGGAAGCCCCAAAATGAAGAGTAGAACATATGGTTAAAATTGATAAGAAGTCATATTTTGGCTCTAGTTAAGAAAGAATTTTCTGATATTGTTCCAAGTCACCCAGCAATGGAAGTAACTTTTCTTGAGGTAGAGTTACCCACCTCTGGACTTCAAACAGTGAATAAGTGGTAATTCAAGAGGCAGAGTATAAAATGGAGTCCTATGTGGAAATAACATTGTCATGGTATGTTTCTCCAAGAACTTTTCAACTCTAAGAATTTTCTACCTTCCCTCCTTCTTTAAATATTTCTTGAGTACCATATATATGACTGTATTACACACAGATGAAATAATATTGTTTATGGTTTATTCTACAGTGAGACACAAATTAACTGAAAATCACAAAAAATATGTACAATTTCATATGTGATAAATATTAACAGACAGCTGCATGCTGCGAAGGAATTAATAATAGTGATTTGAGAGAAGGATTCCCTAAAGAAATAATGATTAAGGAAACATATAAAAGACTAAAAGTACTTAGCAGCACAAGGTAGAAGGGAAGAATATTCCACGCCGAATTTAAAGATTCTAGTCCTTAGGAATAATTTGAAAGTCACTGAAGAGTTTTAAATCATAAGGGATTATTTTCATTGTAGAGTAACATCATGCAGTGGTAAAGAACACTAACATTGAAGCTAAAGTTGCTGAGTTCAAATCCCAGCTTTGCCACTTACTGGCTTCATATCCTGGGCAGAACCTTTAAATTATGTATGCCTCAGTGTTCTCTTATCTGTAAAATGGAGACAGGTAATGGCATCTACCATACCGTGAGGATTAAATGAGTTGAAATATGTAAAGTCCCTTGAAGAGCACCTGACCCATGGTAAATACTAAGTAAGTGTTATTTATTATTATTACTGTGTGCATGTGTATGTTTCTCCTTGGCACTGTGAATAAAACAGTTTGCAGGGAACCAAAAGTAAATGTTCAGAGATTGGTTAGAACTTCAGTCTTACAGTACTAGCTAGAAAAAAAAAAAAAGGAAGTTTGGATTATAAGGTTGTGGTGGAATTAGAGGTAAGTGGACAAATATGAAAGTATTAGAAGGTAAAATTGTCAAGACTTGGTGGCAGATTGTATAAAGGGGAGTGAGAGGAACGAGGGTATTAAAGTTTCTGGCTTGCATGACAGAATAGACGGCAGTATATTTTCTAATAGAGATACATTTAGAAAGAATTATGAGTTTGTTTTTACACATAGTTTGAACAAGTTCAAACTATGATTGATCCAGAAGAAGATGTCATATAAGTTATTGAAAGAGGTCTGGATGAATATATAAACATGTGGTATAATTTTCTAGACTTTGTTAATCTATTCAATAATTTGGAAGAATTTTGCACTTAAACATTCATACTCCCATGAGGTAAGACTGGTCAGAGACAGGGGACAGATTAGGAGAATACAGACATCATTCGGAGTATTGACATGTGAAGCTAAGAGTAATGGAATCACTTTCTTCATACAATTTTTTGACATATGTACAAAGCTACTATAGGTTCCCTGAAGCTTTCAAATGATATACTGTTCTCTTTCTTGATGTTACGTACAATGTGACTATCATTCTTAAAACTCAGGAGTAATAACTAGGAGATAAGTTCAAGCCATTTTGTAAATTATGGCTCTTATAAATGTTCAATCCATCATTTAATGGACCTACTTAAAATACAATACAAAACAAAACAAAATAATATTATCTATAATCTTTCCACGTAAATATCATAAACTTAATTCATAAGCAAGAAAAAAGGGCACAAATCAAAGAAAAGAAATATACAAGGATAGACTGAGCAATTTATTTGCAAATGATGTTTTAAAAAATTAAGATAGATTTTTGGTGGTTAAAAATATTGCAACAGAATTATCTTATTTAACTCCTCCAAATACCCTTAAAAAACCTAGATAGGACAAATGGTATGGAGGAAAAAAATTCCAGATGACATATTTGATAAGACTTGTGTCAAAGAATTCAGCAAATCATCAAAATAATTGAGTGTAAAAATGTGTGTGTGTGTGTGTTTAAGAAGTGGGAAGAAATGTGTTTTTCCTACTCTGACACATTCAACAGAACACTACACCTCTGGTCACCAAAATGTGAGGGAATTTCTCCCCACCCACCAAAAACTAATTCTCTGGCAGACAGAAGCTGGGTATTCCATAATTCAATTCAATTCTGGAACTACCTACCTGGAGACAGTGTCAGGTCTCACAGGTTAAGAGTTTAGTCCCACAAAACTGCCCCAGGCTCCAACTTCAGACGTCAAAGGCAAATAGTAGATTTTCACCTACATGTCCAACTAACCAGCTATAAATTGGAGTTTCCGCAAGCCCCTCATCAGGTTTGATTAATTTGCTAAGGTAGCTCACAGACTAAGTGAAACACTTTACTTACATTTATAGATTTATTATAAAAGATATTACAAAGGATACAGATGAATAGCCAGATGGAAGAAATGCATAGGGTAAGTATACAAAAAGGGGCATGGAGCCTCATGACACCTCCAGGTGCTCAGCAAACTGGAAGCTCTGGGACTGCGTGCTTAAGAGTTTTTATGGAGGCTTCATTATGTTGGCATAATTGATTGCATCACTGGCCATTAGTGGTCAACTCAACCTTAAGCCTCTCTTTCCTCACCGACGGTCATGGCAGATGAAAGTTTAAACCCTTGCAAGCCAGTTGTTTCCTGGGCAACTAGCCTCCATCCAGAGGCTATCAAGGAGTTGCCTCATTAGAACAAAAGATGCTTCAATCACCCAGGATATATCAAAGGATTTAGGAGTTCTGTATCAGGTGTTCCTATCATTCAGAAAATTACAGAGATCTTAAGAGCTGTGTCAATAACTGGGATCAAAAACCAAATATTAGAACAAAAGATTATCCTATTGCCCCCATCTACAAGAGTTTTAGAAGCTCTATATCTGGAAGCCAAGGGCCAAGACATTAATCTCTCTCTCTCTCTCTGTGTATATATATATACACACATGGTAACTACTAAGTGTTATTTATTATTATTGTGTGCATGTGTATGTGTATATATATGTGTGTGTATATATATATGCACAAACACACAAACATATACACATACATGCACTAATATTTCTTATCATAATATGGGTATTTGATAGATTGATGGGTAGATAAAGATACTTAAAATTTACAGTGCTCTAAGAATGGTGCATTGCCTAGGAGGAGTGTAAAGTTTATTGGTTACAGTTAGGTTATATGTCATAAAGGATGGATGCATTTTTTTGTTCAAAGTTAACCAGAGCATATAGGTAGAGAACGTATAACTGTCAAACTAATACAATGGAAAAAAAAAGAGTGAAAAGTTATTTACGGAATCCAAAAGAAGGGAAGAACAGAAAGTTAAAAAAAACAAGTAGAAAGCACGTTGTAAAATTGTACATTTCAACCTACATATATTGGTAATTACATGTACAGTGGCTAAGAACTTGTGCTATGGAGGGAAAAGATGAAGTTTCAAATCCACCCTGTGCTGTTACTAACTCTTTGATCTTTGGTAAATGTCTTAACATTTCTAAGAATTGCATCCTCATCTGTAAAATAAAGAACAATATCATCTATCTTACACAGTTGCTGTGAGAATTAAGAGAGAATAGATGTAAAACTTTTCATCATCTGACACATAGAAAATACCCAATAAATGATAGGTTGGAATTTTTTTATTAGGAGGGACTCTGATACACACAATTGCATAGACTTTCTCCACCAGATCAGACCATTTTATGAATAAAAAACTGAGAAAAATAAATGGTGAACTCATCCATGTCAAAGGTTTTAAATTTTTATGCAATGCATGGGTAAACAGACAAGTGAAGTTGAGGGTGATAGAATGGGGCTAGTGAACTATGAAGTTGAAGTTGGATAGTGAAAAAAATAATGAGATCAGGAGGCGACAGACAATTGGGAGAAAAATACTGAAGGCTCAGTAGGTTGAAGTACGGGTATGAGAGGCATTAGGGCATATATAAGCTGGAAGAAAAAGAGTAACCTGAGCCTGGGAGCCTACAGCTGAAGATATCTTAACAGGCTCAATGTTGAGAGATGAAAAGATTCTGGGTGTGGTCATAGGATGGGACTCCCAAAATTAAGAGGAAGTAAGTCACGAAGTCAAAAGATCAAGGAACTCGGATTTGGTAGGAATCTCTGATGCAAGTGATCATTATTTACTTTAGAACCCAGGAAAGAAGAGAGCACAAAATGATGAAAATTTTGAACTGTTGAAAACAAATAGTTTGAATGTCTTGTTCAGTGTCACATAGCTGCTGAAAGGCAGATACAGGATTCATACCTAAGCAGTCTGGCTTCAGAGGCCCTGTTTTTGACCACTATGTTATACTAATTCTAATGATAAAATATGTCATTATAACTGAAAAAAAGTTAAAGGATTATTATAGGATAATACATATAAATACATAGAAATTATTAAAACACTTGTTTAAAAATTATTTGTCTCATTGAATGAAAGTTTGCACAACATCTGCAGCACTGCCTATAACGAAGGTGATTTATGGCTTAGCAAAACAGTGAAATGTCATATTTACCAAAAATTCTAAAGAATTTATGTTCTTTATGCAGCTGTGACAGATCTCAGGACATTTTGCCGAGAATATTTCTATACTGGGAAAAGAAAGCAAATAATATATGAGCACATTGTAGAAAAAACTGTGAAGCAAATATAACATGATTTGGCAAATCACAGAATTATTATCTTTGTATTTGTTTTTATAACTCTCAAAAATATTACTTTCTTTGTGACATTCAGCTGAGCAAACAAAATTCAAGTGTAGAAAAAGATTCATTGTCTTGAGTTCTTAACGCTTTCTTAAGACAAGTTAAAGTTGTCCTGGAAAAAGATCAGAACCGTAAAATGACTAGCAGAACTGTGTTTTGCAAAAGTCATCTGAAAAGCTATCCATTGTTTATATTATGGTGCCAGGATTTGTTTCCAATAGGGCAAGAGTTCTGCCATATATTCAATTTTCTGGCCTCTCACTTACATTAAAAATGACATAAAAAAAGCTGTTGGTTAATGGGAGTATAAACCAAGTACATGATTCAGGTTCAAAGGTAGAGACTCTGCCTTCAGAGAAATGGAAACAGACATGGAACAAACAAGATTTCTACACAAGATAAGCTACTTCTGCATAGTAAGATCATGTACAAGGTCTTTATATAGCTAAGAGGAAAGAGACAAAATGTTTTGAGTTACTTAGTACACCAGCGTATCAAAAAGCAAGGATGGCGAGGTATATTTCGAAGAGCATAGAGACTGTTGACTCTGATACAAATGAGTTTGAATTCTCTATCTGCTAAAGGAACTGAGCAAGTTAATTAAACACTTGCAACATTGGTTCTTTAATTACAGTAGGCAAAGAATAATATGCTTTGCCTGAGAGTCCTCTTAGAGTAATAGTGTAGTTAAGATGCCTAAATATACTAGGTGCTGATGAACAAGATTATTATCATTAATATTATTGGTATTATTAACATTTGAATTTCTTAAACAAAGATGCACTGAAGAGATTTTAGATGGCCATATACCTGGAACAATATGTGACAGAGTTAGAATAGTCAAATGCTAATATTAGAGTCTAGGTGCTTGGTATATAGGTATTCATTGTAAAATTCTTTCAAGTTTGTTGTCTCAAAAGTTTTATCATAAAAGTTTGGCAAAAAATATATATAGAGAGAAAAAGACTTGATAATGTATTAGTTATTTTCCCTTATAATATACTAGTGGTTTGTACAGGTTTCCAAATACTGATCACAATACTGTACTTACCTAAAATCTTTAAATGCAAATTTCTTTATTTTAATGAAGCTGTCCAGTGTTTACTCAGACCATATTTCTCTCTTTCAGGACACATCGTGGAATTAAACTTTCTCATCTTCATGAAAGAAAACAAAGAAACCATAAGAATATTTCTGGTCACTGTGCAGTAACTGGAAGTGACAGATATTACTTCCGGGTCAAAGAATTGCATTGCTCAGGTGCAACTCTCTTTTCCTTTCCACTGTTGTGGAGAGAGGGAAAGTCTGCACGTTTCAGGTGACAGATGGCAGAAGGTCTGCCATTCTATTAGTCTGGCTGCCTGAGAGATTACATAAGGCAGACCTGCTCTGCTGACTGATACAAGAACGTGTACCACATGAGAGAAATTAACTTTTGTTGGAGGGGGGGTATTAAGCCACTGAATTTTGTAGTATATGTCATTACATCATAACAGTCTATCATGAATAATTCATTCATATTTTGCATATCTTTTTAGTGACAGGAATTGATAAATTATGAAAACCTAATGCTATGAAATTAGTACAGCATTTCCAATTTAAGGTTAAATTTGTCTCTAAATGATGCGTGAGCTTTGTAAAAGTCCAATAGCTAAGCTTCTAGTGAGAACAGTAATTTACTGCCCTACCTTTTCTATCCCAGTCCTACTCCCTAGAAATAACAGTTCTTAGTATTTACTGTTTTTGTGAAGTTATCTACATACTGCTAATAATATGTTTTTATCTTTCTTGATTTGGCAGCTTTAAGCAACCTGTGTTGATTCTGTTATGGAAGATCATTGAGCACACGTATACTTATCTATTTCCTTCTTTCTTTCTATATTTTGATAGCTGTGTTAATACTTGAATTTCTTAACTTAGTTAATAAACTTTGGGAGGAAAAAAAACTCTCATACTTCTATTTCCAGTTGCAACAACTCTACAAGTCCATCTCAATTGTTCTCTTTGTGAGAGGAGGTAATTTTCTAACCATCCTGTCTACTTTGACATCATCTTTTGTCAGATATACCTTTATATTCGTGGTCAAAGTTGTTCAAACTTATACTGTACTAAAGCATCAATGAGGTTTGCAATACATTTCCTATAAATTGATTCTAAAATGTGAAAGATTAAAAAAAGGACAGTCACAGTATGAGTATCTAAATATTGTTTTTTTTCTCCTGGGTTCCAATAGGAGATTGAATCCCTTTTCTGTGTTCATTCCTGAGCAGACATTAAACTGCAGCCTTGTCCTCTCTAATTAACGAATTAACACATTTCCACCTTGTTTCCATTATCATCCAAAGAGATGTTGAAATCTGTCTTCCACCGTTGACCTCCCCTTCAATTCTCTTTGCAGTAATGGATTTATTCCTTATAAAAATTCTGCACAATGACTTCGGTGAGATTCTAGGAGGAATATGAGGCAAATATGTTTAGACAGCATCTTCTCTGTTTTTTATTACCTTGATTAAAGACTTAATGCCATGCAGGTGTTTGATACCTCCCACTTGAAATATCTTCATGAGTCCTGGGAAAAGGAAGGAGAAGTGTTTGTGAAAGTGTTAAAAATAGGGAGTTAAAGGTAAAGGTGCATGGAGTAAAGCATCAAAAGAGAGCTACAGACAGAAGGGAAAGCGATTATGTATGGTACCATGGGTCGCTTAACTGAGCTAACTAAACCTAAATGAATTCTGACTACATTTGGACTTGCATATGTAGAGGTAGATATTAATTTCACTTTTGAGAGGTAAGTACCTTTCAGTGAATATTATTTTTATGCTTTTAGAAATGTCTTATTTCTCCACTTGGTCTACATAAGAAACTTTGCTCAAATGTCCCACTGATAACCCAACAACCACCCCCACACCTCCTTTCCCTATACTTTCACTCTCTAATGCCTAATAGTAGTAGGATTCCTCTTTCCTCTAATTGTGAGATTTTTTGTTTCAGTTAAATATTGAAACTACTTTGAGTTGCTTTCCAGTTTTCCTTCAAATCTGTGGAACTCCAAACAACTGCTTTCCAAATGTATTGTTTAATGTGCTTCTTTCTTCTCAAAACACTAGAATTCATAGATTTTTTTAACATGGTAGGTGTGTTAGCTTTCTAGGGCGGCCATAACAAAATCACAGATTTGGTGACTTAAATAATAGAAATGTATTTTTTTCACAGTTCTGAAAATTTAGGATCTAGAAATTAGGATCTAGACAATTTAGGATCCAGTTCGATTTCTCCTGAGTCCTCCCTCCTTGGATTGCAAATGGTTGTCTTTCTTTGTGTCTCATAGCGTCTTTTTTCTGTATGTGCACTTCCCTGGGGGTTCTCAGCATATTCAAATTTCCTCCGCTTGTAAGCACAAGAGTCAAACTGGACCCACTCTAAAGACCTTTATGAGGTGATTAAGCCATGAGTGCTCCTCCTTTGTGATTGGTATTAAGATTCTTATAAAAGGAACATCAAGCAGTGTTTGATCTCTTGCTCTTCTGACTTTCAACATGTGAGGACACAACATTCCCTCCTCTGGAGAATGCAGCAACAAGAAGCCATCTTGGAAGTGGAAAGACCAGGCCTTCAGCGGCTGATACCTTAATCTTGGACTCCCAGCCTCCAGAACTGTGAGAAATGAGTTTCTGTTCTTTGTAAATTACCCACTCTCAAGTATTGTTAGAACAGCTCAGAAGGACTAAGACAGCATCCGAAAATGTAGTGTTTCCTTTACTTACTAATTTAAACATTTTGAGTAACTAACAAAGGTACACAAAATTAGATTACATGTGTGTATTACCCATATTTTGGCAGATCAATTATTACTACTATACACAAGAATTCATGCTAGAAGTTTTAGTGCTTACAGGACAGACAACATTAAGTTGGTGTAGTTTGAAGATTGATACAATCGTTTTGTTTTTTTCAAAAGGTTAAAGGCAAGACATCCCAGAAAAAGGAAAACACATCAGTCATGTCTAGATTCAACCTCAGTTATCAATCCTTCAAAATATGTCAAACTTTAAATATAGGCATACATAATTTCTGATAGAAATAAAACTAATTAATAAAGTGAGTAAAACCAATCCATTGCTTATGAAAATTGAAGCTTTTTACCCTCACAATCTAGGCAAACAAACTTTTAAAAGAATGATCAGTGTAAATTTTCAGCACTAACGATCAAGATATTTCAATAATTTCTAAGTTATCTGACAGAATATTTTGGCCCTAAGGAATAATTCCAAATGTTTGGTGAAAGATCTCAACAGAATAAAATGAGAATTGCCACATCAAAGCTTCTGTGTTTATAAAAGAAACAGCTGTGACTAAGGGGCCTGAGGGCAATGAATTAATATTCAAGGTTTTCCTTCTCAAACAGAGTTATGAATTTGAACATGTTCACAAGAAAATATAATAAGCTCACAGTCATTTGAAATGATCTTTACAGATGCCATGTAAATATATACCAATCAGCTTTGCAATTAAATACCATATAATTAGTTCAGGGACTTCATGCCAAAAGTATGTTGTAATTTTACTAAATTTAAATTGTGCACAGTGGTAAATGAGAATGAATGTTCCAAAATGATAGCCCATTTTGCATATTTTACTGCACACACATGCATGCACATACACATACACACATATACAACAAAATCAAACCAATGCAAATCTGGAAAGAATTGTATGGTCTCCATTATTGGCAACTCTAAAGGAAAATTTCACAAGAAAAATTAGTTTTACATTTAATTTCTCATATTTTATGTACCTCCAAAAAAAGTTGGCAAACAAAATTTGTTTTAATGTATGATTTGTTAAAATCAGAAGAATACTTATTCTACAATCATATTGTAAAAATGCCCTAATATTCATTCTGTATCTATTTTATTAAATGGCAAGTATTTTGATTCCAGATGGTACATATTACACAATGTCATTTATCAAAATTGTATTTATTCCAAGCACATAAAACTCTTTAAAAAATAACTTCTCTGGGCCAGGCGCGGTGGTTCACGCCTGTAATCCCAGCACTTCGGGAGGCCGAGGCGGGCGGATAACGAGGTCAGGAGATCGAGACCATCCTGGCTAACACGGTGAATCCCCGTCTCTACTATTAAAAACAAAAAAATTAGCCAGGTGTGGTGGCGGGCGCCAGTAGTCCCAGCTACTTGGGAGTCTGAGGCAGGAGAATGGTGTGAACCCAGGAGGCGGAGCTTGCAGTGAGCAAAGACCGCACCACTGCACTCCAGCCTGGGCAACACAGCGAGACCCCATCTCAAAAAAAAAAAATTCTCTGAATTGTTCCTTTTTAAAATTCTATTTTTCCCCCCTGTTTTTGTGGTGGTGGTGGTGATACTAATTTCTGATAGGGTGACATCTAATAGTATATTTGAAAAGAAATAAATATTCAGAGACCGGTATTCTTTTTCTCTAAGTAGAAAGTCAGCCTCTACTCACAATTCTTTTAATAAGCATTTATTGAGCCATATACTTTGTCAAAGGGAGTGTGAAAAGCTATGTAATACAGTGGCTACAAAAATCATCAAGATGACAGAAAGGGCAAAGAAAACAATTAGTCTAAAGTGAGCAGAAGATAATTTGTCAAAAATATTATGCTATGCCTATATGACATTTAAAAAAATCAGAAACTAGAACTCCTACCAGAGTCTTAGGTCCTAGTAGAATAAGTTTCCTGTAATCAGTTCGGCCCTTGTCTAAGAGGGTAGTATAGTCATTGAGTTTATAGCTGAGATTAAAACGAAAAATAAATTTAAAGAAAAAAATGCTGTTTTTAATCACCAAAAGTAAACTGGAAAGTGTATAGATAACTTTGTAAGTATACATGGATCTAATTCATGTTGCCCATGAATAGTAAATAGTAATAGAAACTTTAACTATGTAAATAAGCCAGTAAAATTATTATAAATAAGAAATCAAAGATGTTAATTCTCAGTCTTCAAAGTAGAGAAAATAAATTGTAGAATCAAATAAGACAAAAGAAATTTGACCCACTTCTATTTCTAGTTTATTTTAGCCACAGGGAATGTGTTCTCACATCCTATAATTGTTGACAAGTAAATAATAGATTATATTTGTCAGTCACAGCACGGACTCACTTCTTGTCTGATTTCAGACTCCTTATAACATATCTAGACTATAATGCTTTCATTAGTTAAGTGTGATTAATAACAGATGCTATAGTAAAAATCATCGATTAGCTACACTAAAATCCATTCCCAAATCCCAGTTTCTATTTCCCATTTCTCTATAGAGACTGGAAAGGATAAATTACTTACTTCCCAATTCTCCCTTTGTCCTAATTTTATATATCCATAAATTAGATTCTGAGACAAGGATTTAGGTGTGGACAGCTAATATAAGTTATCCCTGGAGTAAATTAAGGGGTAATTGAGGCAGAAAAGCCAGAAAAATTAATGAAGAATGTGGTAATGAATGTACCACGTTCAACAACTGAGGATGAAACACAGTGGGGGCTGTCTGAAAGACTATGTAGGACACCTCTTGGAAATATCCAGTGTGGGGTGGGGAAGCTATGGACTTTATATAATTACTCCCATTGTTACCAATTCAATTTCTCTTCTCTATAAAATGGGCAGTTGAACATGACTGCATCAAGAGTAATTGGAGGTGAAGGCATAGTTTGAAAAATGTCATGTTAAAATATGTGCTTTAATGTGTATATAGCATTGCAAATTTGTCCCGGTAGTAGATACAGTACAGAATTTAATAGGGTACCCGAGTTTTAACTCATTCTGGCCTTGCCACTTGCTGATAGCAAAATGGAATAGTCTTTCTGTCTGGGCCTTAGAATTTTTTTTATTAAATAATGGTGAGCTTGAAACACTGATGAAACTAACTGCTCTTCCAGTTCTAAGTTCCAAGGGTATTTGATTGAATACATTTTTAGGAGGTTTCCAATAATTCTACTCTTTCTAGTTTGGGCCCCAAAATCTTCATGTCCACATTTACCTTTTTTCATTAAATAGAAAACAGAATGTCTTTCCAATGTCAGGAAACCATCTGTAAAGTGAATAAATTATCACTGCTAAAACAAAATCTCTCCACAGGAGAAGACAAATCATCTGTTAAAGTAATTGGACAAGCTCACAAATGTTCATTATAGTTCATGTAGTACAAGCAATATTACCTCAAGGTTTGGAAAAAAGTTACTCAATGTTTAATTTTGAATTTTAAAAAGAAAGAAAGAAAAGGAATGATAGCATGTGTAAGTAATAAAAAAAATCCCAAACAAACCCAGATCCTCAAGAAAGACTTATGATTAAAATTGTTTCCCAAAATACCATATTATTGATGCCAGATGTTAATCATGAAAGCAGATAATAAAGAACTCATGGAGAGAGAAAGCTGCATTTTAAACAGTAGGAAGTTAACTTATGAAAATAAAGAGCCAGAGCAAGTCTGGTTAGGCAATAAGCCTTCTGTAACATATTAAAACATTTTTTCCATTGACAACCATAGTTTATATAGTTAAAATCTTTTTTGCTGGATGAAATACATAAATTTTGGATAGAGTTTTAGGCTGCCAGAGGTTAGCAGCCATATGATTAAAGCTAAAAGAAGGTTACTTTTAAGAGATTTCTAAGAGTGTTTCTTTTCTGTGCACTTTATTTTCCTGTAATGCGATTAGTCTCAATTATCACCACTAGCTATATCTCTAAATTCTGCCTTTCTCTTAAAATTCAAATCCATGTTGCAGAGCTTTTGTAACATCTTGACATGATTGCTACTTAAGCACCACCAGTTTGGTATGCCCAAACTTAGCTTCTTTTCCCTAAAAGTTCTTTATTCTTGCTAATTTCTCTTTTAATCAATGATGCATATTTTCATTCAATCATTTTTTCCTTCATTTAATCATCTCTTTAGTCATTGAACATTTAGTGTCTTCCAGGAAGTAGATATATTTGTAAAAGCTACAGCATGTACACAGAACAATGGAATTATAGTGCCTGTTCTCAAGGAGTCTCCAGAGGATTGTCATATATGGTAGTTACAATACAATGGAACAAGTACATCATTGGTGTTAATGAAGCCTACAGCACTTGTTTACTCTAAAAATTCTCAGGAAGGTACATTGGATAGAGTCAAATGACTTGAAAGTTGAATGACTTTTTCACAGACTACAAAGAGAAGCAGTGATACAGTATAAACCAATCAAAGAGATGGGGGAAGTGAAGTGTAGCATGTCTAAACTCTAGATTCCTGCTTCAGAGGGTATCGTTCCAGTTATCCCCATTTTTTTGTGTGTTGTTATCACATATATTACATCTACATATGTTATAATTCCCACAGAAGAGCATTATAATTTTTGCTTTAGGGTCATATATAATTATTTTAAATAAGTAGAATAAAATATTGTTGCATGCTTATGTATATATTTTTCATTTATGATGTGCCACATTTCTTTCTGCAGCTTCAAACTTTTCTTTCAGACTGAAAAAAAGTATTAGCACTTCTTCTAGAAGTACTGAACACTGCCGACCTACTCGTTTTGAAAATTTATTGAAAATGCCTTTATTTTACTTTTATTTTACATTTATTTTTAATTATTGTGGGTATATGATGGTTACATATATGTATAAAGTACATGTGATATTTTGTGTACTGATAAAATCAGGGTAATTGTCACATTAGGTATTTAGCTCTTCTTTTTGTTAGGAACATTCCGATTTCACTCTTTCAGTTATTTTAAAATATATAATAAATTACTGTTAACTGTAGTCACGGTATTGTGCTACCAAATCCAGGATCTTATTCATTCTATCAATCTGTATTTTTGTACTCATTAACTATCCTCATTTTATCCCTGTCTCCCCATGACCCTTCCCAGCCTCTGGTGACCATCATTCTATTCTCTATCTTGGTGAGTTTGATTTTTTTTTTTAGCTCCCACATATGAGTGAGAACATGTGATATTTGTGTTTTTCTGCCTGGCTTACTTCCCTTATTTTTGGATAATTATTTTTTTCTGTATATTAACTTCATAGTAGACATCATTTCAGCACTTAAAGATGTCACCCCGCTATCAGCTGACCTCTATTGTTTTTTATCAGAAGTCTGTTGTTATTTGTATTGTTAATCCCCTATAGATAATATATCAAATCTGACATATTTTCCTCTGTCTTCTTTTAGGATATTCTCTTTATTTTTTATTTTTAACAGTTTATCACTTAATAAAACTAGTTGTGTGTGTATGTGTGTGTGTGTGTTTTGTATGTATCTTGCTCGGGGTTTGCTGAGAATCTTTGATATGATGGTAGCTGTTTGTCACCACCTTTAGAAAAAATTTCAGGCATCTTTCCTCTGTTATGGACTAATTTATATTCTCCCCAGATGTATATGTTAAAGCCCTAACTCCCAATATAACTATATTTGGACACAGGCACTATAAGGAGGTAATAAAGATTAAATAATGTCATAGTGTGGGACCTTAATTCAATAAGACTGATGGCCTTGAAAAAAAAAAAGAGAGACAGAGACAGAAGCAACACAGATCTCTCTCTCTCTCTCTCTCCTCTCACGTGCACAGAGAAGAGGCCATATGTGAGGACACAGCAAGAAGATGGCCATCTACAAGTCAGGAAGAGAAGCCTCAACAGAAACCTACCCTCACCTGCCAGCACCTTGATCTTGTACTTCTAGTCTCTAAAATTGTAAGAAAATAAATTTCTGTTGCTTAAACTACCCAACCTGTGGTATTGTGTCCCAAGGACACAACTATGTCCTCTAAACATCTCCCCAACTCGTTATTTCTCTCCTTTCCTTCTCGGATTTCAGTTATGAATATCTTAGACCCCTTGATATAATCTCAAAAATCACTGAGACTACTGTTTTATTTCCAACTTCTCCTCCGTCTTTGCTATTCAAATCTGATATATTTTTAAAATTCACATATTCTCAAACTTCGTAACCATTTATTCTGCCATATATAGCAACATTTTTAATACTACATATTGTTTTGCTCATTTGGAAAATTTCCATTGGGCTATTTTCTAGAGTGTCTTTTTTTTTTCAGAGATCCCTTATCTACCTATTTATTATGACCATATTTTGCTCAAGTTCTCAAACTTTTTTATCTATAATTATTTAAGTTTTTGTAATTTAATTTTAATATTCAAGGTATTTTACCATTGGTTTCTGTTGACTGCTTTTTCTCTTAAATATGGGTTGCAATTTATTTTTTCCATTGTCTACTACCTTTTCATTGCATCGTGAATATTGTTAATAACACATTGTAGAGACTGCAGTTTACCTTTTTTTAAAAGATTTTTTGTATTCTAGTAGAATAAATTATTAACTTGCTTGATTCAGACTCAAAATTCTGATTTTCTAGAAGTGGGCATCAGTTGAAACTATGCATTTATCTCAGTCTTCCAGCTGTTGCTTTTCACTAAGTTCTCTGAAGTTTCCCCTGTATGTGTGCAGTTCAGTAGTTAGAAAATAATTTTGGTGGAATACATGTACAGATGTGGGGCTCTTTACTCTGTTATTCCTTCTTTCGGGGTCTCCTTTCTTACTCTTCCCAACTCAGCAAAATTCCAGCTTGTATTATATATCAACTTAACCGTACCTCGGACACATCCAATTTCTTCACTTTTTTCTTTTCTTTCTCTTTTTTTGTGGTCTTCAGTAAGTTGTATGTTGTAAGTACTTGTTTATTTCACATTGTTTTTTAAAATGTATTTGTATATATTCTGAGCCTTTGGTTGCACTATTGAGTGATATATCATACAGAGTTTGGTGCATGGCCTGCCTCTAGACTCTGAGTTGTGATTTACATAATATTACCTTAGCAGTCATAAATTTGAGTCAAATTGAAAATTTTGTTTGTCTCATAGCATTTTGACTAAAGAATATGTAAACAAAAATGCTGATATAAATTTAGTTGTTAAGATTGAGAATTTTTACGTAAAATGTATTGTTTATAGATTGCCATCAAATAAAATTTTTCAGAAAAAACGACAATTTCTCTGTTTGAAATGTTTCTATAACCGACACCAATTCATAGCATGGAAATTTTGAGTATTTTGTTAAAAATTTTGAAATAATTTATCTTAATTTATCCCTTGTAGATGCAAGTAAAATATAATTTTTCAAGTTAGCTGCAAACAGTGAGGTCAGGGGTAGCTTATTACAAGGATCCAATGGGGAATATATTGTGAGGAAATATGAAACTAAGGCACGCAAACTTAGAATAAGAAAAATCATAGTTGTACAAGGCATCACAAAGACTGAAACTAGATTCTAAGAAGATTTAGATAATTCAGTACTGGTTAGCCTTTAATTTATAGCTACTATCTCTAGACATCTGTTCTTCATTCCTTCCCCAAAACCAACTTATTTCCTGAATTGCTTCTGCTTCCTCCTCACTTTGCGCTTCTTATGATTTCTCATGTTTCTGTGCCTTTTAAGCTTCAGATCACTTTGCCTATGAATAAAGGTTCTGGATTAATTGAGATACATGCAGTTACAGTTAATAGAAACCCAGAGCAAATTAGCATTATCAGAAACCACAATTTATTGGTGTACAGAACTGATATGTAAAAGTTTATTATTGAATTCTGGAATAGTTGTAACAGGGGCTTAAATAATCTCTTTCTCTGTCTCAAACAAGTTTGTTCCATGTAATGGACTAGATTGACACTACCAGTTCTAGAACTGCATTTCATATAGTGACCTAGATGGAAGGGAATGTATATTCCAATTGCTTCAATATAATATCCTCAAGGAGGATTCTGATGGACATAACATATTATGAGCCCATCTCTGAACGAATCTTTGTGTCATACCTGTAGTAGTGGGGGCAGGACCAGTTTCAGGCCCTCCTGAACCATATTCAACAGGTTTCTCATAAGTAAGATTGTTCTATATCTAGAAAAAGATCTGGAAATAATTATTAGACATTAACAAAAAGAAAAGAAAGCAACCATACACTGTAGTACCTAACTCAGATTCTGACAACGATTATGTTGCTGTTCAGAGCATTTTCCATGGAGCACCCTCATAGTCTCTCGTGGATATGCTTTTCTTGGATGCAACATTCAGTCATAGTCTGGTAATAAGTGCTTATGAGTGGTGTCACACTGTACAAAACTAGGCATAGAGAAGTCACACTGTACAAAACTAGACATTGCTTATGAGTGGTTTCCCACTGTACAAAATTTGGCATAGGCTTTCACTGTCATAAAAGCCCTGAGTGAACCTGCTTCCCTTACAAGTTGTTCTGGGCTTGGCCAATATCATTATTGTCATATCTAGTTGAATAAATATTATTTTAGATAAAGTCAGTTGGTTATATTTCTATTACAAATGCCAAATATATCATTACTCTTTTCAAATTTCTGTTTAATATGTTTATACATTGGTGCCTTAATACTTATTACAACTACAGCTATAAGATATTGACATTTTATAAATATGATAATATGGTGTGTAGCTTTACTTGATTAGGGTTAATAATTAGCTGGACTGGAGAGGTAAGATAATTGGATCCAACAAATTGTCTCTTTAAAATGAACATTTTGGACTCCTGGACTGACTGTGATTCATTCCATAAAATTAAACAATTCCAGAATTATAAATTTTTATGGAAACCAAAGATAACCCTTATGCAAAAATGACCACTAAAACATAGGAAGAGATGGAATGAATTTCATACAGAATAACTATATTACTATTTTTTACTAAACTCCAATGTGCATTAAACTTCTGAATGACCTTATAACTTCAAATGTTAGTGTTCAATAAAGATATGTCAATATTTAAATCAAATAAGCTAATATTTATTGGACTCATAAACATCTTGAGCTTAATGCTGAGTATTGTTGCACAGGAGAAGAATAATGCATAGAAAAATAAAGAGTAAAACACAAAATATTTAATTAGTTGGTTTTAATACAAAATAGGATACCAACTGGGTAAAATTAACCTTCTTATCTTTAAGTATTTTCAGCAAAACAATTGGGGCATCACGATTTGAATGCCAAGTCATAGAAAAAGTATTACATTCAAAAAACAAAACACAAAACAGAACAAATGTTTCCTTCTGTTCTGTCTTTAAATCTAGAAAAGGCTTAACTTGGAAATCTAAGTTATTAATTAAATATTCAATAATTCTGAATTTCTCAGTAAAATTAAAAGGAAATTATTTTTCCTCAACTAAATATTCTTCATGCATTCCTTACAATAAAAGATATGGTTGGACTGATCTACCTACTGATCATAAACACTTGTCTAAACACAGTTTTTTCAGAAAGTTCATAAAAAGTTCACCCTACTTCCCAATTCTAGTCCACATGTTTGAAATGTTCCACAGCCCTTACCTTCAGTGGGAAACAGCAACAGAAGACTCCAACTGTCACTATCAACTTTTCCCAATTTTTAAAAATTTGCCACTTTCAATACAAATCTTTTAAAATAGCAGCAGTGCCACATCATCATTTCATTTCTTAGGCATAATATTTACAAAATACTCACGTAGGGATCACATATTCCCTTCTACAAATGAGAAATAAAAAGTGATTCCCCAATAGACCACATGGTTTCAAGTCAACAAGCAGGCCACAGGCCACTGCTGTATTAATATTCTCAAAGGTAACATTTGTGGTAAATTGTTTTTTGTATAAGTCATGATCTCTATTTCATTTCATGAATACTTTCCCTAATTTTGCAATTTAAGAAATAGAAAATTTTGCAGCTGAAGTCAGAAATGTCTATGCATATACACATTTGTGTTCATATTAATGTTCATATTTGAGAATATATAAACATATTTTGAGATTTTGGAACAAATTTTAATTCAAAACATTATAAACAAAACAAATAAAAGTGAAACATTGTATGTCTATATAACTGTGTAGTGCTTAAAGCTCATCCAGTACTTCAGATTTTCTTTAGTTACTCTTTCCTTTAGAGTAAAATTTCATGAAAATTTTGTCCTCGCATGCTTTTGACACTTCTTCACTTCTCTTTACCCTTCCTTTAACCCCAGTAACTCTAATTTGGCTCCTAATCCTACCATATTACTGGAACTGTTTATCACCAGGGACATCCATGTTGCTAACTTCTATCTTTAACTTGAAGTGTGGCTGTTAATACTCTTTCCAATATCTATTCTCTCCTTCTGTACAAAGAGAATTGCAATTTTCTTTGGTGTGGCAATGTTCTATCCAATACCCGCCACCTGCTACATTTCCTAATTTTCAATGCAGTAGTGTTTCCTTGTGTGATGTCCGACCAATGAGATGGAAATTGAAGACAACATTCAGAGTATGTTAAAATTTACAGATATAGGCACCATATCCATTGTTTTGTTGCTTCCATCTTTTTTCTGCTTGTAAAATGAACAGAAAGTTAGAGATGGTGAAGCATTTTGTTACTACAGCTTCACATAAAAACCGTATTTTACATATAGTATATTAGAATCCTTAACTGATGCAACCTCTTTGCTTAATTCACAATGTCTTTTTTATGGAATCACGATCTTCCCTTTGTTTGTGACAGATTAATACATCTGTTTTCCTCATTCCTCTCTGTCCCTTATTGTTATCTGTCATACTTATTTTGCTTTGCTTTGTGTTGCTTTCACTTTGTCTTCATTTAGGTACTGATTTTATTTTATGTTTTCACTTTCCTTAGCTCTGCTCTTCTGTGGTCTTGCTGTTTTTTCTTTGATTGCTTATATTCTGCTTAGTTCTGTGACTTAGGTCAAATTAGTCTCAAATTACTTAAACTCTCTATGCCTCAGGTTTCTTATTTTTAATGTAGAAATAACAAATTTACCTACCTCATAGGGGTTTAGTGAGAATTAAATGAGATATGTGTCAATCAAAACATTAGAAATATTTTTGACACAAAATCAGCATTCAGTAAAGGTCACTAATTATTACTTTATCAAGGTTGTTATTTTATTTATTTTTAAACATTTTTATAGAAGCATAACCATACATAGAAAATTATTTAGCTAAATGATGAAAGATGTGAACAAAATTTATTGACATAAATGTGCTTAAAAATCCTCATTTAGTTTTTGAACATCTATGGGAACTGTAATTTTTTTTCCATTTCATCCTTCATCTTGTGTCTCCTTTCTCACATTTTTTCTTGATCAAATTCATAAGAAATTTACCAATTTGATCAGTTTTTCAAATACCAAATTAAGTGTTCTTGATTTTTTCTATTTTCGTTTTCTACTTTATTATTTAATTTTATATTCTCATTGTTTTCTTCCTTCTTTCATTTGATGAACTTTTCTGCCTTGTATCTAAACACTTTACATAAATATTTACATCCTTGATATTTTATCTTTTCTTCAGGTTAAATATATGCACTTTAGGCTACTAATTTCCTCCTACTAATGACTAGCTACATTCCATGGGCTTTGATATATAGTATTTTGTTATAATTGAGTTCAAAATATTTTCATTTGAGCCATGAGTCATTTAGAAATGTATTTTCTAATTTCTCATTGCCTTAGTTATTGTTTTGTTGTTGATTTGTAGCTTACTTCGTCTAGTCAGAGACTATATTCCACATGATTTTGGTGCTTTAAAATGTCTTCAGACATGCCTTATAGCTCAACAAATAATCAATTTTTGTAAATATGATGTATGAAACTAAAAATAATCTGTATTCTGCTATTTGGGGTGCAATGTTCTATGTTTGTTATGTTGTTGTATTTGTAGTAGACTCCACAGTTAGCTCCAATCCTCTTTCCCTCTCTTTGTCTTCATCTTTTTCATGGCCTCATCATGAAAAGAGTGTATGTCTTTGTCAGGTGATCTTGGCCTTGGTCATATAATTTGCTTTGGTGAATTTCATGTGGGCAGAAGTAACAGTCTGCCAGTTTGGAGCTAGGCCTTACGAAATCTCACAAATTTCCAATTGTTTTGTTGTACTTTTTCCATTTTCATGAAATAAGCATACTCCATCTAACTTATCCGTCCAAGGTAGGGCAAAGCCATTACACCGAAAGCAACCCGAAGGAGTCCTAGGCAACCTCAGATCCATGATAATAAATAACTGATATTTTAAGATATGAAATTTTCAGTGGGTTGTTATGTAACATTGTTGTGATAAAGCTAGCTGTTACAATTTTGTTCTTCAAATTTTCTAAATCCTAATATTTATTTCTGTTTTCCATATCAATTTAATTCACCAAAAATGCATTTGGACATTGAGTTTATCAATATTGCTTCAAAATTTTATCCTCCTATAGATTTCATGTTGGCCTGTGTTATGACATTTTACTTCAAAAGTTTCCAGATATACTAGAGATTTGAAAGAATTTTACATTGAATACTCATATATTCACCACGATTTCAGAACTAACATTCTAACCTACTTGTTTTTATATTTATCATATGTAAATTCTTTTAGCCATCCATCAACCACTTCATTTTTTTGTCACTTCTCAAAATAAATCTCAGATATGGGTATACTGATATTATTATTATATCAGCATATGTAATAACTATATATTGATATATGTTATATATTATAGTATTATCTATAGTTTAGGGTATTTTTCCTTTTGTTTTAAAGTCTGCATACAATGAAATATGTAAACCTTTAGTGTGCATTTGCTGAATTTTAACACACATATACATCTGCGTATCAAATTCTTACTAGGATATAGAATATTAACAACAGCCCAGAAATTTCCTTCATTGGCCTTCCCAGTCTCTTGCCCTTGATTTCCTATAAACACCCACTCTTCTAATTTTTTCTATTATAGATTTATTTGTGATATAGTCTGAAAGTATCCTCCAAAATTTGTATGTTAAAACTCAATTGTCAATGTGATACAGGCTGAGCATCCTTAATGTGAAAACTTGAAATTTGAAATTCTCCAAAATCTGAAACTTTTTGAGTGCTGACACATTGCCACAAGTAAAAAATTTGATGCCTAACCTCAAGTGATGGATCACAGTCAACACTGTTTCATACACAAAATTATTAAAAGTGTTATATAAAATTACTGTCTTAGTCCATTTGCATTTCTATAAATGAATAGTTGAGACTAAATAATTTATGAAGAAAAAGGGTTTATTTAGCTCCCAGTTCTGCAGGTTGTTCAAGAAGCATGACACCAGCATCTGTTTCTGGTGGAGGCCTCAGTACGCTTCCACTTACGATGGAAGGGAAAGGAAAGCAGGCATTGCATGGTGAGAGGAGGAAGACAGAGGAGAGGAGGTGCCAGGCTCTTTTTAACAGTCAGATCTGGTGGGAACTAATAGAATGGGAATTCACTCACTACCATGAGGACAGCACCAAGATGTTCATGAAGGATCAGCCCCCATGACCCAAACACCAGCCACCAGGCCCTACCTCCACAATGGGGATCACATTTCAACATGAGATTCGGAAGGGACAAATATCCAAACTATATCAATTGCCTTCAGTTTATATGTATAAGGTATATATGAAACATAAATTTTGTGTTTAGATTCAGTACCATCCTCAGTTATGTATATGCAAATATTCTGAAATTGAAAAAAAATCCCAAATCCAAAACACTCCTGGTCCTAACAGTTTTTGCTGAGGGATACTCAACCTGTAATATTAAGAGGTGGGGCTTTAGGAAGTGATTAAATCATGACAGTGGAGTCCTTATGGTTGAGACGAGACCCTTACAAAAGGGCTTGAGGGGGTGAGTTCACCTCCTTCCATCTCTTCTGCCATGTGAGGACACAGCAATTGTCTCCTCTAGAGGAAGAAGCAACAAAACACCATCTTGGAAACAAAGACAAGGCCCTCACTAGACACCTTAATCTTGGACTTTCAGCCTCCAGATCTATAAGAAATAAGTTTCTGTTGTTTATAAATTACCCAGTCTCAAGTATTTTCTATAGTAACTCAAACAGACTGAGAGAATTTGCCTATTCTAGAATTTGATATGAATATAATCATAGAATATATATCCATTGTATAAGTGACATGACTTAGATGTGTGTCCCCTCCAAATCTCATGTCGATATGTGACCTCCAATTTTGGAAGTGGGGCCCAGTGGGAGATATTGGGTCATGGGGATGGATCCCTCATAGAATGGCTTGGTGCCCTCCCTGCAGTAACAAGTGGTAATGAGTTCGTGTGAGATCTAATTGTTTAAAAGAGTGTGACAACTCTCCCCTGTCTCTCTCTCTCGCTCCCTCTTTTGCCATATGACACACCATTTCCCCTTCTCTTTTGCCATGACTAAAATCTTCCTGAGGCCTCACCAGAAGCTAAGCAGATGCAGTGCCATGATTGTACAGCCTGCAGAACCATGAGCCAAAGAAGTCTCTTTTCTATATAAACTACCTAGTCTTAGGTATTTATTTAGAGCAACGTAAAACAGACTAATAAAAATAAGGCTTCTTTAAATCAGTATAATGCTTTTTTAAAAAATTCAGCTTCAATGTGAGTTTGCCAATAGTGCATTCTTTTTTGTTATTATGTAGTATTTTCTCCTTTTTTGAAAAAATCTACGTTGATAACCTCTGCCTTTGCTTTTTAATTGTTTAGTTGATTCACATTTAAAGGAATTGATGTGTTTAATTTTAGGTCTATGACTTTTTTGCTCTTTATGATCTGCTTGTATTCTATTTTTGTTTTTTTGTTATCCTCTATTCCTTATTCATTTTTTTCTTTTTGATTATTTGAGTGTGTTTTAAAATTCTATTTTAATGTATCTATTTACTTTTTAGTCATCCAGCCTTTTCTGTTGTATTATTAGGGGTTGCTCTAGGGATTAGAATAGGCAGCCTGGAGTTTTTAGAGTTTATATTGTTGCTGGTTCCATTATGATAACTCATGTGTGAATAACATATTTTTCTGCTAGCCTGATTATTTGAAGGAGGTTTTTCCAAAGGATGTACCAGTGTTATATTCCAGGCTGGCTGGAAATGTTTTTTATTCCCTAGGCTGGTGTTTGTGAAACATTTATTAGCTTTTACTTATCAAAAAATATTGAGGTTAACAAGGGGCAGGCAGCTTACAATGATGTGAAGAATCTCTCATCCCCCCTTGGACTAACCTGCCTGTGTGTTGTCTGTATGATTTCCCACTCACCATTCTGCATCTTTTCATTCTTAAAACTAAGCCAGCCCTGGAGAAGCATCCCCACTCCCATCAGTCCAGGCACCCTATTGCCAATTTGGCAAACAAGAAACTGTTGCTTTTGAATCTTAGGATTGTGCCACTTACTTAACAGTAAGCCATGCTTATGGCTTTTTAATTAAGTTCTGCAACCACAAGGATACTTTCTCTATACCCCTATTGGTATGCACTATTTGGACAATCCTTTCTTCTCTTTAATATGTTAGGGTTCTTGCTAATACATCTGTGCTTTTTTTCATTTATTTTTATAGAAGAGACTTAATGTTTCTATTTTGTATCCCTCATGTTGCCTCTGAATGATTTTCAAGAAGGGAATATTGATTTTACCCAGCCACATTAAATATAAAAATTCACCCTCTCAGTAACTTACTTTTCTTTTAACCTTTTTTTTTTATAGACTATATCATTATTTAAAATATTCTTTTTCGTGTGTTACCCCAACTTGAAAAGTAAACTCAATTAAAACAGGAATTTTGACTGCCTCAGTTATTCTGCAATCACGGTGCATAGGAAAACTAATAACATAATTGACATATTTATTGAGACAGTTAGCGTTTAGGAAATACCTGTTTAAAAACTAAATTTTCACTTACATAAAACTAATGTTTTATTAAAAGTAAGGTATACTCCCAATTCGCTGTATGAGCTACAGATTTAGGTAGTTTGCATTTATAAGTTTAAAATTTATTTTTTAATGTCATACATACACTCACAACATCACCCATGATTTCACATAAATTGTTAGACAATATGAGGCTACATTTTTAAAGGAATCAAATTGCATTTGATTTTATAAAAGATTAAGTGATATAATTGATTTATATGGATATGATGAAAATCACTAAAGTGGTCTGGAAATAGTGAATTTTGGAAAATGTTGCGTTGATTCATATATTTAAACAAGGCATTACTAAGCCACACTAGCCTGTAACTATAAAATGAGATTACCTTTCTTTATTATTCAGATTGCAACTACCCCAATCTCTTACCTTCTCAGACAGCCTTTTCCCATGGCTTCTCTCTCCAAATATCCTGTAAGATCCCTATCCCTGCCACTGTTTACCTACTATCTTCAACCAAGAAAATGGGAACTCAGGCCCTTAGCAAGGCAGCCCCACACTGCTGACTTAAAAGAGGGTCTGCAGGAGGAAAAAGATAAGGATTCTATGTCTTAGCTTGTTTTAATTGGATTTAGGTTCTTTCAAAAGGAGTGGCCGGTTTGAGAAAGGCAATGATTAGTTGGACTTTGAATACATTCTAATTTTACTTATATTCTGCAACCCCTTCAGGCACAGGTTGTCTTCTCATAAGTCTGCTCACAGATATCTCTGCTAAAGGCATGCATCTGAAGCTTCTCCCACACTTTCTTCCACATCTTCTTCCAGCTCTTCCACCCCCAAAGGGTAAATTATTCTTCTGAATGGTCACATTTTAGGATGATGACTGAGATTACCCAAAAAGCTTACCAAAGATATCAGGAAGTATACAGGCTAATAATAATGCCGTATTTAACTTCCTTCTTCTTGATATTCCTCATATGTGGAACTCCCTGGGAAAATCTACCAGGAAGAGGAATAGTGGTCAAGGCAGAATGTCAGCATCTAGCTTGGTGTAATGGTTAATTTTAAGTGTTAAATTAACTAGGTTATAAATGTCCAGTAGTTTGGGCAAACACTAGTCTAGATGTTACTAAGGTATTTTGTAAATGTAATTAACATCTACAATCAGTTGACTTGACATAAAGGAGATTAGTCTCCATAATGTAGGTGAGGTTTATCCAATCAGTTGAAGGCCTTGAATGGGAAAACCGAGGTTTGGCAGAGAAGAAGGAACTCTGCCTTAAGACTGTAATATAGAAATTCTGCCTGAGCTTCCAGCATGACATCCTGCCCTACAAACTTTAGACTCAAAGCTACATCACCTCCAGCCTGTTTCCAGTTTATTGGCCTGCCCTAGAAATTTGGAACTTGCCAGCCCCCATAATTCTGTGAGCCAATTTCTTAAAATAATTCTCTATGAGATATATACATATATTCTGATGGTTCTGTTTCTTAGGAGAACCCTGACATAAGGGACATTGACACTTACCCTGAGTTATATCACATACCTAGCTAACTCTTACAGGAGGATGTTGGTCACAAATCTGCTTAAAATAGACTTTGCTATAACAGAACCCACAAATACCTTCTTATGTTACATACTGACTCATGCTGGCCACTATAAACCACAGAAAATTCTTTATGCACACTTTACAGAAATCCTAGCCTCTACTATGCCTTAAAACACATGCCTTTAAGATTTCAGGCTACTTCAAGGATATCACCTTAGATTTCAAAGGATTAAAAGGGAGACTTCAAAGGTCAAGGGAGTGGGTCCTTTGACCCACTCCCACTACCCCAAGCCTCTACACATATTCTCCCAAATTCTCCTTGATTAAGTTAGATTCAGTTACCTTCAATGAAACTTCATTTGAATTCCCCATGAGAGGTATTAAGTATTGTACATTTACTTTTGTTGATGAATTTTATATTCCATGCCATTCTAGAGATTCCAAGATTTGCAAGCTTCTATGAGCAACTTTTGTAGTGATTTGTTAGGGTGTGAAAAAATTTATTTTTCCTCTTTCCTATTCAAGTCCTGAACTAATTAGAGTTTGCAGCAAAATGAAGCATGCTCAGTTAATTTGAATTTCAGGTAAGCAATGTGTAATTTTTTTTTAGTATAAATACATTCCAAATATATCACAGAACATACTTATAATAAAAAATGGTCATTTATTAGAAATTCAAATTTCACTGGGTATACTGTATTTTTATTTGCTAAGCCTGGTAATACTCAATAGTAACTGAGAAATACAATTACAGGGTAAATCAGACATGAGATTAAAATATTACATTTGCTATTGATATAAGAATCAATAGCTGGGCATGGTGGCTCACACCTGTAATCCCAGCATTTTGGGAGGCTGAAGAGGGTAGACTGATTGAGCCCAGAAGTTCAAAAAGAACCTGGGCAACATGGCCAAACCCGGTCTCTACTAAAAATACAAAAATTAGCTGGGCATGGTGGTTCAGGCTTGTTGGCCCAGCTACTTGGGAGGCTGAGGCAGGAGGATCAGCTGGGCCTGGGAAGTTGAGGCTGCAGTGAGCCATAATTGCACCACTGCACTCCAGCCTGGGTGACAAAGTGAGGCCCTGTTTCCAATAATAATAATCTTCATCATGAAAAATATTTATAAAATAATTAATACATTCCAGAGATTTTTGACTTTAATACTGATCTGAATACTATAATAAATTATAACTGAAAACTTTAAGAGCTTTGGATTTTCCAGGTAGCATAGTTCAATAGATAATTTGCTAAGATCTAGAAAGGGTTGAAGGCAGATAACATTTTTTTTAATTTAGGACCTAAAATCTTTGAAAAGTGGAAATTGCATAAAAAAGAACTTTTTACATTTTCATTGTAATTTTAGCACATATAGATAAACATTGTTAATCTCTGGGTGTATTTCCCTCTAGTCTTCTGTGTGTGTGTGTGCGTGTGTGCACGTGCATGTGTGTATGTATGTATATTTGGACCGAATTTTATATATATATATGTGTATACACACACACACACACACACACATATATAGAATGATGAATTGGTATTACATTCTCTCTTCTGCCTTCTTCCAATCTCTCCAGCTCTGCAGCTTTTATCTTTTCTTATTCATTTTAGATTTCAAAATACCAATCAATGACTTATATGTCAACATTCAATAAACACTTCTTAAAGGAATAAAGGAAAGGCTATTATAAAATGATGAATGGGAGAAAAGTTAGGAAAACTCAAAGTATTTCTCACTGAGTGGCTAGAATGGTACTTCATAAAAGCAAGCATTCAGTAAGTGGTACCAGAAGTGTTCACAAGAGGACAAGAGGTGTACCAAATAGTCACCAGTACCAAGTACTGTTTCTAGCCATAGAAGCTGTGGATGTTGGAGGAAACAGGTGATTTGGGTGGTCTTTACTTGGATCTGATGTACTTCTGCACTAATTCCACTCAACGAAATTGAGTTGAAGCTAATCATTCTTCTTTCAACAAACATTGATTGGAACCTTTCCTTGCTCCAGGGACAGAGATGGGAAAGTAAAACATGATTGTTGTCACCATAGAATTCCACTTTGGGGAAATTAAATTGGACAATAAATACAAAATATTCAACAAGTGATATGGAAAATAAAGCAGGATACTATGGAGGAAAAAAACAACAGGAAACATATTTGAGTGAGGAGAAACTATGAAGGTCTCTCTGAGGCATAAATGATCAGTGGTGGTATTTTGCAAGGAGGAAAAGCACATAGAAAACAAAGGGAACAACATAGATAAGGAAACTGTAGTGAGAAATAATTTGGCTTATTGGAGGAAGTGAAAGACTAGCGTCATTCAATACATGGAAAGTGAGTCAAGTGACAGGGTAGCATGAGGTTGGAAAGGCAAGAGGCCATGTTGCAAAATATATTTTAGGCTACATAAAGGATTCATTATTTAATTCTAAGCACAAGAAAGAGTTATTGCTTTGTCATAAATGACCAACAATATCAATAGAGAATTTTTAAAAAATAACAGCAGTATAAAACGATGCACTGTACACAATTTAAAGAAGCTCAGACTAGACCTAATGCATTAAGTGAAAATACAATTCTATAGTCTTTACTTGGAAAAAATCCCTGGTTGTCACAAACAAAACATCTAAATTTTCCTTTGTAAAAGGAAAGCATTTCTGATTTTTTCGATGTGTTTATTTGGTATCTAAGTTACCTAAGCCATGACATAGTCACTTTTACAAATATTTAGATAAGTATTAATAAACCCACTAAAATCCTACTTTTAATTCTTAAGTATATGTATTTATATTATCTAAGTATTCCTTTCATTAACAACGATGACAATAATATTTTTAAAAAACTAAAGCTTGAGAGAGGAAAAACTTAGTAGCAGCTTTTAAAAACTGTACTGAATGCTATCTCAAGCTGCAAACGCCAGAGTAAAATTCACAGTTGAGGTGTAGAAAGAGTGAAAGCTGGATGATGTTTTGGAATCAGAATCAAGTTTAAAGCAAAAACCCTATTCACCTACACCAGCTGTGAAAACCAAGATGAAAAGCATACCATTTTGTAAACAAGTACATGAATTAGTCTATTTAATTTAGAATGAGTGATTTAACTATGTTAGACAACACAAAGAAACTTCAGCCCAAGAAAGACTAGATACTACTCATAACAGAGCCAACAAATGTCAGAGTTGGAAAACTTGAGAGAAAAGTGTTAAGACTGCTGACATTTATATGCATGCGTAGACCTCAAAAGTTGGAAACCAGAGAATATTCTGTAGTAAGAACACCATTAATGCACTGTGTGATACAGTTTCCTGCTCTAGTAAAAGCCTCTTTTGATTTCAAATGTTTTCCTTAAAAAAAAAAATATTTGCTAAAGAACACGAAATTTATTGAGTCTATGTGAAATGTACATAGTGTGTGGTTACCCTTGCAGATGAATGTGGCAACCCATCCATAACTAGATGTAGTAACAGTGGGACTGATAGTACATCTAAGAATAATCACTTCATGTTAAGATGTGGTCTCTCTTTAATCCAGTATGATATTATATTAGTCTATGTTTTCATTACATTATTTCACAAGGGCTTGTGCCCCAAGTACAGTGTCTGAGATATAGCAGGTACTTAAAAATTAAGGCAAATTACTGAGTAAATGAATATATTAATCTTTGTTATTGATATTAAAACAAATAGTGAAGGGTTTCAGAACAGTTTTATATTTGTAGAAAAATAGAAATGGAAGTACAGAGATTCTCAAAATACCCTCCCCCTTCCTGCATAGACTTCCCTTATTGTTAGTATCTTGCGTTAGTTTGAGACATTGGTTACAACTAATGAACCAATATTAATACATCATTATTAATGAAAGTCTATGGTTTATATTAAAGTTCACTACTTTTGTTGTACAGTTAAATGGGCTTTGGCAAATGCATGATGTCATGCGTCCACCACTGTAGTATCAAACACAACAGTTTCATGGCCCTAAAAATGCACACTGCTTCGCTATTCATCCCTACCCAGCCCTTCCCAACTACTGGCAACTGGTGATCTCTTTACTGTCTCTATATTTTTGCCTTTTTCAGAATGTCATATGTTTGAAATCATACCACATGTAAGCTTTTCAGACTGGTTTCTTTCGTTTAGCAACAGGCATTAAATTTTCCTTTGTCTTTTCATGACTTGATAGCTCAGTTATCTTAAATTTCTGAAAAATACTCTATTGTATTGATATACTACTATGTGTTTATCCTTCATCCATTGAAGAATATCTTTATTGTTTCCAGTTTTGGACAATTATGAATAAAACTGCTATAAACAAAGTATTCCTGATTTCTCTCCCCCATTCCTTATAGCATTGCCATTTATTTCATTTGTCTACATACAATAATCTCCCAATACATTGTGGCTATTACTATTTTGAAAAACTATTATTAGATGAATTAAGAATAAGAGAAATAAGACATTTTAATTTCTCTCAATTTATTGCTTCTCCTCTGCTCTTCCACTTTTTATGTAGGTCCACATTTCTGACTTATATCATTCTCCTTCCCTCAAAAGAACTTTTAGGGTTTCTTGCAAGCAGACCTGCTGGTGACAAATTTCCTCCATTTATGTTTGACTGAATGAGTCTTTATTTCTCCTTCATTTTTGAAAGCTAATCTGAATGAATACATAATTCTAGAATTTGGGTTTCTTTTTTTGAAAACTCAATATTTCACTTTACTGTCTTCTCACTTGCATGGTTTCTGATGAGAAATTCAGTGCAATTCTTACATTTATTCCTTTAAAGATAAGGCCCCCACCCCCTGGCCTGGATTATTTCAGGCTTTTCCCTTTGTCTTTGGTTTTCTGAAGTTTGTATACAATATTCTTAGGTATAGGTTTTTGTTATTTATTCTACTTAGTGTTCTGACTTTCCTGAATATGTAGTTTGGTGTCCGTTATTAATTTTGAAAAATACTGTATTATTATTTCAAATATTTCTTCTCTTCCTTTCTATCTTTCTTATACTTCTGGTATTTCCACTCTGCATATGTTACATCTTTTGTAATTGTCTTACACTTCTTAGATATTCTGTTGCATTAAAAAAAAGTTTTCTCTTTATATCTCACTCTTGGAAGTTTCCATTGACATATCATCAAGCTCACTGGTTCTTCCCTTGGCCATCTGTTTACTACAGAGCCCAACAAAAGCATTTTTTATTTATATTACGGTGTCTTTGATTTCTAGAATTTCCTATTGATTCTGTCTTAGAATTTCCATCTTTCTGCTTAAATTACCTACCTGTTTTTGCATTTTGTCTACATTTTATTAATTACTAGCAAATTAGTTGTAATTGTTTTAAATTCTCTATGTGATAATTCCAAAATTTGTGTCATACCTGAGTCATGTTCTGATGCTTGTTTTGTTTCTTCAAACTTTTTATCTTGCCTTTTAAAATGCCATGTAATTTTTTCATTGAAAACTTGACATGATGTATTATGTAATAGGCACTAAAGTAAACAGGCATTTGGTGTAAAAGTTTTATGCTAATCTGGCAGGGTTGGGCTGTGTTGAATGTCTGCAGTAGCTACAGGTGCCACGACCTTCTGTTTCCAGTAATTTCCTTGTTGAACGTTTTCTTCCTCTTGTCTTTGGGTTTTTCTAAAAACTCCTTATTAAACAGAGTCTGTGTCTTGAACCTCTCTCAGTTGTGAGCTCTTGTTTTTATACAGAAGCCCTGTTGATATAGTGGTAAGGTGTTGGGAGGGTAACCATTCTATCATCTTACGATTAAATATATGATTTCAGTAGATTTGTGTTCCTGGGCTGTAACATTCAGAATAAATCCTTAGCCCCCTTTTTTCTTTTCCTTATATGAGATAGGAAGTTTAGGCGGGGCTAGAGTTGGCTGGTTGCCCCTAGTTCACACCAGATACGGCCCTGTTAGAGTAGGTTTCCTTGAAGGGCAGGCCTTTTTTATGCTTTCTTTGGGCATATTTCAAAATATTTGCTAAAGTCAGTAGAAGAAAGGCAGGATTCATAAAATTCTAAAACAATAAAACTGACTAGAGAGAAAAATGATAGTTATGGGAAAAAAACAAAATAATTTTTTGCCATAATTATGTTGTGAATTTCAACACAATATAGTTATTATCTCAGAAAATAGATCACAATGAATTCAGCAGAAATAAAAATTCAAAGGTAAAGTAGAAGAGGTCTGTGTTGAAATTAAGCATAAGAAACTGCAAATTTTAAAAGAAAGATATTAAGCATAACAAACTGCAAATTCTCCAGAAAAGATTGGAAACATAAAGTCCCAGTCAACATCTGGTGACGTTACTAAGGTTCAAGGTCTACTAAACATCTTACTAGCCTCCAGAGAGAAACAGCAAGTGACCTAAACAGTGAAAAATAATTAGGCTGGCTTCAGACTTTTCCACTGTAACTGTTAGTGCCAGAAGAAAATGAAGCAATGTCTCAGTGTCCTAAGAAAAATGTTACCCAATAGTATTCCATTAAAAAATTTGTCCCCAGAATAAAAATTTCACAGATATTTTTGAACATGCAAGGACTCAAAGAACATAGTACATATAAGACTTTTTGGAAAAAAATGATCTGGAAATGAATATAGCTGAAAAGGAAAATTGTATCAAAATTGTGCATTTCAAAAATGAAGCAGAGACAAAAAAAATTATTAATATTAAATAATCAATTTAAATAAACCATTGTTTTATTTATCTAAGGTCAAACATCAGTATGTGTGTATCAAAGGTAAAACATACCGTGTTGTATAGTTGGACAGAGAGAATAGCCTGGATCCACAATTTTGTATTATAATTTCAGCTCTAAAACATTTTAGCTGTATCATCTTGGGAAGGTTAATAATAGAACTATTTCATAGGTTTCTGTGAAGATTAAATGTGCTATAATATATAAATAAAAGTGCAGGAGATATAACTCTTCAAAATATACTAGGTGAAGCAAGCAAACACTGTGCTTTGAGATATAGGAAAATTTTAGCCAATCTCTGTAAAGTAAAAACATAACAAACATTGTAAAGTAGAGTAAAATGTAAATGTAAATAGGTGCATTTAACTTGGAAATATTTTAAAAATAATTTTACTGTTAATATTAATCTTTGAATGGATAATTTTCAAAATAAAATTTCTTGTAATGAAACATTTATATGACTCGTATCTATTCCTTCAATTACAGTATTTTTCTAATATGAAATATAAGTAGAATTACATATTTTAAATCAGATATCTTACATTTTGTATATTATTTACATGTAGCTATATATATCACCTCTTTTATCTGTAGATATGCAGAGACAATAATACTTAAGGTGGCAAATAATACTTAAGGTGGATTACTTTTCCTTTTTCTCAAAATAATTATAGTTCTTGAATTTTTACTTTTACTTACAACTTTTATTTTAGGATTGAGAGGAGGTACGTGTGCAAGTTTGTTACATGAGTAAGTTGTATATTGCTGGGGTTTGGTATACAAATTTCATCACCCACCTAATGAGCAGAGTACCCAATAGGTAGTTTTTCAATCCTTACCCCCTTCCCAAGCTCCACCCTCAAGTAGGCCCCAGTGTCTATTATTTCCTTCTTTATGTTCATGTGTACTCATTGTTTAGCTCCCATTTATGAGTGATAACATGTGGTATTTGTTTTTCTATTCCTTCATTAATTCATTTAGGATAATGGCCTCTAGCGCTAGCCACATTCCCGTAAAGGACATGATCTCATTCTTTTTTATGGCTGCATAGTATTCCATCATTTACATGTACCACATTTTCATTATCCATTATCCGGTCCACTGTTTATGGGCTTCTAGGTGGATTCCATGTTTTTGCTATTGTAAATATTGTTGCAATGAACATATGAGAGAATGTCTTTTTGGTAGAACAATTTATATTTAATTTGTTGTATACCCATATAACAGGATTGTTAGTCAACTGATAGTTCTAAGTTCTTTGGGAGTTTCCAAACTGCTGTTCACAGAGGCTGAAATATTTAGATTCCCACCAGCATTGTATAAGAATTCTCTTTTCTCTACAACTTTGCTAACATCTGTTATTTTCTGACTTTAATAATACCCATTCTGACTGATATAAGATGGTATCTCATTGTGGTTTTAATTGGAATTTCTCTAATAATTAGTCGTGGTGCATTTTATCATAAGCTTGTTGATCATGTGTATGTCTTCTTTTCAGAAGTGTCTGTTCATGTACTTTGCCCATTTAATGGGGTTTGTTTCTTTTTGCTGTTTAATTTGTTTAAATCCCTTATAGATTCCAGGTTAGCTTTTTTGTCAGATGCATAGTTTCCAAATATTTTCTCCCATTCTGTAGGTTGTCGGTTTACTCTGTTGATAGTTTATTTTGCTGTGCAGAAGTTCTTCAATTTAATTAGGTCCTACTTATCACTTTTGGTGTTGTTGCAATTGCTTTTGGAGTTTTCATCATGAAATGTTGCCAGGGTCTGTGTCAAGAATGGTATTTCCTAGGTTTTCTTCTAGGTTTTTTTTTTGTTTCTGGTTTTATATTTAAGTCTTTAATCCATCTTGAGTTGATTTTTGTATATGATGAAAGAAAGGGGTTCAGTTTCAATCTTCTGCATATGGTTAGCCAGTTATCTCAGCACCACTTATTAAATACAAAGTCCTTTCCTAATTACTTGTTCTTTCAATTTTTTGAAGATCAGATGGTTGTAGGTGTTCACCTTTATTTCTCGGTTCTCTAACCTGTTCCATTGGTCTATGTGTCTGTTTTCGTACCAGTATCATGCTGTTTTGATTACTGTAGCCTTTTATTATAGTTTGAAGTTGGGTAGTGTGCTATTTCCAGCTTTGTTATTTTTGCTTAGAATTGCTTTCAGTATTCAGGCACTTTCTTGGTTACATATGAATTTTAGAATAGTTTTTTCTAATTTTGTGAAAAAAATGTTGTTGGTAGTTTGTGGGAATATAATTAAACATGTAAATTCCTCTGGACAATATAGTCATTTAACAATATTGATTCTTCCTATCCATGAGCATGGAATGTTTTTTCCATTTGTTTATGTCATCTCTGATTTCTTTCAGCAGCGTTTTGTAATTCTTATAGTAGAGATATTCTACATCACACATCAAAAAAATTAGAAATAATTCAAATGATCCACCTAACATCATACCTAGAGGAACTAGAAAATCAAGAGAAAACTGACACCAAAGCTAGCAGGAAAAAAAAAAAAAGAGCTGAATTGAATGAAATGGAGATGTGAGAACCCATACAAAACATCAACAAAACTCAAAGCTGGATATTTGAAAGAATAAATATGATGGATAGACTGCTACTTAGACTAATAAAAAAGAGAGAAGATTCAAACAGCACAATCAGAAATGGCAAAAGATACATTATCACTGACCCCATAGAAATACAAAACAAACAAACAAAAACCACTCAGAGACAACTATAATCACCACTATGCACACAAACTAGAAAATTCAGAATAAATGGATAAATTCCTGGAAACAAATAACTTCCCAGGATGGAATCAAGAAGAAATTAAAACTGCACAGACCAATAACAAATTCCTAAATTGAATCATTAATTAAAAAAAAAACAGAAAAAGTCCTGGACAAGATGGATTCACTGCCAAATTCCACAAGATTTATAAAGAAGAGCTGGTATCAATCCTACTGAAACTATTCCAAAAAATCAAGGAGGAGGAACTACTTCCTAACTCATTCTATGAGGCGAGCATCATTCTGATACCAAAACCTGGCAGAAACACAACAACAACAAAAGAAAACTTCAGGCTAATATTGCTGACCAACATAGACGCAAAAATCCTTAGCAAACTACTAGCAAACCGAATCTAGCAGCACACCAAAAGTCTAATCCACCACAATCAAGAAGGCCTTATCCGTGGGATGCCAGGTTGGTTCAACATATGTAAATCATCACATAAAACTGAAAAACAAAAACCACATGATCATTCCCATAGATGCAGAAAAGGCTTTTAATAAAATTCAACATCCCTCCATGTTAATAACGCTTAACAAACTAGACATTAAAGGAACATATCTCAAAGTAATAAGAGCTAGCTATGAAAAAACCCACAGCCAACATCATACTGAACAGGCAAAAGCTGGATGCATTCCCCTTAAGGACTGGAACAACACAAGGATTCCCACTTTCCCCATCCCATTCGACATAGTTCTGGAAGTCCTAGCCAGAGGAGACAAGAGAAAGAAATGTAAGAAAAGGCATCCAAATAGAAAGAGAGGATATTAAACTCTCTCTCTTTTCAGGTGATATGATTCTATACCTAGAAAACCACATGGTCTCTGCGCTCTGCCCAAAGGCTCCTAGATCTGATAAAAGATTTCGGCAAAGTTTCAGGATACAAAATCAACACATAAAAATCGGTAGCACTTCTATACATCAATAATATCCAAGCTGAGAGCTAAATCAAAAAATGCAATCCTATTCAAAATAGCCACAAAGAGAATAACATATCTAGTTCTTATTCTTTTTATAATGATAAAAGACATGATGCATACCAAAACAATAAGCTTTTTAAAAAAAAGTAATATAAAAAAGGCAAGTAAAAGAGAAGAATCTGAAGCCCAAATTATAATGATAAAATGAGTATTCATAGTGGTTGACTGTAACTATTATTTTATTATTGATATAGCATGTGTATTGTGAAAAGTGATATGATAAATACAGTGTACCACATGCTATTCATGAAGCAGAGATTTAATAATATTACTATAACATATTGTTTATCAATTGAACTATGAGTATCTTGCATCCAATTCATTTGGAACACAGATAAGACTGAGAAATGCTAGAGGCTTCAGCTTAGCCAAAACAGGTGTCAGAAAGGCCACGTGCTAAGGTTCAAAGACTACTACTACTCATGATCCATTTGCTATTCTTTTACTAGTCCCTGCTGAGAACCACTCCACCCTTTTTTTAGTTCTCTTAAAACTAAGGGATGAAAGCATTTGTCCTAAGGTCTAAGTCAGTTCATGTATTTAACTGACAAATACTTGCTGAATGCCTGCTATGTATTATAGGCTAGGAATACAGCAGTAGACAAAAATGATAAACCGTGTTTTCATGGAGATAACATTCTGGTGGAGGATATACATAAACTAATAATTTATGTAATCATGTCATATAGTTCTAAGTGTTATAATGAAGTTGTATATATTTTAAATGAAGTGGTCACGGAAGAAGCAACTGAAGTAACATTTGACATTTGAGTAGAGCTTTGAATGACATGAAGATTCAGCGAATTAGGACTCTTAATTCCCCCAAATCCCACCCCCCTGCTTTTTTGTGATGAGTATGTAGTTTGATCAGAATCGACTACACAAAGAAAATATTTTGGAGGGCTTTCTAGAATAAATAATTCCTCAATTCTGGATTTCAACCTGAAAAAAATTGTAAGATACAGAGCAGCTGTAGCCATCTCCTCCATTTGGAAACCCATCTGAGAATGATGCTTACAAAAGGAAGCTTTCTTGAAAAAGAAACTTGTACTTTTCTGTTACTTGGGCAAATCAATTATCTTTTCCTAAGCCAGTTTGATTTTTGGTTTTCTTAACTTTTAGCCAGACAGAGTCTTAAGTGGTACAGAAACTCTTTCAGATTCTCATCAAAAGTCCATGCCATGTATCTTTGTAGGTGACATAAGAAAGTCTTAGCAGCAAATAAAAGTAAAACCTCACTTCCAGAAGCCCATGAATAGCAGCTTGAAAAGTGTCACTGAACAGCTTGGTAGTTTGGCTAGAAATAACAGAAAAAAAGTAATTAAAAAAACAGGAAAAGGAATTAATTTAGTGTGTTGGTCAAGAACCTGTTATCATTATCATAAATACAAACAACCTTCTATATATTAGAATAGCTCAAGCAAATCATAATGGTTATTCATTATTTATTAATTCATGATTTCATTAATTGATTAATTCATTCAAAAATACTGAGCATAAACTTTGAGTCAAGGACTATCTTAGGCACTGAGAATACAACTGTAAATCTGACCAGTAAAGTATATTTATTCACCTTGGACAGACATATGTAAGAATAGAAAAACATAACAGAATATGGCAAGAGCTATAAAGAAACAAATGTGGAGGTTGTGTAGACTATAATGGGAAGGAAGAGGGTCTACCTTGATGTGGAGGGGGTCAGGGGAAGCCTCTTTTGAGGGGATATTTATGCAGAAGTTTAAAAAGTGAGGCAGCCATTCTAAAGTGTGGAAACAAATATTAAGTGCAGTATTTTGAGGATACACTGATTTGGCTTGATTCCAGAACAGAAAGGTCACCCACATGACTGAAGTAGAGTGACTGAGGAAGAGGTGCTTGACCTAAGCTTGGAAAAATAGGGAGGATCTAGCTGATGGGGAGCTTTGCAGGCCATGGCTTGAGTTTTGATTTCACTCAAAGAGAAATGTGAAGCTATTCAATGTTTGCAAAGAAAAAAAAATGTGGGCAAAGGATATGAGCAGACACTTCTCAAAATAAGACATCTATGTGGCCAATAAACCTGTGAAAAAAAGCTCACCATCACTGGTCATTAGAGAAATGCAAATCGAAAGCACAATGTGATACCATCTCACACCAGTTAGAATGGCGATGATTGCAAAGTCAGGAAACAACAGATGCTGGAGAGGATGTGAAGAAATAAGAATGCTTTTACACTGTTGGTGGGAGTGTAAATTAGTTCAACCATTGTGGAAGGCAGTGTGGCAATTCCTCAAGGATCTAGAACCAGAAATACCATTTGACCCAGCAATCCAATTACTGGGTATAAACCCAAAGAATTATAAATCATACTACTATAAAGACACATGCACATGTATGTTAATTGCAGCAGTGTTTGCAGTAACAAAGACTTGGAACCAATCCAAATGCCCATCAATGATAGACTGGATAAAGCAAATGTAGCACATATACACCATGGAATACCATGCAGCCATAAAAAAGTTCATGTCCTTTGTAGGGACATGGATGAAGCTGGAAACCATCATTCTCAGCAAACTAACATAGGAACAGAAGACCAAACACCACATGTTCTCACTCATAAGTGGGAATTGAACAACAAGAACACATGGACACAGGGAGAGGAACATCATACACTGGGGCCTGTCAGTGGGTGGTGGGCTAGGGGAGGGATAGCATTAGGAGAAATACCTAATGTAGATGACAGATCGACGGGTGCAGCAAACCACCATGGCACGTGAATACCTATGTAACAAACCTGCACATTCTGCACATGTATCCCAGAACTTTATAATGAAAAAAATCAAGCAATATAATTTAAAAATAAAATAAAGTAGATAAAACACACAGACAGAAAATGTGGAGTTTTATGTAGTTTTTTCTTTATCTCTCTGGCTCGTGTTTGATGAATGAATGATAGAAACAGAAAAAAAAGGAAGCAGGAAGACTTGGTAATATGCTTTTCTGGTAGTACCAGAGAGAGATGATTGTGAAATGAGATACATCTGTAGTAGAATTAATTTCTTTTGATAGATTGGATGGAGGGGGAAACATTAGGAAATGGAAGAAATCAATAGCAATTTTATGGCTTTGGGCTGGAGCCAACTAGGGTAATGTGATACCACCTAATCACTGGGAAGAGGAGACGGTCAAAGCTTAGAGTGGGTCTAAAAGCCATCATATCAGGTGTATTGTGATTTTCTAATTAGACATCCAAGTGAAGATGTCAAGTTCTAAGTAGTCAACGGCATATATGAATCTTTGACTCAGAATAAAACATGAGGGCTGAGGATGTAAAGCTGGACAATTTACACATAAAATGTTAGCTCAGTGTTGTGGTTAAGAACTTGGGCTTTGCTGCCAGACTGCTCAGCTTTGATTTTGGCTCTGCTTCTTATTTGTTGAAGTCACTTAACCTCCCTGGACCTTAGTTTCCTCTTCCATAGATGAGGATAATAAGCAATGTCAGGCTCATAGTATGTATTCAAAACTAGTTATTGTTAACATATTATTGTTTTTGTTGTAATTATAGCATGGAAGCAGGTGAGGTCACCCACAGAGAAAGGATAACTAGAGAAAAGATGAATCATATGATTAAAACCTGAGGCACTCTAAAAGTTAGAGGTTGGGTCAAGAAAAAGAAGGCAAACAAAGAAACTGAGAAAGCATAGCTCATGTGGTCAGAGAAAAACCACATCAAGACCAAGGTAGGCTGCTGGGACATTAATTAAGACAAAGCCAGAAAACCATTCATACAGAACCCAGACTGCAGTGAAATGATGAGTGAATGGGAACAGAGCAAGCAGAAACAGCCAATGCATACTGTTTATTTGGGAATTTATTTTTCTGAAAAAGGGCACTTAAAAATAGGACTGTAGCAGATGAAAATGTAGACTTCAAGGGCCATTATATTGTTAAAAAAAAAGCATAATTGCAGAAATCAAATTTGAAGGATTTATAGACTGAATTAAATCTGCAGATACATTTTTGGATTCTATAGTAATTTTAAATCATTTGATTTTGAATTCCTTTAGACTTAGCATGTTCTCTCTAATTTGCTGTTGTATCTACCACTTTCGATTGACTTTAATTCAGTTCATTTGGTTTATATAGAATACCTGCCTGACCCCATGCTCAGAGAATGTGTGCATTTACATGGAATCGATCTAGTAGAAGCATGGGATACTTTACGTAGAAGGAGGAGACAACTGAATAAACACAACCCTTGAGAAGAGAAAAGGGAATAGGAGCCTAGGAATGGGAATTTATTTTTTACTTCTTGCACTGTTGTAACAGGGAAGTCAAAGAAGATACGCAGAAGTGCAGGTGAATTTGATAGTGGAAAGTTAACTATTTCTCTGATGACTTCTATCTTTTCAGTGCAGAGAAATGGAATATAGGATCTTTGAAGACAGAAATTATGTTATAAAATATTCATCTTAATGTTGGAAAGGGGATCAACGTTAGAAACACACTAGATCTGCCAGCCAAGGTTGAAGCTTATCTGAAAGAACTTGAAGTGAAACCAATTGTCATTGTATGTGATCTTCACTAGTAATATACAGTTTCTCAGATGCAGAATGGGAGACACTTGGGAGTTGTGCTAAACCAAAGTTGAGGTTTTCCCTGGTGAGTATAATAGAAGGGAAAAGAGAAAGAGCAAAAGTGTTTGAAAGGGAGTAATTATGATAATGGCCCATGGAATCCAAGGGTAAGGAGAAAGTGAAGATAGAAGTTTTAATGGATGGTAAAAAAGTGATGAGGTCTATGGAATGAAAGTCTCATGAGGCAAAAAGACAAATGATAACAGTACCCTACTGGTAGGTTATATAATGCCTGGTGATAACAAGCTGATGGGTTCAACAATGATGGTGAGAGGCTGGGTAGGAATGTGGTAACTTCTACATGTGAGAAGACAAAGCAACCACCAGGCCACCATGATAGATGGATCACACATGGAGGTTCATGTAATTGTGAATGATGATGGACATGTATGGAGGGAATGAATGAACCAGTTGCAAAAGTCATCAACCATAAAAGAGCTGGACAAGGATGTCTAGCAGCTGATGACAGGGAGGATGTTGTGGGTAACTAAGCCACATGTTGAGTTTCAGAATGAATAATGTTTTTGAAAAAGTAAAGAGATCATTTCGGAGAGAAAATGCAGAGCACAAAAAAACTCTCCATTCTTAAATTATGTGGGGGAGGACGAACAGCCAACCAACCACCACTTTGAAAGGACTGCAGAGGAAAACCTTTGTCAGGAGACAGCCAGATTCTTTTAAGGTAATGGAAATAAAGGAAGATTTTCTGAAAGAAGCTGAGACAAATATTGCAGAGAAGGCTTGAAAGATACTGGGAGGAGAAGATTGGATAAAATCAGCATGGTACATGTGGGTTTATGGTGATATGAAGGCCTGGGGCTTTGGATTTCTGCTGAGTAGGAGGCCTCTGAGACAACATGAGGCTTATCTTAATAGTTCTTTTTTGGAAGATAGGTAATCATTGCAGTGAATTTTTGTTGTTGTTTTTTTTTTGTTTTCCCTTATAATCAGTGAGGTGGAATATCTACACCCTCCCATAGCTCTTAATAATGTCACCTTTTGAAGTCAGGGGCAAGGGCAGGCAGCACGGGGCTGTCCTCACAGTGTCTGCTCACCTTTGCTGTAGAACAGAGAGAAAGTAATCACTGGGAGAAAACTGTGTTTAGTTTAAAATTAATTCTGTTTAAGCAAGCAGAGCGGTGTTTAATTAATTTTGTAAAGAGTTACAGTCAAAAGGTTTTGTAAAGTGTTTTGGGGCTTAAAGAGATAAAGCTGCAAAGCCTCTGTTTCTAAATAATGCCAGGAGTCATAATAACTGATCACCCAAGGGTTTCTAATAACCAAGCATGGGCACTACTAAGAAAATTATCATGAGACTAGAAGATATTCACCAAGGATAAGAAAGGCTGGAGCTGGTAACTTATCCTTCCTCACTGCTCAGTCTTGATTAGGTCCTCGAGTGATTGTAACCAATTTGAGGGCTCACACTTCAAAATAGATTTTGAAATATTGGAGAGGGTCCCAATAAGATAGAGAAATGATTTAAGAAATCAACTGTTACAAGGAAATGTAAAAATCGTATTTATTTGGAGGAAGAAAAGGTTCAAGAATGATCATTTCTGCTTGCAATGCTACACAAAGGCAAGTAGTTTGGCCTTTAAATTGTCATGAAAATCGGACTTCAACTGCACAGTGTTCTGAAGCCTAAGGAAGACACAATTTAAACACCAACAGTTCAACAAAGGATAGTGTCGAAACAATATTTCTGGAAATAGTCTTGTAAGTTTAACCAGAGCCCTCCAGAAAGCAAGAAGCTAGGTAGCTCTCACCTCTCTGTCACCTAACAAGGTGCACAGAGTACTAGATCAAATATTGAGGGAAAAGGAAGAAAGTTGGTATTTTCATAGATACTCAAGGAATCTGTTGTTTCTTCTAAAACATTCAGCAGAGCCTGAAGCTAGTGACAGATAAATAGGCTTTGAATCAGAAATGCGTGGAACTGAGAGCTAACACTGCCTTTTTGTGTATACACGTATCCCTCAGACAGACTCAATCATGTCTAGGGACCTGACACAGAGAAAAGCCAAGTTGATTTCCTCTTTTTTTGTGTCACACATGGTGCTGTATCATTTATCATCTGAGTCTCAGTAGTCCCATCTGTGAATAGTGGTAAGCACTCTGCTTAAGAATGTGTTGAGGTGATTAACAATCATATATGAAATCACCTGACACCCCACGTGGACCTTGCTTCTAAAGAGGACAAGCCTAGAAACTTGGATTCAGGCATCTTTCCAGCACTGCTTCTAAAAGTGGCCTTTATATGGTGGGGTGAGACTTCACAGATGCCAGAAATAAGTTCCTGTCTCCAAGATGGCCTCTCTATTTTTTGAGAGGTCTTGGTAGACTTCATACATTACCCATTATCACTGTTTCTGCTCCAAATAAAATTGTTTTTGAGAAAAACAATGCATACTAAGAACAAATCATTTGGAAACAGGGTTGGATGATGGGGATGACAAATAAGAATGCCCTGAATAGATGGGCAAAGACATTTTGAGGGCAGGGAAGATGGGAGCAGAGGCAGGAAGGGGAGTGAGAGAACCTTAAAGACAAACCTTCTTCTCTCCCATCACTTGGCCCAGGAGTAATACCGCTTTCAAAATTCAATACATCTATTCACTTGCAGACATGAAGGAAAAGATTCCTGAAGCATAAGTGAGAACCAAATTCCTAGATTTATCTAAAGCATACCAGAATACAAGATGCAACTTTCACCTTTCTCTAGGACTTATACAATGTAAAATTGAGGTATGGAAATTTAAAGCATATTTTTTCTCTTCATATTTGTATTAAAGTTCAATTTTACAAACCATGGAAGTTAACAAGAGCTTAAAATAAAGCTCCTATTCTAAGGAAAAAATGTGTAATTTGATTTATTTGTCTATGATAGATACAATAACTTTTTTTAAAAAAAGCCCCTTTTCTCCCCAAAACACGCAGATCATATTTATGCATCACTTCTGGATGTAATTTTTTTAAAGTTATGCAAAAGGTTCATTTTTCCCTGTTTTGCTATCAAAGCATTCCATGCAATCAAAATAATTGGGATATCTTTTTTTACTTACCCAATATTAAACAGGTAAGGTTTCTGCAACATTTACCAAATTTCACTTAACATTAATGAAAAGTGAAGAAAGCAATTCAAGACTTCAAGTTTTGGGAAAATTATTTCTTATTAGAACTAAAATATCCATCTATAGTATCACTGTATACATGAACTTCATTTCTTAATTGGTGAGTTTGTTACAGATGAGGTATGTTAAATCCAACTTTTTCCATTTAAAAATTTTAAGGTGATACTTTGGCAATTATAACTCCATTAACATAATTTCAAGAACTTTGTATACTATGTGATTTGGATCCTACTGCTTAGTTTGGGTGACTATAAAATAATTTGAGGTTTTTTAAAGACTGAGAAGTATTTCTCAATATTAGGTTTTGCAAACAGAAAGTTGAGTGTTATAAATTCCACCTCCCACAGACCAGAATTCACAGCCATTGGTCAGGGGCAAATACCACTAGCTCTGCATCCTCAGTCACTTTGTGCCATTTCATCAGGTCAGAGCCAAAGGTAAGTTTTTATACTTGCTTTCTTCTTGGGTCAGAGTTCTTTCCCTACTATAACAACCTTTAAAAAATAATTTAACTTGCCTTAATGTCATCTGGTGAATTTTGATTCAATGGATTTGGTTTATTTTTGTTATTGACTTTGTATTTATATTATTCTTGGAAAATCCAAAATTTTGAATTAGCTTAGGAATTAATAACATACAGCAAATAGTTAATCTCAGTAGTCATGACAGATGCCAATAAAATTAGAGTAGTTTCCAATATATGCCTTAAGTAAAGTTTCCTGACACAGACCACATTCTTTGCCAGTATAGACAGGCACTATTGATTGATATTAATTGAAATTTTGTGAAAAGGGAGGAAATAGTGAAATTTCCTGAGATTAAAAGTATTGTAATGATTACATGACATTATGCATTTAAAATTTTTTTGAGCTATATATTGAAAGTTTTAAATACACAAATTTTAAAATATTAATAAATGGTATAAAGTGAACACAAAATTAAAGTGTTAATTAAGAAACTACATTAAATGCTAATACAATTACTTGAAGAAAGGAATATAAATTTTTTAACTAAACATAGATAGATGCTGTATATATTTTTAAGATTCACACAGCCTGCCTTATAGTTGATAGCTCTAGGAGTGATGCAAAATGCAAGCAAATTCTGAGATGTAGCTATATGTAATCAAATATAGTATGATGTGAGAAAAAAGGCCAGCAAGTGTATAATTTCTTTGAATAATGGAAGTTGCCAGAAACATATAAGGAAAAATTTTTTTTAAGTTGGTAGTGGCTTCTGTTAATGTTTCCAACTTGATTATGGGAGAATGGTTCCTGGAAGATTTGCAAACCCACTGTTTTATTAAGTAGGACTTTGTTGGTAATTGCCTAGAACAGTTCCAAATCTGCAATCCTGCAAAGACTTCTGCAAAGGCAACTGAAATAGAGGCTTAGTTTATCCTGTGTGAATAAGAAATTTATTTGAAGAAAGCATAGGAGAGCTAAGAAGGAGCTCCTTGTACTGCTTCTTATTCTCAGAGGAATTTCATATCCTTCTGCCTAAACCTGCTTCATAAAGGCTTTCTTTCAAGTAACTGAAGGTCATTTTGTCTGCCAGTGCATTCAAGTTTAAAAGTAATATTTATCATGAATTCCCTTTTATATGTATGCATAGGTAGTAACACCACAGGTACTGTTCTTAAAGTAAACCCAAGAAGTGTGTCCAAATGTAAAAGCCTCTAAAATTAGACATGCTTGATACAGAATTTTACAATACTTTGCCTGCTCAATAAGGGATCACTAGGTAACATTTTGGTAAGACTAACTTAAATGTTTCAAATTAAATGTGAAGATTTTTTTTCTAAACCAAAATGTATTCAAATGAGTACATACAGAACTAAAAAAATAATTAAATTATAGGATCTTGATTGAATCCTCAAAAAGCATAATGTTATAATGGAAAATAAGAATTGTGCTTATTAAGGAATTAAAAAACAAAGATGGCTATAATCCCACAGGCATACAAGGGAATCTTACCAAATAGTGCCTTTTAAACATGTATTCCTGTTGGTTCTGAGTTCAAATCTTAGATAGCTATTAAGAATTAAATAAAATACTGAGGACTAAAGGAAATTTTTTTTCTATTCTATTTCATTAGGAGCATTTTGAACAATATTGCATGAAATACTAACGTACATATTAAACAATGTATGTATTTATATGTCCAGAGGCTACAAAGAAGTAACAGAAAAAACAAACAAAACTTTGTTACTTTGTTCTGAAGAAGGCCTTAGACTTAAATGTACAAGAAACAGTTATGAGTCCTATTTTTAAAATTATTTTTAAAACCCCAATGCCTAAGCCACACTGTGGATCACTGAAATTGGAATTATTTGTGGATATCCTAGTTGCATTACCAGTCAACTCTGCCTCAGTTTCTTCACCTATAAAATGGTATGACAGTTGCAGTCATCATCACCGTCATCATCATTATCCTTATCATCTTCAACTTCATATCCCAGAGTTGATGAAGGATCTTAATGTTTATTAAATGGTAAAATTATTAGATGATGAAAAGCTTTTGTGAATAAGCTCTGTTTTTCTCTATAAAATAAAATAAAATTTTACTGTAATTAAAATATCCACTGTAAAATTAGAGACAGGTTTGTGAATTAATTTGAACATCTGGCAGCAATGGTCCTAGGAAATCAGATGATTTTGTGTGTTATGTTTATAAATTATCCATGGAAGGAAAGCTACCAGCTTGAGTTCTTTGATATTGACACTAATTTATCATTTCTATTTAGTGCAAACTATTCATAAGTTATCAATTAAATATTTATGCATTTTAATATTTTATAATTAGGAAAGCTTGAAAAATGAAGACATTAGCAGGACTTGTTCTGGGACTTGTCATCTTTGATGCTGCTGTGACTGCCCCAACTCTAGAGTCCATCAACTATGACTCAGAAACCTATGATGCCACCTTAGAAGACCTGGATAATTTGTACAACTATGAAAACATACCTGTTGATAAAGTTGAGGTAATCGATCCTCCTACTCTTGAAACTTTAAAAAGCATAGGATGAGGAATGACTTGGGTCTGTTTTCCTCAAATAGATGTTTGGGTTTTTTTATAAGTAGAAAGATTTTATGTTAATAATTTCATATTAACCTTTTCTCCAAAACATGTTCAATCTTTTGGAGGTTAATACCGGAACAGTCTTTTGCCCTTTTTTTTTTTTTTTTTTTTTTGAGACAGTGTCTTGCTCCATCTCCCAGACTGTAATGCAGTGTCGCAGTCTTGGCTCACTGCAACCTCCGCCTCCTGGGTTCAAGCAATTCTCCTGCCTCAGCCTCCCGAGTAGCTAGGACTACAGGCTCGTAGCTAGGACACACGCAGCTAATTTTTGTATTTTTAGTAGAGATGGGATTTCACCATGTTGGCCAGGATGGTCTTGATCTCTTGACCTCGTGATGCACCCCCCTCAGCCTTCCCAAATGCTGGGATTACAGGTGTAAGCCACTGCACCTGGCTAGTCTTTTGTTTTTTTAAAGCTCATGTTATTTCCTTCAAATTTTATTGCCAAATTGAACATAAAAATGTATTTCTGTGAAGTTAGAACAGAGAAAATTAGAAAAAGTCAATCAGCAAGGAAAAGAGTTAAAATGGTATGCACGCAATGATGTGGAAAATTTGGGGTAAAGGAGAAAGATGTGAGATTGAAATAAACTAGAAGAAAATAATAATAGAGAGAAAGAACAATAGTTTGGAACTCCACTGTAGCTCAACAGTGAATGTGCTTCCCTAAATAACTGATTGTCTCTCCGGCAGTAATGTAGAAATTGGCAAGGTTGTAGCCCATTCCATAAATCTGATATGACATGTTCCTAATTAAATACAAGTCTTTTAATATAACTAAAGGATACAGGCTAATCTTTATGAATCAGAAAGCAAACAGACCTTGAAATGCAGGAGTGTAACTAATGTGCAACACTGACAAAGACTAATTAACTATAAATAAACAAAAAGAGAAATTACATCACCTTTAAAGGATCATAACATATTTTGGGCAATCTTTAAAGTGTAAATCTTCTTAGAATAACTACTTTTGATAACCAAGGATAGAAAATATTTAGATGAAATCGTATATTTAACTTGTATTGAACTTAGATATATCTTTACTAAGAAGATACTAAAATTTTTCAATATTGTTTATGTTGCCTTATGAATACAAGAGTCAGATTTTCACAATGTGATAGATTTTAAAAATCTACTCCCCTCTCCCCCTTCTCTCTCTTACTTTCACCCTCACCCTCTTTTGACCCTCATTTCATCTTTCCCTCCCATTTTTCCTCTCTTTAGTAAAGTTTAGGCTCTACAGCAGATTATTTTTCTTCTGCACATTTGATTGTGACTCTAAGTCTTTATTAATATTCACTGTTTGATTTATTTCACTGTATGGATTCTGTCTGTTAACAGGATTTTCTGTTGAGAATTTATGGTTGATAACAACAATCTTGGCCTATGTGACTTCTACATCTCCAATGTGATGCATCAATGTAGAATATAAGATGAAAGTTTTTCAGTGGTTAATTCATCTGCCTTGCTTCTTTTTTCATCTTGCATAAAAACACATTTTTTTAAAAAAAAGTTAGTGCATTTCTGAATTTATCTATCAAATTAAACATTTTAGTTCAAACTTATTTGTCATTTCCCCCCAAACTATTCCAGAGGATCAGAGAGATTTGATGATCACTATAACTGAATCTTCTATTTTGAGTAGGTTTTGGGAATGGTTTCAAGGGTGCTATTTATTCCTTTCACAAGTCCAAATACACAATAGAAAAAAAAATGCTGTTTGGGATCATGGCTTCTCTAGGCAAAAATGAAAAAAATGACTATATCTGCAGAGCTCTTTTAACCCATTCCTTACCATCAGGATCATTTTCACTGCCCATAAAGCTGTAGGCATTCTCATGAGGTTCGGACATTTTTCATGACATCAAGAAATTTAAGCTAACAAACATATCTGTATAAACATTACTTAATATACAATATTATCTTAGTATCTGTGTTTTCTGGAACAACAACTTCCTGTGGAATGCCAAATATAATGTGAAATACCAAATATAAAGCATTGCGTCTTTACATACTTCAGCCTTTACCACATACAAACAATTCTAATTTTACACAGAGTCCTTTCTGAGAAATTTTACTTCAAACCAAACTTAGAATACTCAGTGAGTGAGGGATCCAGAGAGCCACTAACAATCCCTTGTGGTTGACTGAAATATATTAGTTATCCCTTACTTAACATTCCTTGGTGATGAACTCATGATCAGAAAAACCAGTTTGTAGGTAGACGGTATAGATACAGATATAAATAGGCATATACATATGCTATAATAACTCTAATGCACTTAAAATAAAACCTGTAGTTTTTTAAAATATTTATAGGGTAGACCTAGTAACAAGAAATCAACCAACTCACTCATCCATTATCTAAGAAAAAAAGAAATACAAAAACAAAAATATATGATAAAGTAAATAAGATGACATGAGGAACAAAATTTAGAAGAACTTTAGCTCAGATATTAACAAATTAAAATGAATTGCTTTTCAAACAAGCAAAAAAAACAGCACACAATTTCTTATGGGGTGATGTAAAGTAAAGATGATAGATCCAGTCATGTGAATAGATTAATAGAGTTACTCATGACATGAATTTCTTCATGCAGTCCTGGAAGTCCAGATTTCAGTGACTCGTGGTAAGCATATTTATCTCATTTTTATATATTAAGGTGAGTTGTTTCAAATGTTCTTGATTTCATATGAAACATTCTGACTAAATACTACTAACGTAACCAATATAGGGTACAGTTAAAGAAAAAAATCCATGGTAAGTAAAGCACATGGAAAATGGTAGGATGAGATTCTTCATATTTTTTTAAATCTCCTATGTGTGTGTTTCTGCCTGTTTCAGCCTAGAATTTATCTCATCTGTAGAATAGAAAACCTTTGTTCTAAAATTATAAATTTATAGGATAACTGAACAATGCCTTTAACATATGTACCAGTTTCTTATAAGTTATAAGACTTGGCATTTTGGACTAGTGTAATAGACCCTTGGTTTAGGCTTTGGCAGATTAATTCTTAAGGCCTTTGATGTATATTGCAGGCAGAATTCTAAGATGTTCCCTAAAAGTCCCATTCCTAGTATACCCATGCCCTCTATAATCCTTAATATCATGGGTATTTGGGGATATCACTTCTATAATTGGGCTATACTATATGGCACAGTTGAATTTAAGAAAGGGAGACCACCTAAAAGGGCCTGACCTAAACTCATGAGATGTTTAAATCAGCATCTTGATGTCAGAGTCAAAATTTGAAGCATGACAGAGATTCAAAGCAAAGTGAACTGTGTGTTGATGACTTAAAAGATAGAAGGACCAATTTGGTAAGGAATGTAGAAGGCCTGTAAATGGTGAGAGAAACTGATGGCCAGTAAGCATATGTGGTCCTCAGGCCTACAGACACAAGGAACTCTGAGCTCTGCATGAGACCACAGCCCTAGTCATCACCTTGACTTTGACCTTGTGAGACCCTTGGGAGAGAAGCCAGTCAGATCAGGCCTGAACTTCTGACCTACAGAAACTGTGGGCTAAAAAAATGGGTATAGCTTTACTAAGTTTATGGCAATTTGTTATGCAGCATGAAAAAATTAAAACAAGATAGAACAACTTAAAAGTTTTTTATCTGAAAATCAAATTTGAATTATTCCACTGTAAGTGTTGCATTTGCATTTGTGAGTCTAGGGATTTAGGTGGTCAATAAGTCAAACCATCCCCAAAACCCAGGGGAAGAATCTCAATTGAGCTTTGTTGATTTCTACTGATGGTGGTAGATTTATTGCCTCCTGAGTTGTTGAGAAAGGGTCATTAAATTATTTGTGTTTGAAAATTATATTCAGTAATATAATTTCAAACTGATTATTTGTGTGATTTCTCATGATCTAGAATATCTATGATCCATTGTTTTCTATATTAGAAGCAAGTTTTAGACCCAACAATGCCATCAGAGTGCTATATATTACCCAGTAAGTACATTTATTGGTGTGACATAAAATGGTTGCAGCTTTTACTGCACTTTCATTTTACTCTAGTGCTGTGAATAGGAATGGGTTGTAGGCTATATGATCAAAATGTAGACTTTTTGCTTTCTGATAAACTACAGCTAACCTTAAGTGAGCATTTATTATGTGCTAGGTACTGTTCTAGTCATATTACATATATTATCTCATTTATTTCTCACAACAAAATTATGAATTGCTATTGTTATTCCTATTGAATAGATGAGGATTTTTGGACAAAGAGTAGTTAGGTAAGTAACTTGACTAAGATTAAACAGTTAGTAATTATATATCATAATAGTGATGCTGTCTTCTCATATCACAAAATAATTTCCAAAAGGGTGATAAAAGACTATTATTCTGCCCCCATTTTCTGTCAAGCTCTAAATTGTTCTTTTAACTTGATATTTGTTTTAGTTGAACTGAATGCCAAGTACTCTACGACTCCCAAAAGGAAAAGAAAAGCCTTTTTCTATGGGTAGATAATGTGAACTAGAGGTAACCTTTATAGATAATGGACTCTGTTATCTAATTATTATAAGAAAGAATGGCATAAGACTACTTCTAATTGTAAGTATGCATTCTTCAACATATATCTAAGTTCTGGGCTATAATTTTATGTTTATCACATATTTACTAGTCTAGGAAAACATTTTTCCATGTGCCTTAAAGGGTTCATCAGAAAACTGCATTGTTCAAAAGTTGATATTCTTTGAGTGTTTTAAACTGAGATAGTCTTTTTGATGAAGGTGGTTATTTGAAGTCTCCATTGTCATGTTATAGTTTTAAGTTATTTATATTTCATTTTGCTTAGGTTGGAGGGGGCTTCAACTTGTTTTCTAAGAACAACATTAGCCCTAACTATGTGTAATGCATTTTTCCAGCAAAGTGCTTGGTAGCAATATTAAGATGTATAGAGGCTCTATAGAAGGATGTCAACATCCACTCATCCAGTAAAATTTTCTTGGCTTCATCCAGATTAATAAACTCCTCCTCACCTCTACTACATTAATTAACGTAGCCTTATATAATTACTTTTACTTTTCCTGTACTACCCCTGTGTATTCAATAAACACCAAGAAATGTTATACTACAAAGTGCTATAGAGCTGTTAATTGTATTTGCTGTATGATGACATGGAGGGCATTTACAATGACATTAAGTTATGGTCTTTGTGGGGATGTGTAAGAAAAATTTCTCTCAGGTCTCAGTGTCAGAATGGGTTACAACTTCTAAAAACAGTTGCTTACTTTCTGGGTTCTATATTGGTAACTGAGTGTGCTTGTCATTATGGCTTGCCTGCTCAGCAACCTGGAGCCCAATTTTTGTCTCAGTCTTCCCTGGTTTCATATAACTTTGCCTACCTTTATTTTCTTGTCACCTCAACTACTTATGTAGATTTTTAAAAAGTATTACCATATGTTGTTTTAAAACTGTCCGTATCCTTTCTGGAATGATATGGTATATGCATTCATCAGTAAATAACTGTAGCAATGAATAAAGGAATATTAGTAAAAACTGGTCATAGAAAATTTCTTGCATGAGAGATGCTTTCCTTGATATTACCCTCCAGTGATCTTAAAATTGAGGCAAATTCTCTTCCATGGACAGATAAAGTGGCTAGATTGTTTAAAATCATCCTTGTAAAGAGAAGTGCCATAAAATACAGCAGTTACAGATGATGAATTTTTTAAAACTCTAGAAGATTTTTGAAAGGAATGAAAATTATATTTAACAAAATTGTAGGAATGGTAGAGAACTCAATAAGGGCAGTTGTATCAATTAAATTTTGAGGAATGGTTTCTTTTTATTTGTCTTTATTATAATATGGTGCAATGCAAACTAACCAAGCCTCAGCACCAAGCAATATACTCCTATAATAAACCTGTGCATGTATCCCCTGAACTTAAGATAAAAATAAAATTTTTAAAAAATAAATAGATAATAACTTTAGAATATATGTTGATGCTCTGTAACACCAGAAATTGCTTAAGGAGAATCAAGCTAATTCCGGACAACTTCCAGAAATCAAAGCACATTTTAGATAATGATATATAAAAAGTATCTTAACATTAGTTTTTCTAAATATAATAAATCGGTATAGGACTGCATTGATATTAAAGGGTAATTAGTCTAGGAAATTGTCTCTGTATTTTGTGAACACAAAGTACTTATATTAGTAATATTTATACTATTCTGGTGGCAAAAGATATGCAATACTTATCTTTATATTTAAAAATATATCCTACTTTGGCCAATTTATACAGTATATTTTAAAGTTTCATACATATGGTTTGCATACTCAACACTTTATGTTGGAAGAAGAAACTTTAACACGATCAGCCTGAATTAAATATCTTTTTCCAGAGTACGTGAAAAATAAAAGCTAATCTCTCTCTTTACTAAAGATGATCTACAGGAAGGGAGGAAAGAATTTTGCTGATGAGATTTTAATATGGTTGTCTCATTGACTTTCCATAAGATTCTTTTAAAAACAGTGTTGAACTATTTAATTCTCATCCTAAGCTACAGTATTTAAGAACCTTAAAAACTTAAGCAAAAAAAAATATACAATCATGTAGGCTCATTGGGAAAACAAATACTGATAATCTTTGCTGGTGACTTCTTTATATTTATATTATATATTATTTATGAGACCACAAACATAAGATAACTCAAATAACTAACCCTGGAAATAAGGTAATATTGTAACCATTTGATAAGGATAACTGCAGAACAGAATTTTGCCCCGAGTTTTCATCTAGTAAGTTTCTGAGTAAAATTTAATCCAGTCTTTTAATGCTAAAGGAGAGAGACTTTGCCCCTAAAAGCCCCCATTCTTTTTCTGCTTCTTCTGTTTTATCTTTACTTCTTTGAGCTGTGTCCAATATTGAGGTTTCTTTTCTCTGAAATTAAGTGATTTGATTATTAAGAATCAGAAAAACAAACATTTCCAAGTGATTACAATTAACACAATATTCAAACATCTCTGTTAGCTGTCAAAGTGTTTAAAGGGGCAAGAGGTAATATGATCCTTCTGAACTGAAAGCTGCTTTGTCAGGAATATGAGGATTGAGCAAGCTTTGCCAAATACATTTCTTCCTCATCTATTTTCAAGATAAAATAGAACTTAAGATACAGCTTCATTGCCAGGTATTCATGGTTACGGTCTTTTAGATAATTAATGTAGATCACGGAAACAAATGTGAGCACCAGGCTCATGTTTAAAGCAGAATTTCACTGTGCTTAACATATCTATATGTCAGTATGTTAAACCCATAAAAATACATCTTTAGTAACTCAGGCCAAACAGTGCAGAGCCTTTTAACGCCTTTAGAAGTCAATTGTTGCCGTAGTGGTAATACAGAGGAGTAGCTTCAAGATTAATTTATTCAACTGTGTAGAACAAATTGAGAGACAGATAAATTCAAAATTTCATTTTGTTTAATGAAAACCTTAATTCTGTGCTTGAGTAAAAGTCCAAATATTCTGGATTTCAAATGCGTTTTATTTTTAAAACAAAACAAGGAAGAACAGTAATTTAAATATTATCAGCTGAATATTATCTGCTCTAGGTCTGGGCTTTCTCAATAGGAATTGACTGGTACAATGGGTATCCTAAATTAAGTGAATAAATAGGTACAGATATTTCCTTTCCAATTTGGCTCTGCTTGAGCACATAACCATTAACACACACACTAAAGAATAATGGGAGAAACTATTGGCTTTGGGTGTTGCTCATTTCTACACCCATTTCCTCCTCATTGGGAGACAGTCTTGTCATAATGCTGAATAACCCAGGGCCTAAAGTCAGACTTCTAGATGTAAGTGCCAGGTCTGTCACACAAACTGTATAACCTTGGGCAAGTCATACAACCTCTCTGGGCCTCAGTTTTCTATTTAGAAGATACCTTTTGAGGATTAAGTAAGATAAACATGTTAGCTGTTTAATACAGAACCTGGTACATAGCAAATGTTTAATAAATGCAAGTAACTTTACCATTGAATCACTCACTCAATTAAAAGCCACTGAAGCTTATGTGCTGATGATCACAGATGCCTTAAAGGAAGGGATTCGATTTGGGCTATGATGAAGGCTAACCCCATTGTGCTTGGGTTCACATTAGATCCACTTACCAATCTTTTGCTGAGAGCCAAGAATTTGGGAAGGCAAATTAGACCAAATCTCTTCCTGTGCCTTGGCATTCTCAGTCTAGTAGTCTTATAAGTATTTTCAGCACAATAGAGGAAGTTTAAAAAGACACATATAAGATATATGTATACGAGATCTGTAGCTATCTATTGGAATGTAAGTTTTTATGAGTTCACTCACAAAATACATATGCTGAGAAATGATGTTCTTGAATCTGTTATTAGTTTTAAATCTGGCAGCTAATCTGAGATATAAAGTATTTACTCATTTATCCATCACCTTTTCTTAACAGTATTTAAGGTTACTTACATGAATAAATGCTATAATATGCACACAAATTAACATAAAAAGATGAAAATATAAATCTTAGTTCAATAATTTTATCTCAAAATATTATACATAATAAATGTATTACATATAATTTTCTATTATATTATCTGCTATATCATATCTTATATATATTACTGATCATGTGTTATGAGGTGACAAATACAAACTTAGAAAGTGAGACAAAGAAAAAATAACAGTTGGGAACATAATACAAAGCCAGGAGTCAGATAGATACATCAAAATTGAAACCATTTTGTATTATAACTCATAGAGATTCATGAAAATAGTAAAGGTTTTCTGGGCAGTAATGCTAAATTTTAGGGAACCCCTATACTTGCTCCCACTATTCCTATCTAAATTCAGGATCAGGTGAGAAGAAGAAATGGGATTCACACAGAAATAGAGCTCAAAATGTTCTATTTTATGTTGATAAAGGCGAGGTGTACCCCCTAAATTTAATGCATGACTTCAGTGTGAAGCAAGTAAGAGCTTCCTAATACAAAACTCCAGAAATAAACTATGCCATCAGTCACAGGCAATGCTGGCCAGCCACAAGCCTCGGACAAAGTCTACCCCCATAAATCTTTGTTCATGCAGGGGCAAAATGAAATGTATGCAATTGATAGTCAATTATCCCCAAAAGGGAAGGGGAACCATCTGGGGCCAGTTCCTTCTCTCAATCATCAATTAGCTTAGGAGTGAGAAAAGGGATCAACAGAGGATCTAAGAAGAGATTTGATTGTTCCAGAAGAAAGTCATAAGATGGAAACCAACTTGGTTTAGCCTCATCCAGATGTTAGTCAGTTTTTATGTCCCTTGACTCTGGTCTGTAACCTGTGTACTCAAACACAATTTGGAGAAATGCCCCACCAAAAGTTAAATTATGATGCCACATTTGACTAATATTAGAGCTGTTCTTCTCTAAGTGTGGTCCCTGAACTGGCAGCATCAGCATCACCTGGGAGCTAGTCACGAATGCAAATACTCAGATCCCACTCCAGACCTAGGGAATCAGAAACTCTACGGAAGGAGCTCAGTGAACAAGCCAGATCATTCTGATGAGCCTATGATTTAAGAAGAATTGAACTAGGAAAATTCTCCCTAATATAATGTTCCTTCTCTCAGAGTAACATTTGAGATCTTTCCGTTTTCTGGCACAGTTTGTAAATATGCAATGGTGGCAGAATCAGTCATCCAGTCTTACCTGAAGTTTCTCTTTCTTTCTGAATATTTGAAGGCTTTGAATTCCCCTTTTTGTGCTAAGACCTATCTTTCTGGCAATTGATGCTGCATTGCATATGTGTTCTATCATATGACAGACTCTCTAGTGAGCATGTATTTTCAGCCAGAGGGTTCTCCAGCCTGGATGTTATATGCCCAGTGGCTTCTCCCTTTCCTCCTGCTATGGATTTCAAGAAGTCTACCCCTCGGAAAGTTTTCTCTATTCCCCATGCTTTTTTCACCTGAAGCAGGAATTTCTAATCCCCTGCCTGTGCAGTTCTTAACAAGCTGTGAGGCCTGTCAGGAACCAGGCCACACAGCAGGAGGTGAGCGGCAGGCCAGCCAGCATTACTGCCTGAGCTCCACCTCCTGTCAGATCAGCAGCAGCATTAGACTCTCATAGGAATGCAAACACTATTGTGAACTGTGCATTCAGGGGATCTGAGTTGCCTGCTTCTTATGAGAATCTAATGCCTGATGATCTGAGGCAGAACAGCTTCATCCTGAAACCATCCCTAGTGGATAAACTGTCTTCCACAAAACCAGTCCCTCGTGCCAGAAAGGTTGGAGGCTACTGATCTGAAGAATCAACCTCAGCATATTTTCAAACTGAAGTTGCTGTTGATATTTTTGAAGTCTGTGCCCCCAGGAGCCTAGTAAAAAACTTACCACATTCTCCTCAAGACTTTGTTCAATAGTTCAATGTTCCAGACTTAATTAGTGTTTCTGTCTCCTACATCCGAGTCTGCATCACAAGTCACTTCTCTGGTGCAGTGATTCTCAACCTTGGTCACATATTTGAATCAGCTCTAGAGCTTTTTAAAATCCCAGTGCCTAAGCCATACCCTGGACTACTGAAATTGGAATGATTTGTGGATGAGACCCAGGTTTGGTGTTTGGCTTTCCTCATCTATATTTTCAGTGTCACATGCAGTTGTTTTTAAAAAATTAATATGCTTCTTAATTTTATCTCTTTACTTCTCTAGTACTGTGTCATCTAGAAAAAGAACTTTCTTTTTAAGTTATTTTTTATTTTCTTTCTGTTCCACACCTTCATTTTCAGGCATAGTTCACTACATTTCATAAATCAGTAACTTATGAATCTGCTAAAAGTAACACTGTCCAAAACATTTTGGAAATCTTCACATTTCTGAGTTGGATATTCTTAATTGGATATGTTGTCCCATCAGACTAATTTCTAAGCCAGAATTGGGACTTCACTTGTTATTGTCCTGCCTAGCCCTCCATTAATATGCATAATTTTCATTGGATCTTCCCTAATTCCACGTTTCTCATTCTCACTCCTAGGGCAAATTCTAGTAAACCCTGTCTTGAGTTTTCCAGGGACAGAGAAACTTACCCTTTGTTGGTTAATGTGTACACATATAGGCATGAATATCTCCTTGCTAATATTCAATGTGGGCTTTAAAGAGTTAAATAGCATGTATGCAAATATATATTATATACTCCATTCCTTGGCACGTTTGAGAAGAACAAAGAAATATATCTAAAAAATATTGAGACTGGATAAAATCTTTTTTTCAGCGTGTTCTCTCTAGAGTTATAATATCAAAACTCTGATTAAAGACATAAAATTGAAAGAAATTAAATCTAGGCCATTTAAGATAAAATAGTTTATTCTACGATAACTACACTGAATCTGTAATGTATAAAAGGATAGAATGGACATTGAAGAGGATCAGTAAATTTTGGAAGTAGAGAGAAAAAAAGAATATCCCAGAGGGTAATGTTGTCAAGTCTAATAAATCACTATTCAGCAGTCATCTTTTGGCAGGGTGTTTTTTTATCATGCTAATGACTGCAAAAACTCATGAGAGCTAATATATTTAAAGAGTTCGATCCCTTGGAAAAGAGTCCTTCTTTTGCCTTATGCTATTATGGAGCTGATTTATCGTTTGTACTTGTTCTATGGTCATCAACAATCTTTTGACTATAATTAGCTTCCCAAGTGGGACTACCTACAGAGAATGTGGTGGCACTAAGAGGATGAAGGTTAACCTTTAGGTTTAATGTGGTCTTTGAACTTGTTTAAGATAATTTTGCCCCAGGAGATAAAATCAGGTTTCTAAGTTAGTAAAATTTGCAAGAATTTGCCAGTGATACTGGACAGTAATAAAAAATTAACATGTAATGATTATCCTTTTCAAAGGCAATTGGCGATTACCTGGTCCTCTCTGGGATATCCTTTGTAAACACACATTTTTTTCTTATACAAAATGTGTGTAGTTACCCTGTGATAATATGTGCATCATCATTATCATTGTCATTATGTATAAATACTAGTTTTATCCAAAGAAGTTCTACAAATTAAAAGGCATGGATTTATGCCTCAATAAAGGCTGTGTTACAAGAAACAATTTGCTTTGTGTTACACTGAGAAAGATAGAAACTGAATAAAAAATACTAAATTACTCCATCAGAAATAAAGAGCTAGAGTTTTGAAGGTTCCAAATATCTTCGTTTTCAGTCCAACTTCTTTGTTTTCAATTACTGTGACTGACTCGCTCCCCTCCTCCCATCCTCATGAGATTACTGATTTCAGCCTACATTAAATTGCCTAAATTGTCTTTCTGGCATCCTTACATGGGGAACAAGGGCAATAAGGGGGTAGGGAATATGAACTGACTTTGCTATTAGATAATGTGTCTAAAGTGTTTGCCAAAGTTCCCTACCAATATTATTTGGAGACATTTAATTAGAACTAGATGACACATTTTAAGAAACTTATTAAGTTTCTGGAGCCTAAGGAGATGATGGTGAATGGAGTCTTGAATAAACTGGGATAAAGCTGAAGTAGAAACTCTTTCTGGTGACTAAAAATGGAATATTGCCATTTTCTGACAATAAGAAAGGAAGTAAGAAGAGAAGTATGTGAGCAAAGAAAAAATACTAAAGTCCCCAAAGAGACAAAGACTAGACGGTATGATTAAATGAAACTGTAAAATCAGCTCTTATTTCTTTGGCATGGAATTTTTCACTTAAACATTGCATTGTGTATGAGTAAGCATTATCTTTTAGAGTTATGAATCTATGAAAAATAACTATACATTGGGATAGATTTAAAAAAAAGCATGTACATGTTCTAAACTTGATATCCTAGCAAGTCAATACAAAATACGATTTTATGATATTTGGTGTAATCAAAAGGCCATTAACTATTTTGATATTTGACTTGCAAATATTCATTCATTACATAACTTTGTTAATTTTGACTTCAGTTAGTAAAAACTGAGATTTAACAGTAAATAAATGGAAATAAGTGAATTTACACAAATTTGGTGATATTATATTTCAGTAAGTACTACAACAAATAAGATCTAAGAACAGTTGTTTATAAAAAAGAAATCAGAGGATAAAGCAACAAAAATATGCTTTTATTTTTTCTAATGTCAATGATATGTACTAGATAAATCAACCTATAATTAGTCATCCCTTAAAATTGACAAGTATGAAAACTTTTATTTAACATTGATATAGGAGGTTTGCAAACTACAATCATGTTCATTATAATTTTTCTTACTTTTATGAGAAATAAGTATTGTGTCAGAATGAAACTTTAACCTATATCTACATGATGGGTGAGACAATTCCATGCATTCAGCTGTTTCATTTTCCTTCTGGGCACTTAGCTAAAACACATTGTTTACTTTTTCTAAGTTGGCTCATGTGGCTAGTTCTCTTCCCTTAATCTGTCAATGGATAGACAATACCAGTGGACCTTGAAGTCTCAAGCTGAAAACGGTGAAGTCCTAGCAAGAAAGAAACTTGGATCTCTGAGTAACTACATAAAGTCATAAACTTGTTTACCTGCATTAGATAGTCATGTCAGCAAGATAGAATCTCTTATTGTGTTAAACCACTGGGATTTTGGACTTGTTTGTTACAGCTACTAATAAGACTTGCCATAATATAGACATTTTCAACTTTTGCCTTATTATCCATTTCCCAGTTGTATAAAGTGAGCAATTTTTAACATTTTTGTAGATGATTTAAGCAGAAATATACTTGGCTGAGTACAGAATTCATGCTAGTTATTTTCATAATTGGAGAACATTTCATCTAGCCCATGATGAGATCCAATGAAACCTTTCTTCTCCATGTCAGATATAATCTCTTTACTGGACTGAATGGTTCATTTTCAACAAATTTAATATTTCCCTCCTCCAAACAGTCCTGACCATAATAACAAACCATTCCTCTCTGAACACAGCTTTCTAGGTTACCTCCTTAGCTTACTTTCTTTTCTTTAGCTATATCGTCATCACTAATCAGCTAGAGTCAAGAATAAAGAAGCTGCTCCTAATGGCTTCAGAAGAATCATTTCCTCTCATTGGGCATTTTAAATATCACTTTTCCATGATGAGAACAAGTGAAAGTAACTTCAATTGCTTGGCAAGGGGACCTTAATATGACTATCTCTGGCCTTAGGTATATCTACACTAAAATATGCCTTGTTTTTCCTGTTATAATAGGAACAATGGTATCCTCATAAATATCAATGAATCAATAAGGATCTCAGTGTATACATGTTTTTACTTTCTCTTTCTTCAAGGATTTCCTGGACTATCCTTATTTCCCATTTGCACATACAGGCAAAGGAAAGATTAATAAAAAATTATCCTTCCCTGACTAAATTGGGGTTTTCAGTCAAAATTGTAAGGAGTGTGACCGAGATAAAGAGGCTATAGAGAAAGAAAAGAGAAACCTAGGTGTGAAGACTGGTTGACTGTTCACTTAGAGTTAATATGTACTCAGGTAAGGCTATTACATTGTACACATCTAGGAAGCACCATTCACATAGAATACCACATAGATAGTGCTTCTCAGAGTTGTGCAATGGAGTGGTTCTACCACTAGGTGTATAATTTTTCCATCTTTCTCTCAAATACAGAGCATATCTAGCTAAAATTCTTGGCTCAGCAATAGATTCAAAGCTTGTTTCATCTAAAAAAGTTGAAGCACATCTTCTTTAGTTTCCTTTCATAATATGTTAGCATGTATAATGAAGGTCCATAGGCAGACATGGAGATGTCTGAGCCATAGCTAATGTATTTTCATACCTGCTTTCTCTATGAGATAAATAAGAAAGACACATGAAATGTGGTCTAACAATCAAAGACAGGTTTATTTTAGAGAAATAAACCTGAGAGGGGCTTCTGGCCAATTTTGGTCAGGAGTATTCTCCCTTACAGACTAAGAGTATATATTGGTTTTAGGGTGACAGGGCCCATCACAAGCTTGGAATGTTTCTGTGTGGGGGAAATTTTATGGTGTGGTTGGAATGTCTCTGGGCGGAGGGGAGGTTATCTCAGGGCTAGCATGTCTGTGGTTGGGGAGGGGTTTGGAATGTTTCTGGTCAGAGATGTTATTGTGGTTTATGGTTATGCTGACCTTAGCCATTAGGTTGATACCCTTTGAATTTAGGCATTTTTGATCAAGGTAAATTTTAAAATGACAGTGCTTGTCCAAGATGGTGATATTCCTGCTCTGTCACTCTCATGCAACTTTAACCATTTTATAATATTTTCTTACTCTTATACACAAAACAATCATTTAATGTATCAAAAATTGCCATGATTTACCCATACTGATTCAACTGTATTTTTCAGGAGGCCTAATAATTGCTAGGCATACTGGAGTAGCAGCTGGGAGTATAATGGGGAAAAAAAAGAAATATGTAGTATTTATCCCCATGGGGAGAGATTAATCAAATACTCACAGATACAATATAAAAAACTGTATCAGTTAGCTTTTGCTGTGTAACAAGCAATCCCAAATTTTGGTTACTTAAAATAACCATTTATTCAGCTCATAGTCCTGTAGTTCAGATATATGGGTTCCGATGTGCTGCTGGTTTGCACTGGGTTGACTCAGGTATATGCTAGGTTGGTACAGTGCTGGCTGGACTAGCTTGGCCTCAGCTGAAGTGGCTTTCCCCTCCCCTCCACCGTGTGCTCTCTCATCTTCCAACAGGCTGGCCCCAGCTTGTTTATATGGTTATTAAATAGGGTTCATAGAGGACAAATGAAAGTTTGCAATGTTTCTGGACAACTATCCTGCTTCCTACCATTCTGCTTCCTCTGGTATTTGAGAGCGCAGAGTATAGGGGTTGGATACAATTGGATATAGAGGAATTACTGTTTCATTGATGAGTCTAAGATTTTGCACTAGTCTATACTGACCATTTGGTTTTTGTACTCCTAGAATTGGGGTGTTGCAGGGACTGCTGCATTTTCTTACTAAGCCTTGAGCTTTTAAATGTCTAACAATATCCTGTAATCCTTTGTGAGCTTCAGGCCTTAAGGGATATTGCCTTTGATAAGAAGAGTGGTGGGGTCTTTTAGCCTGATTTGGACTGGGCAGGCATTTTTTGCCCCTCTGAATTGTCCTTCCAATACCCAGACTTCAGGGTTGATTCCTTCCTCAAGCAGGGGACAACAAATGGGTAACTTGTTCCCCATATTCATATAGATAATAGCTCCAACTTTGGCTAATATGTCCCTCCCTAATAAGGGTGTGAGACTTTCAGGCATAACAAGAAAGGCAAGTGAAAAGAGCAAATTCTGCCAATCACAAATAAGGAGGTGGGAGAAATACCTGGTTACAGGCTGTCCCAGGATTCCTCAGATGGTAATGGACATTGAGGACAGCTGTGTGGGACAGGAGATTAACACTGAGAAAGCCACACCAGTGTCCAGGAGGAAGTTAATTTCCTGGCCTTCAATGGTTAAACTTACCCAGGGCTCAGTGAGGGTGATGACATGAGCTGGTGCTTGCCCCAGACACCCTCAGTCCTGTCATTGGATCATCTAGTTAGGGACTTCTGGCCCAGAGAACCTTTGTCCTCTAGGGCAGTGCACCTTCCAGTGATTGCCTTGGCATAATGGACATGGGCAAGGGGGCAGCTTGTTTCTCGTTGGACAATCTTTTGTAAAGTGTCCTTGCAAATCACACAGATAACAAGCCCTACTGGGTGATTGGCCTGCTCCATTTTCTGTCCTCTGAACCACCAAGGTTTGTTTGTCTGAGAGCCATGACTAAGGCTGTGGCTTTTCTCTGATATCGCTTTTCCTTTTCAGCCTGTTCCTCTTGGTCCCTATTATAGAACACCAAGGTTGCCAGGTTTAATAATGCCTCCAGATTTTGTTCTGGGCCCAGGGCTCGCTTTTGGAGCTTTCTCCTCATATCTGTGGCTGATTGGGTAATAAACTTATCTTTCAGGATCAGTTGACTTTTGAGGGAGTTGGATGACAGGGGAGTATATTTTCTTAAGGCCTCCCATAGTCACTTGAGGAAGGCAGAAGGATTTTCTTCCTTTCCCTGAGTTATGGTGGACATCATTGAATAATTCATGTGCTTTTTCCTAATTCTCCTTAGTCTTTTTAGAACACAGGTCAGCAGATGTTTATGACTCCAGTCCCCATGATCTGGGTCGAGGTCCCAGTGGGGATCCATACTGGGGACAGCTTGCTGACCAGTAAGGAATTTGTCCCTTTCCAGGTATCTCCAAACTCTCAGGCTGCAGCTAAAGCCACATTCTTTTCATTAAAAGCCAGGGTTTGATCTAACAATAGCATGACTTCTCTCCAAGTGAGGTTGAAGGTTTGCCCTAGACCCCGTAGGACATCTATATACCTATCAGGATCATCTGAACACTTCCCTAGGTCTACTTTGATCTGCTTTAAATCAGAGAGGGAGAGGGGAACATGTACCTGGGTTGGGCCAAATTCCCCTCCCCCTACAGCTTGAAGGGAACATAACCGATAGCCCGGGGGTTTTTGTGGTCCCCTGGAGATTTCTTTGCTTGTTTCCTTCTGGGTGGAGGAGATTAGAGGAGGCTTATTAATATGAAGGGGAGCTGTAGGAAGGTTAGGATACGGAGGTAAGCTGAGAGGTCCTCCTGTGAGATGTAAATTGCAAGCTTTGCATAGTTGTGGATTCTCCTTCAGTGAAAAGAAAGCTTGAACATAAGATATTTCACTCCATTTGCCTTCCCTCTTACAGAAAAGATCAAGCTGCAGGATAGTATTATAATTTATACTTCCCTCAGGTGGCCATTTTTCCCCATCACAGAGAGAATATTGGGGCCAGGCCATAGTGCAGAAAAAAAATGAGCCACATCTTTTTCAGAGTTTGTGGGTCAAATTGGTCTCAATGGCTTAGGATGCATTTTAAGGGTGAGCCTGTTGATGCCTGAATGTTTCCCATTTGAAAGAAAAGACCGCCTGTGGTTTTGGTTTGTTTGTTCCCCCCACCACCAACCCAAGAACACACAATGGTCCCTGGACCCTGCTGATCGGAATAGTTGCACTCACCAATGCAGCAGCAGAAACACCAGTTTTCCTCTTAGACCACAAAGAGGACCAAGGAAGGTCAGATTTAGTGGTCCTTACCAATGCATTCTCAAAAATCTGTTAGAGTCCTAAGCGTTTTCCTGTTAGTATTGGGACCTTACCCCTGTCCTATAAAGATGTTATGCCCCAAAAATGAAGTGGAGGGCCATACCCTGAGGGAGGGATGGGATCTCCAGGGTTGGAAGAGTGATGCCTTTTGTCCTCACTTCTCATCATATGAATAGGAAGGATATCATTTCTGAGGCTCCCCATATCCTAGCTTTAGGAATAGCTTTTGTTAGGCCTGCTTGTCTGAGGAGGGATCCTAAAATTCCAGATAGTAACCCCCTCCAATGGGGCTTTGGGCAAAAATTATGTTTTTCTGATTGGTGAGCCTGGGTGCCTAAAGAAAGGAACAGAGTCCCAAAATTTATGCTAGAAATCATTCTTATAGGAAAAAATAGAAAAGCACCAGAGATGGAGTGGTTTTTAGAAGCAGGACTAGCCTCAGAGAAGAGATGTGGGAGGAAGTTTGTCTGACAGGCATTAGTACCCAGGAGTCAAGGGTCAGGATAGATAGAATAGATGGGCGAGTCTCACTTGGGCGATGTGACTTTGAGAGTTCCTCGCATGGCTGCAGGGTCAACCAACTTTTTGTTGGGACCCCGGAGCTGAATGGCTTTCCTCTCTGTCAACCCTCAGCTCAGCCCGGAAGTATAAGAAAAGCAGAAGCTGGTTTCAAGCAAACCAACGCTCTCAACTCCGAAGAGTCAGGGTTGTTAAAGAGCCCTTTCCCAGAAAGCCTGACACCCATGTCTTTAGTCTGGCAGCCGCACTAGTTGCTTTTAACTGGCCAACAGGTGCCCGGTGTTTAGCCTCTGAATTCTAAGGAAAAATAGGACAGAATAGCAAGCTAAAGGGGTCCAATGGTACTCACCGCTTGGTGATATTAGAACTGTTAGTAGTTACAACTGTAGATAACTTATCTCATGGTAGCCTTTGCTTAGGGAGTATATTTTGTGTCCATGAAACAGTATCTCTATTCTGGAGATGACAAATGCATACCTCACATTGACTACATGGCTACTAAAAGATAAAATGTAAGTGTTGGTGAGTTTGTGGAGAAAAGGGAACCCTTGCATACTTTGTTGGGAATGTAAATCAGTACAATCACTATGAAAAACAATGTGAAGTTTCCTTAAAAAATTACAAATAGAACTACCATAAGATCCAGCAAGCCCACTACTGGGTATATATTCAAAAGAAATGTATCAGTATGTTAAAGATATATCTGTACTCTCATGTTTATTGCAGCACTATTCACAAAGGCCAAGACAAAGAATCAACCTAGGTGTCCATCAATGGATGGATGGATAAATACAATGTGGTATATACACACAATGGAATACTATTCAGACACAAAAAAGAATGAACTCCTGTCATTTGAGATAGCATGGATGAACTTGGAGAGTATTATGTTAGGTGAAATAAGCCAGGCATAGAAAGATAAATACCATATGATCTCAGTGTATGTGGAATCTAAAATAGTTAACTGCATAGGACAGAGTGGAATGATGGTTACCAGAGGCTTAGGTAGTTAGGCAGAAGAGGGAAATGGGGAAATGTAGGTTGAAAGATACATAATTACAGTTAAAGAGGAGAGAAAAGAATAGTCCAGAATAGGCAAATACAGAAATTATTTGCCTAATACAAATATTAGGCAAAAGTACAACCACAAAAAGTTGGTAAGTGATTGCCTGGGGCCAGGAGGTTGGAGAGGGGAAGGAGAGAGGATGAGAAGAGAGAAGTTGGAAATGGCTGTTAATGGTTGTAGAGTTTTTTTCTTGGGTGATGAAAATGCTATAAAATTGGGTGATAGTTGCGTAACTGTCAACATACTAAAAAACATTGGACTGTATACTTTAAAAGATGAACTGTATAATATATGAATTACATCTCCATAAAGCTGTTTTTAAAAGATTCCATTCTTACTACATCTACACTAGAGGACATCCTAACTTTATATCAGTAGTCTATTGCTGTATTCCAGCTAAGAGAGGATAGTAATTTAGATAATGGTGATGATGGCAGATAGGGAGCGAAAGTAATGATATTGATAGATGTTTAGAAAACAACATTGACAAATAAAATGAAGACTTGATCATAACTTAAGCATAATGTTTGACATAGACATTTTAGATAATTATAAAGACTGGCAAACCTTCCATCATTTACAAATTCACACATTCACCTGGTGATCCTTTTATTCATTCATAAAGGTAGGAATCGAATCTGGTTTATTTGAATTTCTTAACAGCATTTTTTTCCATAACATATATATTACATTATCATTGATTTCCTTATTAGAAACTTAGCTGTAGATTAACTAAAATTAAAATATTAAAAAAAGAGTTTTATTAATTCAAACACAATGTTGAATGGCAGAAAATGGTTTATGATCCTCATAAACAGGTATAATTAACATGTTCAACAAGAAATATGTACTAAAAGGACTCAGTGGATAATGAAGCAATCAGGAAGATGTGTGATTGCTGTTTCTGAACACACCAGTTTTTCATATTTTTACCCTGAAATTAAGACAAAAAAGTAGGCTTAGTGGCAGCAATATAATTATATAGATCATTTAAATGCACTTTCTGCTAAGGGGCAAATGAATTTCATCAAAATTATTGTAAACCAAATCTTATTGTCACTTAAAATGGTTCTGAGTGTTTTTACAGAGATAATTTTCTGTGGACAACAATGGTGATTATCAGAAAATAAAAGTTTTAAATCTTTTGTCATATTTTTAATAATAACACAAATATTGCTAGTAAAAGTCCCAGTTCAATCTGATACAATAAATGTAATTGGATGATTTTCTGCAGAGAGTCTTTATTTCTCCAGGGAGCAGAAACTTAGTCTGAGACACTTCAGGGTCACTTCAACCGCTTTTACCCTGAGATTGGGTTGAGGTGATATGTTGCTTACATGGAGTCAGGGCTGTGCAGGGTGCAGAGACTGGCACAGGCCTAAGTACTTCTTCTCTTGGTAGTTATCTCTTCATACTGACATCTGCTGATATCTCACTCAGCCTAGGCCACTGTGAGCTATCCATTTGTCATCTCTGGAATAGATATACTGTTTCATGGACACAGAATGTACTCCCTAAGCAAAGGCTACCATGATATAAGTTATCTACAGTTCTAAGACCAGGTACAGAAGAGAATAAAAATAGATAACTTACTGCAAACCAGTCAACTCAAAGATGTACTCTGCTGGTACGATGTTAAGAAGACACACAAGTGCAGTGACTTTGACTGAAATCAAAGTCATACGTAGTAATGACCATTTGTATTATATTTTTAAACTTTAGGGAAATATAATGAACAGATTTAAAAGTTAATTCAGGAAGAAGCAAGTCAGAGTAAAACAAGCAGTCAAATAAAAAAGAATAGAGCATAAAGCTGAAAGAATTTATGAATATTTGTAGAAGAGGCTCAATTATGTTTACATTCAAGTATTACCAATTGTAGCTTGAGAAAAAAGACAGGGATTTTTTTCTGGTCATTTGTGTTTACGTTCAAATTTAGTTTTCTGCAACATAAGCATACAAGTCTGCCACACAGAAGGCCAGGTGGTCTTGTTTCCCTGGACTATTTTTTGTGCATGTGTGCATTGCCTCATAACTTCATATCACAGTACGAAGATGGTTGAAGAGGGGAAAAAATGCCTAAATCTCTTCTATTTAATGGTGAAAATAAATGTGTCTACAAAACAAAAGTCTCTCCAGGCATAGTATTTTGAGGTTCTTCAATTTTGCTGATGTGAAAAGGCATTCCTTTTTCTTGGTTTTCAAAGTTGTATTGCATTTATGTTTTATTTGCAAGGAAGCATGAACAAAACAATTTTTGATAAACACAAAAAGCTGTTTTGCCTCATTATATTGGATGACAAGTGAGATCTTACAGCTTCACATCAAATCAGTGGAAAAACAATTATCTGTAAAAAGTATGTGCAAACATTTTTCTTATAAAGCTAAGATTCAAGGCAACGTGTCTGGAATTTGTTTCTCCCTTTAGGCTGCCTCCATTCCATGAAACATCTGTCTCAATTTCCGCTCTTCCTGGAGCCTCCTTTGGTCTCTCTACAAATCCATTCCTTCTGAATCTGCCTCATTCTGACCTACAGATGGAAACCGTATGTCTTTCTGTTTAAGAAAATGTGCCCAAACTTCTCAGCTGGAGCTTTCTGGTCAAGCTTTATTGTATCTTCATGTATTGCTCCTAAAGTATCAAAGACAGTATAATCTGTTTTTGTTTTGATTTCATGCTTTAAATAATTTAAAGTAAGTATTAGCACATTCACTGATTTGTCTCAGAAAATCTCTAAACATAGAGCTGTGACTTAGATATATTTTGGACAAGCAAAGTTGGAAAAAATTATACTTCAATAAGTACTTGCTGATTGCCTATTATGCTTACAGCCTAGAGGTACACAGATAAAAGACATGACATACTTTACCATCCAGCAGGCTTGGAAATGCAGAAAACAAATGGAACCAATGTAATACAGCACAGAAAAGGCTGAAATAGAGAGACTCTATGGAAGCACAGAAGGATGCACAATTCAGAAATATAAACTGATAAAAGAAAGTTTAGTGTTCCTTAAAAAGAATAATTTTCATTTGTGATTTGCAATGCTTTTAAATCTATTATAAGTGATATTAAATCATAAGTGTATTCCTAAAATTTTTTGGTTACTCAAACACCTAGAAAATACCTGGTCTGAAAATATACCTGTGTTATAGATGAAAGGAATAGTTTGCAGATCACTTGGTATTAAGTAATCCAGAAATAATTTATGTGTTTCTTTACTTTCTTAATGAAAGCAAATAAAGAAGGGTGGAAAAAAGCAAAAGGCCATATTGGTGTGGTTAAGGGAAAGTCTGGGATTTCTGGGGATACCACAAGGACACTGGGCCACAAAAAGTGGGTCCTGGATGTCGCCATCCCAATTGCCTGGAGCAAATTTTCAGCCCAAGCTTACGAGACCGTCAGAGAAGTAGACATTTACTAAGTACCACAAAGAAATAGACATTCAGACAAGGGAAGAAATCTGAAAGAGAAGATTTCTCCTAAATCCAAACAGTATTCTTAAAAGCAATGATTCTATTACTTAAAATGTACAAGTTAGATAAGAGCAAAGCAGTTGTAATCTAAAATATAATATAAAAAAAAACCTTTGAATAATTTTGTAATTTTATAACTGCCTCCTAGTGTCAACGTTCTCAAAGAAGTCCATTTTAACATACCTAGATATCATTACAATATTTGTTATTTTAATAATATTGAAAACACATGAGAAATGGCATATCACAATCAAATCATAGTTTTTATGTCACTATATATTTTATTTTAGTATAAAGGATACTTTTCAGTAAAATGCCATTAGAGACAGTATAAGTCATTGGTAAGGAACAGAATATTTGAACCTAGGAAATCAAGGATTGAAAGGACAAGATAATATGTATCAATTTCTGCTCAGTTATTACCTTCAAGGGGAGTAGAATGAGAGCTGGATGGTAAAGGGGAGTTTTGAATTTACTCTGTACACTTCTGAATTAATGTGAAGCTTTCACAACATTGATGCATTCTTATAATGCTACTTATTATTAGAAAACAATAAATGAGCTTTTTTTTAAACCTATGAAATGAACAAACATATACGATATTAAAGAACAAGAAGACCAAAAAAAAAAAGGCATTGGAAACAACTTCTAAGATTTGAGAAACAAAACTAATTAAAAACAACAGTTACTAGAACCATGTGTGTTCCTCCAAGCAAGCAGGATGGTCAAACTATTGAACTTTAGAACATGAGTGTCCTCTTGTGGCAAATATGGGTACATTTTAAATTTGTGTCACTGCCACACAGAGTGACTGAGAAGTTGGCCTGAAGAAATTCTCTTTTTTTTTTTTTTTTCAGATTGAAATAGCCACAGTGATGCCTTCAGGGAACAGAGAGCTCCTCACTCCACCCCCACAGCCTGAGAAGGCCCAGGAAGAGGAAGAGGAGGAGGAATCTACTCCCAGGCTGATTGATGGCTCTTCTCCCCAGGAGCCTGAATTCACAGGGGTTCTGGGGCCACACACAAATGAAGGTCAGGTACCTCAAAGCAGAATTACAATTGAGTCCACTTTGTCATCCTCAAAACTGCACAGCTTCAACTCTACAGGGAAACCACATGACATGACCCAAGAAAAAAGTTTTGGAATAGGCTAGGTTTGAAGCATATTTATACATAGATTTTATATTCAAATATAAAGCAGTTTTAATAATTCAGCTTCGGTCTCATAAAAATGATCAAATAACCAAAGATTTGGGATGAAAATATTGTGTATCATTACTCGAAACCTGGTGGTGGAATGTATTTGTAGAACAGAGAGTAATTGATGAGCAGGATAAAATCTTTGCCTCTGAGATTAGGCCACAGCAGTTCAAGGGGATAAGAGATGATGAGGATGAAGATGATGGTAATAGTAATAATATTTTGCACTAATTGAGCATATACTATCTGTGGCCTATATGCTCAGCACTTCACATTATCTCATTGGATTATTAAAACCTCCCTGTCAGAGTGTTAATATTACTCTTCTCATTATCATGGAGAAAACCATAATTCAAAGGGGATAGTAACTTGCCAGACATCACAAAGCTGTTACATAGCAGGTTTGAAGCCAGCCTGTTCAGATTCTTGGCTGTTTATTTATTTAAAAACAGGCTTCTTCTCACTCAATCCTAAGAAGCAACAGAGAGAGGAAAATATTGCACAACATCAGACACCATGTTGCATGGCCTGCAGATGAAACCAGAGCCTTTTAGTTAATGAGAAGGAATTCTTAGTGCTACATGTAATTCTATAATATGTCCGTATTTCTTGTTCAAATGTGTCACTGTCAACCTTGGGGGTACTCAAGAGGACTCACACTGGAATACTTTTATATACACAGAGAATGGCATAGTTAGGGAGTATAGAAAAAAATAGAGAGTTCCCCCTGCAAAGGTTGAGTGAATGTAGAGTGTCTCTGTATTCCAAGTTCTGTAGACACAAAACTTAGTTTCAAATAACTACCGTTCTCATGAATATTTCTGCCTAGCACAGGAAGATAGACATAGAAACAAATTTAGAGGCAATACTGTATGTATTAATCCATTTTCATACTGCTGATAAAGACATACCCAAGATTGGGTAATTTATAGAGAAAAAAGAGGTTTAATGGATTCACAGTTCCACATGGCTGAGGAGGCCTCAAAATCATGGTGAAAGGCAAAAGGCGTATCTTACATGGCAGCAGGAAAGAGAGAAAGAGAGCCAAGTGAAAGGGGAAACGCCTTATAAAACCATCAGATCTCATGAGACTTATTCACTACCATGAGAACAGTATGAGGGAAGCCGCCCCCATGATTCAGTTATCTCCCACTAGGTCTCTCCCACAACATGTGGGAATTATGGGAGCTACAATTCAAGATGAGATTTGAGTGGGGACACAGCCAAACAATATCACTGTATTACAGGTCTTATGAGAAAAGTCTGTCCAGAACACATTGGGAGACAAAAAGAGAGGGAGGAGCAATATTACCTAAGGCATGACTAAGAGCAAAGTACAGGAATCAAAACTGAGAGTTTCTTGGACAGACAGAGGAACCAAAACATATGTATTCAAATCCCAGCACTGTGACTTGTGGGGTTTTTATAGTCTTGAGTAAGGCATTCAATATTACTGTGCCTTAGTTTTCTCATCTAAAAAAATGGGATAATAAATAATAGAACTTACCTTATAGAGGTGTTGTCAGGATTAAATGAATACATGTAGTTACTGGCCCATAGTAAACATAGTGTTAGTTATGAAAATTCTATTGATAAAGGAGTTCATGCATTTTTTTCTCTCAAAATTTTTAGTGTACAATACAGTATTGTTAACTATGAATAGTATGATATAGCAGACCTCTAGAACTTGTTCATCCTGTATAACTGAAATTTTATACCCCTTGAACAACTCCCCATTTCCTGAGGCTCTGATAACCACCATTTTACTCTTTGCCTCTTTGAGTTTTTAACTGTTCTTCAATAAGTAATATGAAAAGTTGCCCTTTCATCCCATGCCTTCTATATGCCAGACACTTGAATTGTTTTATCTACATTAACTTTTTGAAGAGTCAAAACACTATGTACTAGGCACTGATTACCCATTTTTAAAAATAAGAAAACTAAAACTCTGACATACTATAAAATGTGTCCAGTAACACAGAGGTGATATGTGGAATGCAACATAGACCAATAAATCCTGTCAGTGTCATTAATGAATATATTATATTCTTTCTGTGTAGTTAAATTTCTGTGTAGCAGAACACTCTACAAGTAGAAAAAGGAAGAGACACAATGAGAAGAAAATGTAAATATCCAGCATAAAGCACCCAAAATAGGAAAATTAAATATCCCTAGAACATTACTTATATTTAAATGATTTCAGATCCTTCAAAAGTTGACCAATCTTGTATCAGTACCTGTATGTTGGATCTCTCAGCTTAGCCAGAAACAACAGAAAAGCAGAATGCCCAATCCTTTCAAAAGCTTGAGTCAAGTAATGCTTCACTAATGTCAATTTAGAAACATAACAAAAACTAAGACTTTTAAAGAAAATTTTTGTTTCTAAAGTACTCTGAGGATAAAAAAGTTAAAAACTCAAACTCACTTTTTAATTTCCAAAGAAGAGGCACACATTCATCAAAATTAGTTTAGAAATATTTAGAATATTAAAAATAAAAATACCATATTTTTACTACTAAAACAAATTTCTAAAGATAACATTCTAAAACCGTGTAATATAGCCTTGAGTTAGGTGTAGAAAAACTTAGAATTAAAATATAACTACTGCGAATATATATAAATTACCCTAAGCAATCATTGCTTAATTATCAAGGTGATAAATATATAGAAGAATCAAATGCCTTAACTCTTAAAATTTTTATGAGTAGAAAATATTAATTTATAATGATTGGAGAAATTAGCACGTATTAAATATTTTACAGCTCCTGCTTAAACATTTTTTCCTGGCTTTCCATTCTTAAAATGGAAATGACTTTTGTATTTAATGATAGTAATAAGACCTTAATGGGTACATTATTAGTTCTTGATTACAAACCACAAACAGACCTTTCAACTAGGTTGATCAAATATCCTGGTTTGTCTGGGTGTGATGAGTTCCCAACACAAGTGTCTTTCAATGTTATAAACATGAAAGTCTCAGGTAAACTAAGACAAATTGATCACTGAGAAATTTCAGGACATTTCTTCCACCACTTTTCTCTTCTAGTTTATGTCATAGAGATTTCACTTTCTCCATTCATTCCACAGCTTACAATCCTTATTTACCTCATCCCTAGACCCCTCAAGGCTGTCAGATAACTTAACTTCCTACTTCACAAAGAAAATGCAATTTCTCAGTCAGCAGCTCCTTGGTCTTCCTGTTTCCAGACAAATAATCTACCTACATCTATATCAATGTGCTCTTCTATCTCCCTCTCCTTCTAGCACAACAAAGACACTCTGTCCTTCCACAAGTGGGATGAAAATCTTTCCATGTTCTTTGAGTTCTATTTCCTACTGTCCTCTCATGATCCTTTTTATATTCAAATTCACCTCCTCTGGATCTTTTTCTCCAAATTCCTTCCATGTTAATCACTCCCTTCATCAAACAAACCCCAAGCATATTTTATTATAGATATCACTATGTCTCATCCCTTGCTCTTCACAAACCTCTCAGCATTTTCAACATTTGTGGCAACTTTTCCCTTACTTCCAACTTCTCCCTTAATGGACTGTAATCTGGCTTTCAGCTCCCTCACTTTGCAAATCTTGTAAATGCTCTGATAACCACTGCAATAACTAATCCAAGAACATTTTTCAGTCCTTAACTTACCTGACATCTCAGGAGGCTTAGGTTGTTGATTATTTCCTTTCCCTTAAAACTCTCTCCCCACATGGCCTCCATGACATTGCCCTATCCTGATTCTCCTCCTTTCCTCTGATCATTAATTCTCCATCTCCTTTAGAAGTTTACTGTCCTCTCCATGATCACTAAACAGAAAATGAAGAAGGGGTGGAGAGGTAGGGGTGTGTGTGTGTGTGTGTGTGTGTGTGTGTGTGTGAGTGTGTGTAAGACAGAAAAGAAAAATCAGTATGTCAAGATAAAACCCAGCCTCAGAAACATTTTTGGTTCCATTGCCTCCTCTAATTGTTACCATCTTTTGTCTACACTATGATTCACTTCCACTTTTTCCAGTTGCCCTGCTTCAGTCTTCCATTACATCTTCCAGCAGACTTAACTCTTACCATGCAAACCGCATCGTATGATACCTCTGCCCATCCTTATGGGAAGGAATAAAAGCTGTAGCACAGCCTACAAGGCCCCTGCATGTTATGTCCCATACATTCCAATGCTCTCTGAGTTTTAACCATATGGACTATCCTTCAGTCCCTCCAAAGTGAAGGCATATGCTGCTTCCTCTGCCTGGCATACCATTCCTGTCCTACCTGCATAGTCAATTATTCCTCTTCTGCTGATCTCAGCTCAGCTTTCACTTCAGAGATGCCTTCCATGACTTCCAGACTAGGTCAAATCCCCCTATGTTATGTTCAGATGACACTTCATGACATTTATCACATTCATAATTTCATTTGTGTGATTAACATTCATTTCACAAAGCAGATCATAAAACACAACTGTGTTCTTTGTGCTCACCACTGTTTCACCAGCTACCATGGTGCCATTTACATAGAAAGGATTCAATAATATGTATTGAGCAACTGAATATTAATAATTATTATCTTTTATTTTTCTTGAAGCAAGTGTTGTTTTAGTGAAATGTTTCATTATTAAACCAAAGACTTAATGAAAATATTACATGTGATATTTTAACTTTATGAAAAGCACAATAATAATGTTTAAATTTTGAATATAGAATTTCTAATAGAAAAGTACTAATTTTAAATTATTTTTAAAATGTTACATTGAATATACTAATTGTTGAGACAATTTTAATTGGTATGCTTGACTTGAATATTCTATTTACAGAAAGCATTACGAGAAAATATAAAATCTACTTGGTTAGTGGGAGACTCTAATCTTGTGTATCAAACATTCCACATTATTTCTTAGAAATTGATTTGGTACTTACATTTAATTTTATTTTCCTTTATCTTTTAGACTTTCCAACCTGTCTTTTGTGTACTTGTATAAGTACCACCGTGTACTGTGATGACCATGAACTTGATGCTATTCCTCCGCTGCCAAAGAACACCGCTTATTTCTATTCCCGCTTTAACAGAATTAAAAAGATCAACAAAAATGACTTTGCAAGCCTAAGTATGGATGACAGCATTAACGGCCTTCACCGCTTTACACACTTCCTTTAAATTTTTACATTGTTAAATGTTAGCACTGAGAATGAAACTTGAATGCCAAAGCCTGGTTCATGAATCAATAGTTTTTTGTTATTTAAAAATTTGAGAGTTTGCTTTAACAATTATAAGAAAAACAACAAATAAGCAATGGTCATTTCAAAACCATATAGGTGATGTTTTCAAATGAGCAATTTAAACTAAATATGCATAATAAATAATTATATTGTACATGCTGGAATGTTTTATCATATTATGACATTATGAGTAAAATATTGTGGTCATATTTATGAGGAGTTGGCTTTTTAAAAATAAACTTCCACTAAAGCATAGTTGCTTTATGATGGATGAATGTAAGCCTAAATTCTGACTTTAAAGTTGTTGCCAACTTAGAAGAATTTTGGTATGTGTTGTCATAAAGTGTTTTAATCATTTGAAGATTTCTTTCTAATGCCTGTATCTTTGACTATTAGAAAACACAACAGTCTTTATCATTGAGGGAAACATTTTAAATGACAAAATCCAGACAAACTTTATGAAGATTATGGAGAGAAGACCAGTTATTTTAAACGTGGTGTACCAATTTCTTTGCTAAAGTTATACTCCTAAGTACATAAATATGAATAGTATTTGGAGGAAATAATTTTTTATAAAAAGAAAGATAATCATCTCATTAACTGTGCATTGCTAAATTTATATTTGCAAAATAAAGGAAAATTACATTTATATTTTTATGTGAGCAAAACAAGAATATTTAATTACTTCCTTTATTTTTTTCTGCTAGGTGATTTAAAAAGGATTGATCTGACATCAAATTTAATATCTGAGATTGATGAAGATGCATTCCGAAAACTGCCTCAACTTCGAGAGCTTGTCCTGCGTGACAACAAAATAAGGCAGCTCCCAGAATTGCCAACCACTTTGACATTTATTGATATTAGCAACAATAGACTTGGAAGGAAAGGGATAAAGCAAGAAGCATTTAAAGTAAGTTTTAAGTTTGATATGCAGACTTTTATCTTCCAATTTTATTTGCTGTCATTGACTACCTTTTTTATTCGTGTAGGGAAAATAAATTTATTTATTTATTTATTTATTTATTTATTTATTTATTGAGATAGGGTCTCACTCTGTCACCCAGGCTTGAGTGCAGTGGTGCGATCACAGCCCACTGCAGCTTCGACCTCCCTGGGCTCAGATGATCCTCCTGCCTCAGCCTCCCAAGTAGCTGGGACTACAAGATGCGTGTCACCATGCCTGGCTAAATTTTGTATATTTTTGTAGAGACATGGTTTCGCCATATTTCCTAGGCTGGTGTCGAACTCCTGGGCTCCAGTGATCCTCCCGCTTCGGCCTCCCAAAGTACTGGGATTATAGGTGTGAGTCACTATGCTCAACTTCTATAAGGGGATTTAATTTAGTGAGACTTTTAACTTTCAAGATAAACTTCCCAACTGCATCTGTCATGCTTCTGAGAAACACCATATTCTGGTACATTGTGAGGGTGATCAAGTACCAAAAACAGAAAGCAGGGCCAGAATAAGAAGTTGGTGGCTACCTGAAGCACCATCTACAGAAGCACCATCTACAGGAGCACCTGGAAGTGGTACAAGCCAGAGAATCTGTATTGATCAGACCCTACACTCAGAAAGACTATCTGGCTAAAAGGATAGCTACTTGGCAGGGAATGGGCAGTGTCTTGAAGACAGAAGGCTACTAAATGACCTTATAAAGAGGATGGATTCAGTTAGCCTTAGAGATTTTGTTTTCTATGTGAAGCAAGCAGGTTTGGGGCTAGAGGACTTGCTTTGAAAAACAGCATAGGGTCTGAGAACAGTAACCAACTGGCTTTCTTGCCTCCTCTTATGGCATTCAAGCAGCCCCTCTCAGTGTACACTGAACATGTAATTGTAAAATACTCTTTAGAGAGACACCACAGTATTCTCAGGGATGGCACAGGGGATAGTGTGGCCTCATAACCACTGGGTGGTGGCAAATGCCCTGTCTCTCTGCTAGGCCTCCAGTGATACCATCAATGGTAGCTATGGGAGTTAGGGCATCTCACTATAGCCAGGCAAGGGTCATAGTCTAGTCTGCCCACTCTGCCTGTGTTGGCACAGGTGGTGATGAGTCACAGTTTATTCTAGGGTGTTTGGCTAGAGTAGAACAGCTATTGTCTAAATGTTTTTTGTCTTGCTAGGCTGCCCTTTTCTGGTAGTTGGGCTACCAGGCCATTGCTGGGGAGGAACTCTTTGTTTCCATGCCTATAAAATAAAGGAAATGCTTGCTATGCCTCATCAAAATCCTCAAAATCCCACTGCAGAATGCCTTTCATAGGAAGAAGCAGCCTTGCTTAAATTGAGAAAGTCAGACTGAACAAAACATGGTTCTTCCTAGAGACTGAGAAACACATTGTATTTTTATGAAGAAATATTTGCTTGTAGCCAATTTTTCCAAAACTCATCTGAATTGTCTAGTAACTCAGAAAACTAAGCTGCCTCAACTTTACAAAACAAGACCTGAACTGGAACATGCTATTTTACAAATATCTGCATGTAGAGGGAATGGGAAATACAGCTGTGTTTTTTATTTCTTATTGAGTTTTTATTGAGTTTTTATTGAGTTCCCACATTTGGAATGTTTACAGGACATGTATGATCTCCATCATCTGTACCTCACTGATAACAACTTGGACCACATCCCTCTGCCACTCCCAGAAAATCTACGAGCCCTTCACCTCCAGGTAGGAGTCTACCAGTAAGGTGCGCCCAAGGGCTTCAGAGAAAGCAAAGCCAAAAAGGACATCAGGACACAAGAATTTGTCTGTAATGGCATGTTGACACACTGTGATAACTTTTCTTCTTTTTCTCTTTTCTCATTTATTCTCTCTCTTTATCTGAGTACAAAGCTATCTTTATACATTCATAGCTCTATCTATTCTAATTGAATTCTGATAACTTTACTCTTTTTCTTATTTTCCAAGGCAAAATGCATCCTTTTGGTACACAAATCTTCTTTAGAAAAAAAACCACTGAAAGTTTCACGTGTTGAAGAAAATGAAAAGATTAGAAGTGGAAAAGAAAAGGGAGAAATAAAAATCTAACTTGACATTTAGCTGTCAGGGGAAAAAAAAAACATCAGTTTCAGCCTGTGATTTTAGGTTTTATGTATTGAATTAAATTCAGTCCTAAGGCATTCCTATGTGCTGAGAGATGGCAAGCTCCATCTCTCTGGATAAACAAAGTGCAGGTTTTTTTTTTTTTAAACACCATATTTGAAAGTTTTGGTTATTTTAAAGCCCATTAAGCTACATGTTATCTTTGAAGTATTCAGTTTGATTAGTTTAATGAATGAATAATATTTTATTTTCACCTATGTGATTAAAAAATTGTTCAATCATAATGAATATTTTTGGTTGTTAAATATAAATTATTTCTTATTTCAGTTGTAAATTTTAGTTTGTAGCTATAATCAACATTCTCTAATCAATTGATCTGTTCTATGGAATAAATATATAGAGAAAACACCCATTTCATGCTCAAAGAAACAACATTATAGTTTAACATTATCTTTTATGGCAGAAAATGTACAAAAAGTGATTTTGCTATTTAAGAGCTGGACATGAATTCCTGTGTTTCCCCTTGTGGATTTTGTGAATATTTACCTTTGTGCCTTTTCTTTTTTTCCTATTAATATAAATATTTTCATATTTTTGGTGTCTACATATATATAAATATATATCTCTATACATATATGTATATACACACACTATATATATATATATGTATATATGTCTGTGTCTTGGATATCTGTCTCTTTTGTAGGTTTGTCTGATTTGTTTACTTGCCTATTGTATATGTATTTTCTAGCCATTTGGTTTGATTTCTGGATGGCTCTCTCTTTTTTTCTGGGGGTGAATTTCTATGCATATAAAGATGTCTTTCCTTGTTTATGACTGAAGGAAAGATTTCCAAGGGAGTACTTAGAGATTTTAGAATGTGTTTTCCAATTATGAATTAAATTTTATTACTATTATCTGGGGTGATATTGATTCTACCAATAAAACAAGTCTTTGATGTTATATTTAAACATAATTAGTTTGTATATATAATATGAGGGAATTTTTTAAAGTAACAGCTTTTACATTCCCATTCTAAGCTTTGAAAGTCAATAAGTGCAACTTAAAATTTTTTTCTCCGTCACTGTCAGCTCACAACATCCAATATATATATGTCTGTTTTTAGCTTACATTGTCTTCAACTTCTGTATTTTTAATACATAAATAAATCCCCTTTTTTATTCATTTGGAAAATGTTTGCCAACATGTAGTATAGCAGTTAAAACTGAAGGCTCTGGCAAAAGCATATGCCTTGGGCTGAAATTCTAGACCCAAAACTATCTGAAACTCCCTGCATTTCTGATTTCTCATGTGGATTAAAAGGTGATCTTCTATACAGGATGGCTGGGAGGATGAATGAAACAATGTTTATAAAGCATTTAATATAGCTACTGATATATGATAAATACTTAAATGTAAGTCACAGTTATTAACAACACATATCTATCACATATCAAAGGGAATAGCAGAGTTAATAGGCACAAAACATGTATTATTCCTCATTGACACTTTATAATGATAAGAGGGTTAATACATCAGGGTCAATACATACATGATTATAAACATATATGCATCTAACAACAGAGGCCCAAAATACATGAGGCAAAAACTATCAGAAATGAAAGGAGAAATAGGCAGTTCAATAGTAATGAAGTATTCCATCTTCTTATTTTTATTTTTTAATTTTAATTTTTTTTTATAGAAAGGGTCTTGCTCTGTCACCCAGGCTAGAATGCAGTAGTATGATCATAGCTTACCACAGCCTCAAACACCTGGGCTCAAGCAATTTTCCACCCTAGTCTCCCAAGTAGCTAGAACTTTAGGTGTGAACCATCATGCCTGGCTACTTTTTAAATTTTTTAGAGACCAGGTCTCACCATGTTGCCCAGGCTGGTCTTGAACTCCTGGCCTCAAGTGATCCTCCTGAATTGGCCTCCCAAAGTGCTGGGATTACTGGCATGAGCCACCGCACCTGGCCTTGCTTCAATAATGGATAGAACAACTATCTATAAGATCACTAAGTAAATAGAAAACTTGGACAACACTGAAAACCAATTTGGCATAACAGTCATCGACAGAACATTCCACCCAACAATTTCAAAATACACATTTTTCTCAAGTGCACAAGGAACATTTCCCAGGTAGACCACATACTAGGCCACAAAACAAGTATTAGTAAATTGAAAATAATTAAAATTATACAAAGTATGTTTTCTGATTCCAATGAAATTGCATTAGAAATCAACAAAAAATAAAATTTAAGAAATTCACAAATACGTGGATATGAAACAAAATTTTTCTTAATCACTAATGGGCCAAAATAGAAATCTCAAGAAAGTTAAAAAAAATCAGAGATAAATAAAAACAAAAATAAAACACATTGAAATGTATGGGATGGAGCTAAAGCAGCACTTAAAGGGAAATTTTCAGCTGTAAATACGTATATTAAAAAAGAAGATCTCAAATCTATAACCTAGCCTTCTACCTTAAGATAATTGAAAAAGTAGAGGAAACTAACCCAAAGCAAGCAGAATAGAAATAATAAAAATTAAAGCAGAATAAGTAAAATATATAATAGAAAAATAATGGAGAAACAAAACTAACATTTGTTTCTTTAAAAGATCAACAAATTGACATATTTTTAGCTGATGTGACCTAGGAAAAAAGTCACAAATTACTAAAATCAGGAATAAGAAAGGGGACATTACTACCAAACTTACAGGAATAAGAAGGATCATAAGGATTACTATAACAACTGTAAACCAACAAATTAGATTAAATGAACAGATTTCTAGAAAAATGCAAGCTATTGAAATTGACTAAAGAATGGATAATCTGAATAGAGCTATAATAAGCAAATATATTAACTTAGCAATTTAATATCTTCCAAAAAAGACAACCCACTCCCACATGGATTTACTCGTTAACTTTATCAAACATTTAAAGAAGAATTCATAACAATCTTTCACAAACTATTTCAAATAACAACAAAAAAGAGAACATTTCCTTCCTAACCCATTCTGTGAAGCCAATATTACCCAATAACAGTACTCGACAAATATATCACCAGAAAATGAAACTACAGGCCAATATCCTTTATAAATATTGATGCAAATCGCCTCAACAAAACACAACAAACGGAATTCACCAACATATAGAAAAGATTACACATCACGACCAAATGGGATTGCAGAAATATAAGAATAGTTTAACATTTAAAAATCAACCAATGTAATATATTAATAGAATAAAGGGCTTAAAACCATATGATTATTTCAATAGATGTCAAGAAAAGCATTTGACAAAATCCAACACCATTTTATTATAATATTACTAAAAAAGTAAAACTAGGAATAGAAGGAACTTCTTCAATCCAATAAAGAACATCTATAAATAACTCAGGCTAACATCATCTTCAATGGAGAAAGACTGAACACTTTCTTTCTAAGAACAGAAACAAGACTAAAATTGTTTGTCTCACCACTTCTATTCAGTATTGAGCCTGGCAGTTATAGCTAGGACTATTAGGAAAAATAAATACATAAAATATAGTAAATAAATAGTTTCCAAATTGGAAATAAGGTCATTCTTCTATTTTCAGATGACATAATCTTGCATATAAAAAATATTAAGGAATCCACTAAAAACTAGTTGAACTAATAAATGAGTTCAGCAATGTGGCAGGTTACAAAATCAATATACAAATATCAATTGTATGCAGGATATCTATACACTAGCAATGAACAATCTGAAAAAAAATTAAGAAAACAATCCTGTTTATAATAGTCACAAAATTTTAAAGGTATCTAAAAGAAATTTAACAAAGGCAGTACAAGCTCTGTATACTTAAAGCTACAACACATTGTTGAAATTAAGATCTAAATAAAGAAAACATAATTCCATATTCATGAATCAGAAGACTTACGACTAAGGTGGAAATGGTCCCCAAATTAATCTATAAATCTTAGGTATAGAAAATTCTAAGGAATCCACTAAAGTATTTGAACTAATAAATAAGTTCAGCAATGTTATAGGTTATAAAATCAATATAAACTATCAATTATGTTTCAATACACTAACAATGAACAAAAACACAGTGAGATACCAACTCATACTCACTTATTTGGCTAAAATAAAAGAGACAATTAGAAGCATTGGTTAAGATGCAGACAAAATTGTAACCCTCATACATTGTTGGTAGAAGTGTAAAATGGTGCACCTACTTTGGAAAACGGTCTGACAGTTCCTCAAAATAAAACATGAAGTTACTATATGACTCAGCAATTCAACATCTAAGTATATACCCAAAAGAACTGAAAGCGTATGTACATACAAAACTTTTACACAAATGTTAACAGAAGTATATTCATAAGAGGCATAATTTGGATTTGGAAATAATTCAAATTTCCATTAATTGATGAATAAACAAAAATGTGGTATATCAATACAGTGAAATAGTATTGGACAACAAAAAAGAATGAAGTACCAATACATCCTACAACATGTATGAACTTTGAAAACACAATACTAAGCGAAAGAACTCAGTACCAAAAAATTTATATATAATTCTACTTACGTGAAATGTCCAGATAGGAAAATCTATATAAAAAGAAAATAGATTAGCAGTTGCTGGGGTGGGAGGAGGGGAATGTGTGGTTTTCTTTTGGGGGTGTTGAAAATGCTTTAAAATTAGACAGATGGTTGCAAAGCTCTGTTAATACACTATAAAACACTGAACTGTACCATTTAAGTGGGTGAATTTTATGGTATGTGAGATACAGTAAATAAACCTAGGTTTAAAAATCCAGTCCTGGGCCCTGCTTATCTTCCGGATATTTGCTCCCTCCTTCCTTCCCCTCACTTCAGCCACATTGACTTGAATGTCGAATGTTGAGGGAGGAGCATTCCATGTTGATTCCTCAGGACTCTAAACCTGATGTTCTCTGTGCCTAGAATGTTCTTCCCTTGTTTTTTTTCCATGCCTTTTTCTTCTTGTCAATCCATTCTCAGTTCAATTGTTACCTCTAAAGATAACTTTTCATAGTCATCCTATTTTCTTCACAATACTCATCATTTTTGGAAATAACTTGTTTTTCTTTCAGTAGTTTTCTCACCTCAAATTGTATTTCTCTTACTGAAGTATAAGCTCCTTAAAAACAGGAGCATGTCTATTTCCTAATTTACCCCCATTGCTTAGAAAGTGCTTGGCATATACATTAAGTAATTTTGATTGAGGAAAATAACAAAAGAATAAAAACAAGGGTGAAGCACAGTGGACTGCGCTATCAATCAATACTAAGAATGTGTTATATCTTGTCATAATTTATTTTCATCTTTTTTAGAATAACAACATTCTGGAAATGCACGAAGATACGTTCTGCAATGTTAAAAATTTGACTTATATTCGTAAGGCACTAGAGGACATTCGATTGGATGGAAACCCTATTAATCTCAGCAAAACTCCTCAAGCATACATGTGTCTACCTCGTCTGCCTGTTGGGAGCCTTGTCTAATTTCAGATAATGGTTAGCATTACGATGGCTACTATAAATAAACCATTCTTACTGCTCTCTTCCAAAACAAAACTCAGCATGATACTTTGAGATTGTGTTCTGAGAGATGATATGACTACATAAAATACAATTAAAAATGTTATAATGAAAATGTAGTAATTTAAGAAAACACCAGATGAGTTAGGAATAAACCTATAACATTTACAAAAAGAGCAAAACTAAGTGATAGAAAATATTTCACACATGTTCTTATAGATCATGTATCACTTGCAAGTTTTAGGAGTTCATATCCTATATCATTTCAAATTAAGTACATAATAAAGTAAAATTTTGAAATGAACACTTTAGGTATTTTTGCCAAGATTTAGATGTTTTTAATTAAACTTTTCTCTTCCTTTTTTTTTCACTAAAGCATGTTTATTCCCCTAATCCATTAAAGAGCATGAAAAAAAGAATAAATGTATTTGAAAATTATAATGGCCTTGTGAAATAGTCATTATAATGACACCATGCAAATAATCATATCCAACAATAATACACATAACCTGCAGTTTTTGAATTATAACTTTTTATTATTTTAAAGAGCTGACAACTCATTTTAGATCTTCGATAAACTGATTAGTTATGTAGTGTATTTCTGTGTGCCTGTAAGAAAAATAAAATATAGAAAATGGAAAGAAGATGATATGATAATCATATTAGGGAAGAAGTAATACTTTCTAAGGAGAGTTCGTCTTTCTAAAATGTATAATCATAATACAGGCACATACATGGTTCAAAACTGAAAGACAATAAAAGAGTATTCAATGAAAGGTAAGTTTCCTTCCAGCTGCAACACCTCCAGGTCTACTCCTCAGAAATAATGTTTTCTTGCATAATTTTATAAAGATTTCCACAAGAAACAAAAACTTGCATATAAGTAACTTTTTCTTTTTTACACAAATACATATGTGTACATGCTACATGTGCATTTCACCAGAATGTGTGTATTTATACATAAAATATGCATTTTTAAGTACAGAAGATAAACACTATTCTGAACTTTGCTTGTTTAATTTAAAATTATTGCTGGATGATCATTCCATATCAGCACATATAGCTGTACTGATTCTGAAAACCACATATCAGTCCATCACATGGATGTACATTTTTTTCATTTACACCAAACTGCAAAGAATACCCTTGCTTGAACATGAATAAGTTTGTATACATGTGAGAGTACATGTATTGATAAAATCATGCAAGTAGAATTCTGGGTCAAAGATTATTATTTTGAATTTTAATAAACATTACTAAATTGCCCTTCAAAGACAGTGTAACCACTTAAACTTTCACCAACAGTGTGGGAAAGTACATAATTCTCTAGAACTTTACTAAGATGGTTTAGTATCAAATCTTTTCATCACTTCATAGCCTATTTCTGAATTAACATATTAAAAAAGAGACAATTAATTGTTTTGTAGTATATTAACAGAGCTTTGCAACCATCTGTCTAATTTTAATCCAGGTAACCTCCATATGATCTTAAAAAAGGCCAACTGGTTTGGTGCTTTAATCTGCTTTTTTTTTTTTTTTTTTTTTTTTGAGACGGACTCTCGCTCTGTGGCCAGGCTGGAGTGCAGTGGCGTGATTTCGGCTCACTGCAACTTATGCCTCCCGGGTTCAGGCGATTCTCCTGCCTCGGCCTCTCAAGTAACTGGGACTACAAGTGCGTGCCACCACACCCAGCTATTTTTTTGTATTTTTAGTAGAGACGGGGTTTCACTACGTTGGCCAGGATGGTCTCAATCTCCTGAAGTCGTGATCTGCATGCCTTGGCCTCCCAAAGTGTTGGGATTAAAGGCATGAGCCACTGCGCCGTGACCTGTAATTGTATTTTAACAGTACCTAGAAGAATGTTTGAATAACCAGAAGGCAGGAATCTCAGAGACCTATCTTTAAAATTCTACCTAACACAATCTCCAAATCCTAGTAGTATAAGCAAGTGGTGATGCACCATAGATAATGACCTTCTTTCTCTACTCTTAAATCCTCCTAGAAACACATAAAAAAATAGTGATGATAGTAGTGGGAATAATAAGGAAACAGTAACATTTAATGAAAGCCTTTTATTATTGTTTCTCTGGGATGGAATAGTCATCCTTTGATGATGTCTCTATGTGGACAAAGAAATATACAATGTCACTGACTTTTCAATTTCTGCTGTGCCAATGAGGTAGACAAGTGGATGATTTGGTTTTGATTCTCTTGTTATAGTTTAAGAAAAAGAATTGCAATGATTCTTTGAAAAATTTAGTTATTTTAAACATGTAGACATATTTTTAGCCAAAACTATCTTCTAATGTTACTTTTGCTTGCCTTTGTGGGAAATATAAATGAAAGTAATAAGGGCGAAAGAAAAATCATTTGCTATATCTTATTGTGTACGCATTTTAATGAGGTTAAATGATTAACACTGTCAGTGGACAAACTTGTAGCTCCCAGAGTGTCCATACAATCACAGGACAACTTTGCACAACTCTTACTAAAATAGAAATAAGAGCTATACAACATCACTGCTATAAAATAGAAGGAGCCATATAACAGTATACTTTAGAGGATAGTGTCAGAAAATCATTTTTAGGCCTGGCGTTTAACTTTGAAGCATACTAAATGTTGTTTTAAAGTTAATTCATGTATACACACATTGTTATAATAGCAACCAGCTATTGGATACAAACTATGTGCCAGGCATCTACTAAGGTTTTCAGCATGTATTAATTCACAATATCCTAGGAGCTGGAGATAATCACTATTCCAAGTCACAAATCAGAGAAGAGAGCTTAAATAACTTGGCCTGGATCCACAGCCGACTCCTAAATCCTGTGCCATTTGACTCCATTGTTGCACCTAAAGTACCACAGATATGACTTTTTCCAGTTTTATAAAATAAAGAAAATGGTGTACAGGCTGGACAAAGATGCAAAGATCAGCACCGGCTTTTCGTATGCAACAGTGACTTCCCACTGGTCTAGTGCCTTATTTCAAGCACCGTGGAGGGACCATTTACCGAGGCCAGAGTAGTCCTCCAGATACCTGGCCTCTGGAAAATCAGCAAAAAGATGGACTGAGATACTTAGTGCCATCAGGGTAAGTGGAGACTCCCAGCAGACAGTACTGACTTATTCATTAGGTACAGTCGGCACAGTGCCCACAGCTTGCAAGAGCCTTCAGAACATATGAAAATATTTAGTTTCTTTTAAAATAAAGAGAATGTGGTAATAATAATATATGTGCAATAATCAGTCAAACCTGGATTACATTCTTTTCTGTAGCAACAAGCCATAAAATAGAGTTTAATTAATTTTTTATGAAGAAAGGGGTCCATGGAAGTCTTAATGAGGTCCTGCCTACAAGAACATTATTGATGATAACAGATCTCCCCCCACAAATGTCATAGAATAACTTTCTGTCCTCACAGCCTACTCAGCATACAATTATTACAGAATATGGGGGAAGAAGAGATTTTAGCAAGAAATAAAATGAAATAAATAAAATACTGGGATAAAAAGGGCAATATTATACAAATGTTATGGTGCTAACCGACATTCTCACAGGCATTATGACTGCCTACTGACAAGGTGGCTTTGCAGATGTAGTTTGACATGAACTCTAGAAGGACAAAGTGTTCACTATAACTCTTAAATTGTGATGATAATATTTTAGTGATCCTGCTAAATGTATCATATTTAAGTGGCCATTTCAAATACCTCATATTCTTATCTGAAAACTCTAAATTTAAAACTGACTTCTGATTAAAACACAACGTATATTTTTAAGCATCAAATTGTTTTTTTTCCTATTCAGTTGTTATATATGTTTATTTTTCTCTAAATATTACAGGTTATTTGCCAAGAAAAAAATGAATACTGCATCCTACTGCCCCATAATACTTTATACTTTAAAACTACTTATAAGCAAACATGACCAGGCTAACAATTCCTATCTAAGTATTTCTGAGTGCCCAGGTTTTTCAGATGTGATAACTACAATATGTTGTGCTAATCCTCTGAAAATCTTGAATTGTTATAGGATCAATAATAATTTCAAGAGGTGGTAGCAAATAATATCTACACATAGTACTACGATTTGTAAAACTGGCATTTCTTATTTCTCTGAATCTATAGAAACATTGTCATCACAAAGTTAACTCCCTCTTCAAAATTTGCTTAAAATGACTCGAGGATTCATAAATGGAAAAAACCACAATGGTGTTCCCTGATGCACAACACACCTCAAAAATCTGCAAACTAACCCCAAAACTTCCCAAATTATTAAGAGAAAGCAATATGCCCTTTGAATCTCTATCTCAGCTTTGAAAAGCTAGAAAGGCTTAATACTTTGTACTTAGCCTTTGTGACCACAAGATGGCGTTGACCCTTTGGTTTTAAAATCCTGCTGCGTGGATGTCTGCAGTAGGAAAAGGCAAGCCTGACAGAACATGTATTTTTAAGCATCAAATTGCTATTTTTTACTATTCAATTGCCATATATGTTTATTTTTCTTTAAATATTACAGGTTATTTGCCAAGAAAAAATGAGCACTGCATCCTACTGCCCCAGAATACATTATACTTTAAAACTACTTATAGGCAAGCATGCATTCTATTTATTTTTGTATCACATAGCACTGTATTAGTGACATAGATGGATCTAAAAAATATTTGTTGAATTTCATTTATCTGACTGGATCGGGCATATCTAACTTTTCTCTGAAGAATTTTATTTACAAGTTTAATTGGCAGAGGTTTGCTTTTTCAAAGCCAATTGAAAAATGCTGAAGTATAATAAAAACACCCAATTCTACGACAAGAATAAAAGGTAATTAATACTGCAACCTGGAATTGTTTAAAAATGGAATTCATGATAAAACACAAAAATGAGTTGTTTACTTGTCAGTTTGTTTTGTATAGGAATTGTTGCTGACTGTATTTTGAATGAGCTACTACTGCCATCAAGTGTTAGAATTCTTCAAGTCACAAAAATGCACAAAAACCAACACCAAAATTGCAGTATGTTTTCAACTTAAAAACATAATGCTCTGCACAACATAAAACATAGCAGAGCCTACGCCATCATACGGCACTTATTACAATTTGAAAAAGGCCAACAGTGTCATTAAAATCTTCCAAATAAAGTAGCAACAAGTGAGTATGAACAACATATTTGACTCAATTTACTTTACATATGTGGGAAACTGATGGTAAGATTGTCTGCCTCCTGGTCTCCTGGTGTTCACACCTTTGTGTAATACCCACTCCCCCAACCCCTCCACACGGCGTGTCCACGGGGACCTGGGCCTTGCTTCTAACCCACAGACTATGGCAAAGGTGATGGAAAACCCAGGATTATGTTAAGGCAAGAATGTCAAGGCCAGGATTATCATAAACAGCCACACACTTTCACACACACACACACGTGTATATGTCTGTATTTACATCTGTAACTTTCCATCTTGCTAGGAGAAACTATGGAGATTTTCTTTGCCAGTTAGATGATGTGAGCAGCCCCGTTGAGGAAGCCCACAGTTCTTGCTTTGGGCAGTGTCTAAGAACCGCCCTTAGCCCCTAGGACTAGTGGGTGGCCTCAAGTCCTAAAGCTGGGCTCCAGCCAACAGAGAGCTAAAAGGCAGGGCCATCAGTCTTACAGCCATGGGGAATAAATTCTGCCAATGCCATAAATGATCTTAGGAGTGAATTTTTCTGAATTGAGCACATCAGTGAGAACTCAAACCATTCAAAATCTTAATTACAGCCTGTAGCAGTCTGTTCTCATGCTGCTAATGAAGACATACCCGAAACGGCACAATTTATAAAGAAAAAGAGGTTTAATGGACTCACAGTTCTACTTGGCTGGGGAGGCCTCACACTCATGGCAGAAGGTAAAGGAGGAGCAAAATCACGTCTTACGTGGTGGCAGGCAAGACAGAATGTGAAGCAAGAGAAAGGTGTTTCCCCTTAGAAAACCATCAGATCTCGTGAGACTTATTCACTACCACGAGAACAGTATGGGGAAACCACCCCCATGATTCAATTATCTCCCACTGGCTCCTTCCCACAACATGTGGGAATTATGGGAGCTACAATTCAAGATGAGATTTGGGTAGGGACACAGCCAAACCATATCACAGCCTGTTGCACCCATGGACAAAGGGCCCACTAAGATATTCCTGGACCCCTGATTCCTGAAAACCTTGAGATAATAAATGTATATTGTTTTAAGTAACCAAGGTTGTGATCATTTGTTATGCAGCAACAGAAAGCTAATACAATATTCAACAACAGGATGAATGTGTTATATTTCAATATTGAATCAGAATATTTCATTTCATGGTATTGAAAGAATATGGGTCAATTAAAAATGTGTCCTTACATTGGTCAACAGGTACAAAGTTACAGGTAGGGAGAAGGAGTAAGTTTTGGTGTTCTAATGCACATCAAGGTGACTACAATGAACACCAATGTATTGTGTATTTCAAAATAGCTATAAGAGAGGATTTTAAATTCTCACCACAATTAAACGACAAATACTTGAATATACTAATTAGCCTAATTTGATCATTTCATAAAGTATATATGTATGGAAATATCACATGGTGCCATATATATATACAATAATTTGTCACTAAAAAAAGAACTATAAAAGTGTCTTTAAAAATTAATTAAATGTCTGACTTTTTGTTTAACATGCTTTAGTGGTAAATTTTCTTGGATGATTTACCAGTACATTCAAAACTTGTATTATAATTCCAATCTCTGTAAAATTAAAATCATAATCAAAATAATAAATTGCTGCTTCTCTTAAGAAAATTCGGGCAAGCCAATAACGTGTCAATGTTGTTCAGTAGGGAGAATAAATATTCTCACCATGCAAAAAGTATATAATGCCAAGATTAACTGTATAAAGGTCACATCAACTGATCAAAAAATGATGTCCTTAATTACCTGTAAAATGAGTTAACCATCTCTTTTAAAACAAAAAGAAACTGATTGGAATTTCAACACAGCAACATGGTCCATCTGTAATGCTCTCAATTAAAACCCATTTTTGCATAACACACGTCCTTAGAAAAAAATAAAACTGGGCTCTCACCATTCCATTTTGAGTACACAGAGCAGGGTCAGAATAACTGCCAAAGGTGAGTCCATATCTAGAAAGGGATACTGCAGGCTAAACATGTCAGCATTCTGTACTTTGAGTCAAGCAGGGGTGTCCTCAGCAAACCACAGAGCAAATGAAATTAAATGAAGCCTGTGGATTCTACAGGTCTCAGGGCAAATGTTGGAGTCCTGATCCAAGACCCCCTATAATGTTCTCAATTTTCAGCCAGGAATGCATAAATGACCTTTGCCAGCTTCAGGGCTTTCACACATTTTGCTTTTCTGGCATTTAATGGAGCCTTATATAGACTGAAGTTCCCAGCAGGCAGTTTTCCATTTTGTGCAATTCCACTCAGCACAGAAAAGTAAGAAAGGGATATAAACTGAGACGGTTTTCTCTAGGACCAAGTATGGTAGCACTTTCCTTGACGTTTTACAAAGAAGGACAAGAAAAGGACACAAGCCAGGGTGGGGATGCCTATTTTTGCATCAAGAACAAGTGCCTTTACATATACTATATCATCTCTTTTAGAAGTCATGAAGTATTTACAAATAAGGATGATAGTTAACAGTTACTGAGTACTTACAGGGTACCTGCACTAAGTACTTGAAGGAATTACAGTAAGTCCTCACTTAGCATCATAGGTTCTTGGAAACTGCTACTTTTAAATGAGAAGACATATAATGAAACGTGGTTTTGTTATTGTTGTTGTTTTGCCTCAGCAACGTTATAAGGAAATGACATTGAGCAAAACATTAATATTAGAGGACCTGTTATATGCATTTAATTCTTTACACAACCGTATGGAAAAGGTAGTATAATCATGGTATGGGTAAGGAAACTGAGGCTTACAGAGATTAATAATTGGTGAGTTGAAGTTGAATCCCATTTATTTAAATTAAAACCCATATGCTTAACCACAATGCTTTAAAGGCTTCCCGTGTATATGCTGTATGGTCAGTGAAGGGACAAAAGGAAAGACAATCAGAATATTCCTCTTCCCAAGGACAAACCTGTGGTATTCATTATGGTAATAATAATATTTGTTTAATTGAGGTACACATGTACGGTATATTACCAATAGCAAAGTACCTTCCCAAATGTTATGTCATTTAGTTATCACAAGGGTCCTACTGGGGGTTTGGTAGAACACATAGCAATGTCATTAGGAACCTAACTTTTGGGTCAAACAGGTTTAGGCTTAAATCGTAGCCTGGAAATTTATTAGCCCCACAACCATGGGGAAATTAAGCTCTCAGTTCCCTCATCTGTGACAGGTGATAAGATACGCCTACCTCTCAGGGTAGATGACAGGATTATTTGTCAGTGAGCACATGCAATAATAAATGTTCGTGGTCTTGTTTTATGTATTATGAATCCCAATTCTCAGGAGTAAGAAGAGTTGGCACCGGCCAGAAGGTAAGAGGTTGGGCAAAGTTTCCTTTCTCCAGTAATTTTCCATGATCCCTTAGGCCCTCCAAAGGTGTAGAATGTGGGGTTTTCAAAACTCAAGTTCTCCCGCCCCCACCGGGTTCAGATGAAGGCCCATCTTCTAAACCCCCGCCTCAAGGTGATACAAAGCTTTCGGATAAACTGCCTCCAGACTTGCTTGAATTGAGCAGCAGAAACCCAGCCTGGACCCCTCTTCACCTCCCCCAAACGCTGCGTCACAAGCCCCCTGCGAATGTTCACCTGGAGCCTGGTTCCGGACAGAACCCGGCCTTGCACACAGGGAGGACGATTTCGACCCCAATTGGCTGTTGCCCTGGGTGACCAAGAACGCAGTGGGCACGCGGGAGACCACAGCCAGTATTTAAAGGCTGCCGCTGCCCTCGCCACCACAGTCCTGCCAGGACGGCGACAGTGAAGCACCTGGGTTGAGAGGGAGCAGCAGGTAACTGCGCAACCCCTGCCTCCCCCGGCCCCAGCCCGTGCCTCAGCAGAGCCGGGTGTGGTGGGGACCCGGGAGTGGGTCTCACTGCGTGTCGCCTGCCAACACCTTCCTCCCCCACCATCCTTACCCAGCCCCAGTCCCACCCAGCACACCTGGGCGAGACAACCCAGGTGCGAAGGACAAGCGATTACTACCGAAGAGCGTGCAAACCAGGAAGAGAGCAGCCTCCTGGAGAGGAAAACGTGATCCCAGGGGTAGACACGTGGCGCTGCGTGGAGAGACAGGTTGACGAGACGAGGCTCTTCTGACCGTCCTACCTGGCAAAACTTGACGACAGCTTCAGGTCGCTACCATCTGGACCTCTCGGAGCTCCCTGAACCATGACTCAGACCCTCGACACAAGGGAAGACCCTCTGAACCTGGGCGGCGGTGGCGGCGGCGGCTGTGGCTGTGGCTGGGCACACTCGGCCTCCTTGAGCTCCTGGTCGTCCTGCCATCGAAGGCGCCCGGGTGCTCCAGCGTACAATAGACCGCACCGATATAGCCCCAAGACCGAGTATGGGCCCCCAAGGAAGCAGCCGAAGCAACAGCACGGCCCGGGCTTTTGGTTCCAACCACCCGTGTGCTCTAACTGGGGGTGCTGGGGAGGGCCCTGGCGCCCACCCCCTCCAGGATTCTGGAAATTCCCCTGCCCGGTGCAAGTGTTTCGGGTGTATGGCCTGCACCCTCTCTGCTTTTGCTGCTGCTCCTGCTGGAGCGGGTCCTGGAACCCTGGCTGGGTGAAGCCCCCAGGCAGGAAGAAGCGCTGGGGCCGCAGAGGCCGCGGCCTGCGCCACCACCCTCGCCACTCCTACCCGCGGAGCCCGCCAGCGGATGTGAGCACGCTGCCGCGGCCGGTCAAGCTGTATGAGTGGAGAGAGCCTGGCATGCGAGCGCCGCCCAACACCACCCAATTCATCATGAACCAGATCTACGAGGACATGAGGCAGCAGGAGAAGGTGGAGCGTCAGCAGGAGGCGCTGCGGGCGCAGAAGGCCACGGTGAGCGGCGAGGCCTCCCCAGCCAGATCCTCCGGAAACGACGCGCCCCCTGGCGGCAGCAAGGAAACCTGGGGACTGCAGGAAACTCTGTATGGCTTTGTGCAGAATCCCTCTCTAGCATTCAGTCCCAACCCAGAGGAAAACCAGTCTCTTGCCCCGCTGCTGGTGGAAGAAGAGGAGGAGAAGAAAAATGATGATGAGGAGGAGTATGACCAGGAGGTGTGTGATGCAAAGGAGGCGAGCGAGGAGGAAGAAGAGGTCGAAGATGAGGAGGAAGAGGTCGAAGATGAGGAGGAAGAAGAGGTCGAAGAGGCTGAATATGTGGAGGAGGGAGAGGAGGAGCTGGAAGAGGAGGAGCTGGAAGAGGAAGAGGAGGTCCTGGAGGAGAACGAGCAGAGAGGGGAAGAATTTCACTTGCCTCTGGAAATGCCTTTATCAATCTTCGTAGAGGCTGAAGAAAAGAGAGAGAACTTTATAAGCTGCACTTTTTTAAACCCAGAGCAGATAATTCCCAAAGTGCCACAGGAATCCCTGTTCATGGCACAGGACTTTAACTGTTAGACATCAGAAAAGGGATTGAGAAAAGGGATGGAACTGATTTGAGGCTAAACTGGATTAGCAATTTATTAAAAACTGATTAAAAAGTGAGTTCCATTAATAAACAGATCTATGTAAACACCTTCTTTGGCCATTATAAAATGTTTAAAATTTGATGCGTATGTGTATGACTATGGGTGGGTGGTGGGGAAGCTTTCAAATATAATTTTACTGGAACTGATTAAAGGCCAAGTATTTTATTACTACCATTTGAATATTTTCATTTGGTGTTTTCCCCTCTAGAAAACAGAGTTGCTGTTGTTTTTTTAAATCTGGCAATGCTGAAAAAGCGTTTGTTTTTGAAACAAATTTATACAACTTGGCCACTTAATGAGCTTGGAATCAAGAGATAGTTTATTACATGCGTAAGAAGCACATTCTAACGCTACTAAATGTTCACCAGTGCTCTTAACATAACTGAAGCCATTTTCAATCCCTGTATTTTTTCAACAATATTTTTCCTCATAGATTTTTCCACCATCAGAGTTCATTTTTGAGGGTTATATTTTGTTAACCTCATTTGCAGGCTCTTGTGTCATCGCTTATTGATATTCCTTGTTCCACAGTGCTATGGATCTTCCTCAGAAGAACATGAAGTTGCTTCTGTGGAACTGGTTATCTGCCATGGCCTCAACAATCCATAATCCAGTCATGGAGAGGATTCCCCATGGTCAGAAGTCAACTTGCACATCTAGTTAAAGTCCAAGGTAACTGCAAACAGTGGAACATGGCTTAGGTTTTGAAGCCTCGTTATTGGATATAGTCTTTATCCTAAGTTCTGAGGAGCCATAAAAATAGTTTTCCAGAATGGATTTTTTTTTTTAGATAAAAAGATTATCTACCTTTTGGGGGTGGAATATCTTATTTTGTTTTTGAATTTGTCTTTGTTATAAAGAAGAGTAAAACAAAGATGTGTAAGTGTGAGTCTGTGTGAGCTAGTTTCTGATGTCTAAACAGCAATTACCTATGGAGAATACATCATTCAAAGTAATAGCTTTTGTTCAAACATTTTTAGGAAGTAATAATACATTTCTTCCTGGACAGTTGATAAAAGTTCCATCCATAGCATATTTCCAGAATATCCCTAGATGATGAATTTAAACATGCCTTCTCAGAAATTAAATCTTTTGACTTTGAACCACAAGTTAGCATTTATTTGTTGAAGAGAAGAATGTGTGGTGATGTCTTACCTGAATGTTGGTTGTTACTGATATATTACAATTTTCAAGGTGATAAGCTTGAGCTATTAAATAATAAAAAGTATTAAAGTACCTTGCCTCTCATTTCTCATTATTGAAATATCACAAATCCATGCAGCAATGCTTCAGTGGCCAAAAGGATGAATAGAAGAAAGGGGGAAAAAACTTAGGAATTTTAAAATTACACCAAACATTCCAAATTGCAGTGGTGAATAACCAAAACTCTAAGATATCATTACTTTCTACAAGATGCAATTTCTGAATGACCTATAAAATTAAAAGTAGCCATCCCTATGTGTTTTACTGTTCTAATATATATAAGTAGAGGGAAATCAAGAATCCAGCTCCTGAAGCTAGGTAATAAATCCATGCAAGTCATAGCCCATAAATACTTTACTGATGACACTTAATCAAAAGGTCAAAGTTAAGTATGTTCTCACTGGAGAAGCCTTTTTTCATTTAGGATTGAATTTATTTACAATCCCATCTGGACATTTCTCTATTTCTTCCTGCAAAATATTTTAAATTTAAGAATTCACCACATATTAATTGCCTTCATATGCAAAGATGTTATTCACTAGTTATTTTAAGGGATGTAAACATGTGCAATGCCTCAGGAGTCTACATTCTTGTGCATGAACCATTATTCAGCAAATATTGAACTACTGGGGGCCAAGCACTGTGAACAGTGATAAGAATACAATGGTGAATAAGCAAAACCCCATTCTGACATTGTTATTGTTTAGTAGAAAAGTCAGACATTAAATGAGTTAGATGGATTGCTCATTGCAAGTGGTCTGAAGGAAATGTACCACTATAAAAACATAGATCACTAGAGAACCCAGGAGTAAGGCTGAGGATGTTTATCGTGGGCAGAGGGACCCCTAAGTCTAAAGGCCAAGAGCTGAGAGGAGCTTGATGCCTTTGAGGAACTGAGGATAGAAAGACCAGCATGTCTGGAAGCAACGGCCAATGACAAGTGAGAGAAGTATGCAGAATCCATATTATCTATTCTATTGACTTTTATGCCATCCATATCTTCTAGAATAGACACCAGCAAAAATTAATGAGAGGAGAAAACTATTAGTCATTGATGATTCTCTACCTGACCTTCTTCTTTTTTTTTTTTTTAACTAGCCAGATACTGTGATGCTTGCTTTACTAATCCTGATGGCTAATATGAAATAATTAACCCATGTTAGGGGTTGAAGGGATTGGTCATCCCGGGACACCCACCATTCTAACCAACCACTATCATGTAATGAGGGGGATCTTAGGGTTTCTTGCTCAGCATGATTGGAGCACCATAGTTCTCAACTCCCATGGAGAGCCTCTTGCACAGTTTTAGTTTTAGAGGTATGTGTACACATGAAGAGAAAATACAATTTTCCAAAATAAATTCATTATTATTAAAATTATTTCAAACTTTATTGGGTGAGCACAGTGAGGATGAGGTGCCAGTTAGGCATTTCTTTCAAGAATGGAGCTATTCTGCCAGTTGTCAGAAAAATAACGTTATAAATCATAAAACATGATTATAGGGCCTGGACTTGATAAGCGTTGTTGCTGTCTATTCTGAGGTTTTTTTTCTCATGTGGAGATTCTGGCATTTTCATCCTCTAGAGACTGACAGCATTTCTTGATTTGTCTTCATTACTTTGTCTCCACAGTAACCTCGAGGAATTTTATTTGATGTGAAAATATTAGCCCTCTAAAGATGGTAAATACACTTGACATCTAGAGATCAACTCTGAACTCTGAGTATGATTTTATAAAATTGTAGAACATCCGTATATGAGGAAGACAGTATTTGTAACATATTTAGTTCTATTAAAATAAATGTAGAGGTGAAATGACTAATCTCCTCCAGTTAACACAAACCTACAGATCTGGGAAATAAATGATACATCTCCTATAGGTGACCTTGGGTTAAGGGAGTCGATAAGACTAAAAAAAGTCCTTAAATTACAGGTTTTTTTAGCAGCGTAATAAAATGATACATGCAGCCATGTTTTGTATTCAATAAGGTTTATGTTAATGTAAGACAACCGAAAATTACTCAATGTTGTCATATCACCTTGGCCTTGATTATCTATATATTAAAATCAAAATCAGAATGTGGCTATCTTAGCTGTTTCAGTAGCTAAGTAGCATTTTTCTTTATTTAGTTTTAGTTAATTAGTGGAATACAGTCCAATGTCAAGGTCGGCTAATGGAAGAGAAGATTTGGATGTGGCATGGGAAGGCCTGGATGTGTGTTGTCCTGCTGCCTAAGTGACCTGTGATGGTGGCCACTTGCCTTGGGTTTCTCTTTCCTCAGTGTTAGTGATTATACTTTATCACTTAGGTATATTGTGAAGACAAAATACTCAATATTTAAGAAGAATTGTATTATAACTGCAAAACACTGTTGACCATTATATGTTAAACTACATTTTATAAAGTTATCTCACATAATTTCTGAACATTAGTTCAGTCTAAATTTATTAGCAAGACCCAGAAAATCTTATAGCAATTCTATTGGGCTGACATATCAGATATTTCAGTTGTTATTAATACCACAGAACTAAGTATGAACAAGCTTGTCCTTGAAATGTAGTTTTGGCTTCTGGTAAAATAGTGTGTAAATGGACACTTCACATTGTCTACTGCCATGATTTTTAAAGTGTGGTCTATGAACCAGCAGCACTGACACCCAGGTGTTAGATCCATTGCAGAAGCCTCATGGGAATTTAATGATTAAGACTATGGTTTATGCATTCAAAACTATCATTTATTGCTTGTGTGACCTCAGGGTTGTTACTGAAATTTTGACATCTCATTTTCCTCATCTATAGTACCTACCTCATGGATGAAATGAGATTGTAAAGACTAAGTGAGATAATAGTTACCAAGCACTCAGAACAGTGGCATTCAATACTTCCTAGTTACAATAAGTATTCAGTAAATACACAAATGAGGTCATAGACATGTTATGTGGTGTCTAAAAGTTACTTGTTAGTGATGCGAGCAACTATAAGTGTAAAATCTCCCAAAATAACAAAATGATTAATTAACTCTGCCCTATTTCCCCTAGTGTAACTCTAATCAGATACATTACCTTTGAGCTGCAGATACCATTATGCAGACTATATGAGAACCAGTTAAATCTCTAGAGTTGAACTCTTTCCCAAGATAATATTCTCTGTCCTTTATCTCCCCTCTGCCCCTGCCCTTGCCCCAGGTCAATGATGTTTCCTTTTACGGTTGACATTAATGCTCTAATGGTTGGTGCTAAGAATTACCCGTCCTTTTCCATAGAAGCAATGGATAGTTGAATGCATATTTTCAAAATCAAAATCAATGCAACTGTAATACTTGAAAAACAAATTTGTTTGTAGTGGGTTAATAGTTTATATAAGTGATGTGACGACAATCTAACACAGGAATATTTTATGTGTACGTATATCAATATACACATTTGGTGGGAACAAATGCCTGAGTGGGATAAATTGTTATAAATGTTGCTTTGTTGCTTCTCATCTATAATTAAAGTAAAATCAAAATTTTACTTTAGAAAAATATTCGTAAGAATTTATAGGTAACTTTATAAGTGTATAAGATAACTGGATATCATTCCTAATATTACCACTTTATTGAAGGTTCTGTTTTATGCTACACTTAAAATTAAGCTCATTGTAGATTAAGATACAGTTACAGATATATGAAAATGCCAAACAATATTTAATGCCTGTTGTAAGTCACTTATGTAGAACAGTTAAACTATCAAAATGTAGACGTTAGATTTCAAAACACATTTGAATACATGCAAGGTGGTTAATATACATTATCACATTTAAACATATAACTGTCCTATGAACTAATGCTTTATCTCCCTTTTTATAGATAAAATACCTGAAAATCAAAGGAAATTGTTTCGAGACCCAAGTCCTCAATTTTGTTAAAAGCTGTAGGTACACTGTGTTACTTGAACATTCTGTTATTTTATTTCAAACAACCTATCTAGAAACAAAACTTCCTTTAATAAATTTGACCTGAGTCCAAGGAGGGTAGGCACCTAGAGAGGAGATACTTAAATCCCTGTTTCAATTATAATTCTTATGCTAGCGCACACAAATGTCAAGAGTGTGATATGCAAGGTGTAATTCACCCTTGCCAGGCCACTGGGCTGGAATCAGTCATCCTAGAGTATAAGTGCTTTTTGTGGTCAGGAGGAATTAGAAGAGAGTTATTTGGAGGATCAAGACACTGAAGAATATACTGCTTGAAAGGTGCTTGTATTGGTTCGAGCCCAGAGAGTGGGACCAACAAACAATACAAGGCGGTGTGGAGCAACATGCTGTTTTAACGAACGCCTGGCTGCAGGCGGGCTGAGGCCTAAGATGGCGTCAGCCCCAAGTGAGGACAGGACAGGGGTTTTATAGTCCTCTGTAAACAGGAAGTGTCCCAGTCTGACATGACTGCTACGTAGTACACGATGGCCTCTTTCTCTATCTTCAGGGGTACATGTCTTCCGGCCAGGGTAGGTGTCTTCTGGCCAGGTAGATGTCTTCCGGGCAGCTCTCGTCCTGCTTTTGCTATCTTGCTGATGCACGCTGCTGGCGCAAGTGGTCTTGCGTCTTGGGACTGGGCCTCAGAAGAGAGGAGTTATTCATTCCCTTAAGCTTTCAGGCCCTGCGAGAATCTTTTACTGCTCTACCTATATATTGCTGCATGGTAATATGATCTAGTAGTTCTACTACAAGGGGCAGGGGGAGAGGCAGGGAGGGAGTGTTGGAGACAAATGTATTCCTGGAACAAACTACATTTAAATACTTCTCTGGCATTGCCTTAAATCAAGTATACTTTCATTTCAAGATAAATCCAGTCAAGATGGGTATAACAAGTGCAGAATTTAACTTTTAGATGTCAACCATTTTAGAAATCCGCTTACATATAAATACTTGTATAAATAGAGGTACATAGCAGAGTTTCTCTAACAGAAAAATCCTATATTCAGAAGGATTCCCAAGGGGAGTGACTGACAATTGCCCTCCTTGAATAATGGGCAGCTATAGGATACTACATAATAGAGCTAAAATGTTCTCTGTAACTATGAACACTAGGTCCTAATGCCCTACAACTTTGAGCCCCTAGTGACTTTTGACAACTTGCTAGGGTCATTTCTCCACTGCACATGCTATAGTACCCTAGTGGGTCTACCTTAGTATAACAAAATTATTTCCAACATGTAGACCATGCATGTATTTCTGACTCATTTCCAACTACTAAAGTATCTATAATTATCTCAATTATTGTAAAATTTAACATACAAACAATGGCTTTAAATAAAAAGCTTGTAGACTTTGTATGTTGAAAGGTCATCAGCTCAAATCTTTTATTCCTCCCTTCTTTTTATACAGAAAATATATTAATGTTTTCTATATGAAGATCACATGCAGAACTGTTTTTTACAATTTAAAATACATGGTCGTATTTCCCTCAATAAGAAGTTCTAGTTTTAATTTAAAAAAAAAAATTGTCCTGCCCAGTGCAATGGCTTATGCCTATAATCTCAGCACTTTGGGATTGTATGAGCCCAGGAGTTTGAGACCAGCAGGGGCAACATGGAGAAACCCCATCCTATCAAAAAAAGTAATGTTTGTTATCTGAGGCATTGTAACCCATGGCTGTGGTCTCAGCTACTCGGAAGGCTGAGGTGGAAGGATGGCTTGAGCCCAGGAGATGGTGGAGGTTGCAGTGAGCAGAGATGAAGCCACTGCACTCCAGCCTGGGTGACAGAGCAAGATGCTTACCTTGAAAAAAAAAAAAGGAAGGCTTTTGTTTTTGACCACAGATTCCACCAACTGGTCCTAGTTTTGCACTATAGGAAAATAAACAAAGGTATTATATTTCAAACACAAAAAGGACTTGGCTGTATTTGGACTATCTTTTGGAGAAGCTCCCCTACTTATTTACACCATTGTTCATGTTACATAGGTTTTGACTTACCTTCTTTCTAGGCTGCTTGTTTCATTCTAAATCTATTTCTTTTTCTTTTTTGGATGTTGCTTTTAGAATGGTTATTCTCAACTTAAGACACTAATCACATACTATCCATGCACTCTTCTCATGAGCTGGACACTGTGTTTCTATCTAGCTATTAACCTTGTGCTGCCTAAATTCAATACTGTGATTTCAATAAATAAATACAATGCAATATTTAGTGAAGCATAGACAGTACCAAGAGTTGTAATAAAATTTTAATGATTACTGCATGTTCTCTTACTTTTTGATTTCTTTCAAATTCTATTGGTGATATTTTATTATCCCAGGAAGGTTATTTTGTGTAAACTTTTAACACCTAAGACTAGAAATCCACATTTCTCTTTAAAAATTTAGATTTGACATTAACTGGCATTTTTAGCTGTTATTTAAGCTATTAATATTGGCATCTCCTGATGGTTTCAGAGGGCATTTGAAATTTTTATAATGATTGATAGTTCTGTTATCATGCATTATTTGTGTATCCTCTCCTAAATATATTTAGATTTTTAGCATGTCAGTTTTAGGCCTAGTAATTTAAGACTCTTAACTGGTGTTAATTTACCATTTATCACAAAAATTTCTATTAGACTACACATTTCATATGACATTTATCATTAAATAGTACCACCAAAAGCAGAATTTTAATGCTGCCATATATAATTACAGTTCTTATTTTTTATTAATTTTTATTGATTGCAGAATTTCCTTGAACTGGGAGATTATAATATAGGATGGCAAGCTGAGGTCAAGACTAAGTGGCTGTATATGTTCCCCTGGCAACCCCCAGTGGATTTTTCCAAAATCAATGTTCATCATTTTTTTAAAAAGAATAATGAGTATTTAATGTTTTCCCCTAGTCTTAAAAAAATTTTGTGAATTCTACATTATTTCCTGAACAAATATTTAAATACAAAACAAATTTAATAAAATGGCTTACTTTTCTCTCCTTCACTGTCTATATTGCCTTCTTATGTAGAACTTATGCTCCACAACTATTAATATATAGGTGCCACCTAGTGGCAAAGGCAAAACATTTAAATGTAAGCTAATGATAGATGAGCTGTTGTACTATATTCACAGATGCATTTTTTAGAACACATAATACATTAATACAAATGCAAAAAGAGTACTGTAATGGTATTGTGACAAAGCACCGTATTAAGATAGATATTTAAATTATTTATTTGAATATGCTGCTATACGGCTTGGTGTTTAAAAGTTAGTATCTTTTTGAACTATAAGACTAAGCCATAAACATAAATTACCAAAGTGTGTGAAGGAAAGGGGGAAAACATTGGCCCAGAAGAATCCTTGTATGTCTGTGGATTATTATTTTGATAAAGTTATAATAATTTTATTCCATGAATCATATTTTATCTGAAGGTGTTTCTACAATACTTCTGTCTATTCAAATTCCTTTTGACAGTAACACCACTAATTAACATTCACAATCTGCACTGACAGTGTATTTGTTTTCCTTTAAATAGTGACAATAAACAAGACAATTATCAAATTTGAAATTGCTAAACTAAATAATGCTTAACACTTTAATCTCAAGCAATAAAAATGAGAGTATGTATCCATTGGCCTGGTAGTGAAAGCAGGACTTGTGATAGTCAATCACCTCCTGGGACTCAAACATGGTGTAATGATCATGGCCACTAATTAGAGTACATCTTGTTAGGGAAAGAAACAAACTTGCTTGTTTGTTGGTCTGGCACCCAGAAGATAATTAATATTTTTATTGCTGCCTGATTCCCAGCTCTTTCCAGCTGCTATCTAGGTCTAGTGGGAGCACAAATCAATGCTACGAGCAGGCTCTGCCTTAGCCTGAGAGATAGTTTCTGCCTTTACAACTGCCTTAGTGATGCATTCATCAGTTCTTCCACAGCGCTTCTAGAAAGAGGTGCTCTGTACTTCTTGCTTTGTACTTCCTTAACACTTCACTTTATTGATACTTCCATTATCCTTTCTAAATTATCGTTAATTACCTGTGGTTCTCTTCTGTCTAAAAAAGGTTATAGGTCAAGGAATTGATCATCTTTCTACTTCCAGTGCACAATCTTGCACATAAGAAGCCCTTAATACATAATTTCAATATTTAAAAAAAGAATAAAATAAAAATAAATCTATGAAATGATCTATGATTCTTAGGTAGTTCCAACAGAGAAGCATAATTACTTATCCATGTGTGTACTAAAACCTACTTCATTAGGAAAGCAGAAGAAAGAGTAAGTAGAGACTCAGCCACATCTCTTGTGCTCTAAACTGTGTGGTATAATAGCCCTGTCCTCATGCATAGATTTGCACAGGAACTGAACACAAAATTTTTTAATGTAACAAGAAGCTCTTGGTTCCAACTTGCTGGGCCACAGAATCACCATGAGTATAAACCATCTTAAAAATGCTCATGGCAATGTTCCTGTTTCTAAAAGGCACATGAAAATACATTTTTAGATTATTATAATTTTACAATTTGGAGTACCTGGTGAAGCTTAACGTAGCCAACACTTATTTTATTCTGTTTCACTTTGCTGAGTGTTTACCTTGTGTAGGACCTGTGCTAAGAACATATGCTTAGTTTAGCAGTGAGAAAGCCAATGCTAAGAGCTCTTGACCAAGTTACCCAGGATCCCACAGCTAATAGGTGACAGAGGTTGGAAACCACATAGTCTGTTTCCTTATATCATTAAGTCCACTCTGAAATGGATGGGAGTGTGATGAAATCTTAGATTCAGTTCAGATTATTCAAGGACATAACTTTGAGTCAATAGCCAAAGCCAAACTTTTGCAGTCATACCGCATATTGTAATGCTGTCCTGGAAAAAGTGCTGAGTCTCAGTAATTGATGTCCAAAAGTTCTGTGATAAATTATTTATGTGATGAGACATTTTAAAGAGAGTAAAGAAGCAGAGTGCAAAACTGTGCTAGAATATTCACATCATTAAAACTGTTCCCTGGCCCCTTTTCCCTTTCTTCTAAGGTGAAAGTATAAAGTTCACTCTGATTGCAGAATTCTTAATTCTCTAAATTAGGAATCAGCCTTTACTAATGGAAGTAGGTAGAAATGGAAAACTGCTAGCTACTGGCAGGAGAAGAGCCCAAGAGCTGCTATGTGGCAGTCACAATTAGGAAAAAAATAAAATACAGTATAAAAGCAAAGTAATAGCACTATCTGGAGGTCTGTTGAAAGAAAATGGATATAATGAAGAATGAAAGTTAAAGGTTGAAAAGATTTGCCATGAAAGTATCACATTTCAGGGCAGGCAAAAATCTAAATAAACAATATGGATTAGATTTAGTGAGAAATAAGAACTCGTCTAAGAACACTATTATAGGTAAGATATTATAACTCCTATTTCACTAAAAGTACCATCAGATTCAGCTAGAAGTAAAGGAAAAGACAGAGAGTTTAAATGTTGGTGTACCTTAAAACATATTCACCTTGCAAAGTGAAGATAATTAGTGCTTCTTGAATTTAGCGTAGCTAAGGAATGTTACAGATGGATTGCCAAATAATTTAAATGATTTTAATAAGCAGGGATAAAATATCAAGTTTACTTATCCAGGTATATAAATTCATCTTAGTTCATCAAAGAATCTTTTCTATTCCATGATCAAATATACTACTGATTTCTAAAATTTTATATCTATATATAGAGAGATATACACACAATATGTATATATATACACAAAATAAATAATTACATACATATAATTTCATATGACATAACAGTTTCCTTTGGTGTACCTCTAGCTCTTGATTATCTATCAAGATGATTATGGCAGGGATAATCTCAAAAGGGATAGAATAATTCATATTTACCTTTACCTTACAAAGATTAACTATGCCTTCTACAGTAGACTCATTTTTTTTGTGAGAGGGTTATAGATTCTATAAGCATATACTTAACGCAGGGGACAGGCCTAATTTGAGGGGCTATTTATTCATTCATTTACCCATTGTGTCGCATGTTCCTTCTAAATGCCAGGCATTCTTCTAAATGCTATTGATACATCTAGGAGTTATATTCAAATTGTTTAACCACTGGTTCTACGGGCACCAAGTAATCAGAACAGACACTGCTCAAATAGCACCTCAGGAATAATTGTATATAAAAATACTCACTGTTACCAAGAGGTTTTCCACTTAATGGGGAAGACTGAGTTAACAGGCAGTCACTAGACAGTTTGACAACTGTTCTAATAATTGTAAACACAGCATACATAAAACTTTTTCAAATAATCCCTTAAGTTTTTCCCTATTAGACTCTTGCCTACTTTATAATCTTGATGCATTAAAATTTATGATCCAAAAGTATCTAATTAACCAAAAATTATCTTCAGAGCATGTGATTTAATTTAAAATTATACTTTGACTTTTTAGAAAGTTGATTTTGAAATTAGTAGCTTGTTTTTATAAAACAAAACATAAATTTTTCATGGCTGCTAAAGTATCCATTTCAACTTAAAGATATGTTGCATTCTTTCAAGTTCCCATATCTGCAACATAGCATGTAAAGATTATAACGTGGATCATATTTTATGTTAAATGTGCTTACAGAAAATGCAGTGATTCTCTAAGACATTTATCAAAAACATCAGAAATTCAAGTACAGTAAAATAACCCATTTTTACTTGAATGAACCAACTAAATTATTTCCCACTTTACTTGCCCTCATTTGGAGATCTTGTTATAAATTCTCAGAAACAAATAAATGAGTTTAAGGAGAAACATCTTTGTTAATTTCTGAGGCTTAATTGAGATAGAAATTCTTTTACATGTAAGAATCTTAACAATTGTACTAATTAAAACTATTATTTTTAATTGTAAAAATTGTCAAAAATATAAGTTTTATACTCATAATCAGATGGATATCTATTTTGTAAAAAATTCTATATTCAAAAATCTCTCTGGATATGGAGAAAGTCATTAAAATCAAGCCCTAATGAATAAACAAAAGCTACATGCAGTTCTGTGTTAGAAATAACAATAAAATTGTGCACAAGCACACTTTCTAGGTCTACAGGGTAGTCTATTTTTCCTAGGTGGCCCACCACATTTGCTGAAATATGACACAGTTTTGCATATTTTTTTCCTTAAATACATACGCCATTAGATATTACGCAGCATATGTGGTGCATTGCAGATGTTGCATTAACTCTTGTTAATTTCCCCTAGGTGGCGATCTTTTCAAAGAAGCTGTACAGGCTCTTCCATGTAAGAAAATTGAGTTAATATAAATGTATATATACCCCACTCTAGCTATTAATAATACTACCTTCATCTACACAGAAGGGAAATACAATTTTTTGGTGGGGACACAATATAAATTTAAAGCCTCTTCTCAAAAACCTTACAAAACTGGATATATAGATATTATCTACTTTAAGAACTTAAATGTCTGTTGGAGAAAAGATATTTCAAAAATGTTAGTTCTGGGATATTGGTTAATTATGGATGTAGCATGATAAATCATACTAAAATTTTAGTTTCTGGACTCATTGCTTACAGCTTTTTTTCCTAAAACTCCAACATTGTTGTTTAATGAAATAACAATGGGTTTCATCCACCTCTTTAGAGTTATAATTGTTGTTGCTGTTTTTCATGCTGTTCATAGCTGCTCTTTTGTGACAGCTCCTTTAGGTGGGGTACCCCACTGGTGAATGAAACAGGTGACTAGGCAAGGTTAAGCCCGCTTACATCTTAGCCCATTCCGTAATATATTGAAAGACAGGAGGAGACATTAAAATAGAAAAACAGACTACTTAGATGTAGATAAATGATATGGAGCAGAAAATATTCTAAAATTCAGAAGAAAAAGACCTTTCTTCCTATTCAAGGAGTCTACTTACTTCTATATTTATATAGAACATATAAACCTTCTGAGACACTCACCTATACACACTTGACATTTGTATATATAAACTTAGCCTTCCTCTGCTTTGGAACATCACCTCTTGCTTTTGCTTCATTTGTTATTTTAAATTTTCCCTTGCTCCACCCTAAGGCTTTAACTGTCAAGAGATGTGAGGCTGGCAGTGATGACGCATGACTGCAGCTTCCTTCTCCTAAATGCAGCCACAGAGCAATCAAAGCATCCCATAAGCCTTCAAAAAAAAAAAAGGGTATAGAATTAAAATAACGATATTTGCTATTTGCAAAGAAACTTTATATTAATTATGTACTTTGACATTTGCAACAGCCCTGAGCAGTCAAAAAGCAGGAATCATCATCATCCCCATTTTACAGATAAACCTGAGAAGAATTAAGGTCTTTCATTAGAGTTAAAAAGTTGGCCACTGGAAACCCAAGACTCAAAGAATTTTCTGATTCCTTTGTAAGTTCACTAATGTTTTGGCTGTAACCAGCTCTTCACAATTAGACTCATACTATGTCTCCACTGCCTTCCCTTGGCTTCGTCCTGCTCACAAATAACATGAGTTTACTCCTGTATTCACTATGAGGAGTGGTTTCAAATTTGAAGTGAAGTGTCTAAATAGCCCCTGGGAAAGGATTTATTGAAGCAACTTATAAGAACCTCTCAACTCTATGTTTGGTACCCTGAGCAGAGGCCATGGGCAATAGAATTAAGCACTGGAGTTCAGTGTACTTACTAAAATTTTGGCCAGAGTTCCATTTGGATCTTTGACAGACTAACTTCCTGTATCTTGCAAACTTACCCTTGGCCACTTTTCAAAATGTTAAGTTCATCAGCTCCATTATCTCAATGTATGAATCCATCCTCCCATAAAGTCTTGTTGATGTTCCTTTTTCCCAACTCTTCACCATTGCCTGCCTTCTCTACTCTTTCCACTGTGACCTTTGGAAACCTCCAATCAGAACCAGCTGCAAAATTTGTGGAGCCCAGCGCAAAATGTCAATGCAAGCCTCTTTGTACAAAAAGTAGGCCAAAAAAAAAAAAAAAAAATTCACTTTCCTCCTGTGATTTATCTCTAAACCAGTTATGTGGCATTTTTGTTCTTTTGTTTTGTTATTTAATCTCATGCTCTTTGGGGCATGGAAATACATGCGAGGCAAGTGCAAACCCTCACAGGTACCTGGGTCCTGCCCACAACTCAAACTGTGGGGCTCATACACCTGATCTTGTCCCTTCCCAGACCCATGCTTAGGCCTCCACCATGGGTAGCAGTGGTCACTGGGCAGGTGAGGGGGAGCAGATAGCTGTGATTCTGTCCTGAGAAGGTGAGGAGGTGGGAAAGCAGTGGAAAGGCAGTACCACAGGTGAGCCAAGATTCCAAGCTCTGGCACATCCACTAATATTCCATCAGATTCCATTTACAGAACACAAATTCCAAGATAATCTTGTTAAGAATTTCAAGATATGTCCACAGAGCATTAAGCCCCAAAAGCAGGGTCCCTTTTTTAGAGTGAGGCTCTATTTCAGGGCACTGAGAGCAGTCAAGAAATTGTGCCTGCCGCCTCCACAATAAATGGCTTTCCCCACATTCTCAACCATTTTACAGATCAGATCTCTGTCTTACTGAAATCTGGTGCTCCTCAGAGGTATTTGGTTCCTAGGAATCTGCCGGAGCGTGCATTGCTTCTTCTCTCATGCTCATGGGAACTGGAGGAAAGGGAAGCAGGAAGAATTTTCAACTTCACAATGCTGACTCACTTATAAAGCATTACTCTTTCGACCTAATGTCAACGAGGTGCATATCCTGACTTGTGGTTCCACTACACTCTACGACTTTTCATCAGTCAGCCTCCTGTATTCTATTCCCCCTTTCACTGATTATTTCTTTGCCTCTAGAGTACAATCTTCTTCTCACCCTCAAACCTTGCCATCCTCCAGCTATGTTGAAAATCCATGCAACAATCTCTGTCATGGGCCTTTGACCGCAGCCCCATTGCTCTTCAACTCCACTTTAATAACTTAATTTTGAAGTTATATCTTGCACCTTGACATAGCCAAGAGGCACTAGAACTAGGAAATCTTACATTTTAACCTCCTGTTCTTTGACAATTTTCCCCTGTTGTGTTCTCTAACCCTTTACTGTCCTAAAGACTGACACAACATTTTAGGGGAGAGAAAAAGATTATTTGGATGCAATAGAGATAGGATTTTATTTTCTCTCAAGGATTTTAAATCATCACATATCAAATGCCCAATGTCATATGTTTTGTATCTTTGTAGTAGATTTCATGTATGTTTGATAGTATTATCACATTTCCAACAATTTTATATGCATACTACTGACACACACACATGCACACACACTTTGATTCTGGAAATTTAAGGTGAAGGAGCACAGGCTTTCTTTCCACTCTCCATCCTGCTAACTCTCCAGATAAGTTAATTACAAATTTTCTTTGAAATTGAAATTGTTAAGAGTCTCAGACCCTCCAGAACTCATTTTTATTTCACTCTGCCAAATTTTTCTGGCTTCACTGTAATCAGTAATGTATACATTTCACAATCTTACTCGAATTGCTTTCTTAAAAATATATTATCTCTTGTCTTTCAAAATATCTTATCTCTTCTCTTTCCATTGAACTGGCCCAGGAAACCATAAACTCGAAGTCAATAATAATGACAAAAAATAGTACCAAACATTGCATGTTTCATGTGTTTTATCTTGGTTTTATCTGATTTAATCTTCACAGTGATCTTATGAGGTGAATGCAGTTATCCCCAATTTACATATAAGGTAATTGTGCATTAACAAATTTCAATGACTTGTTTGTGTTACTTTTGAAGTTAGGATTTGTGACTCTCAAACTTTAGTATGTGAAAATACCATCTAAGAATTTAAAAGTGATCTAGAAGTGATCATGGCAGACAGGAGGAAGGACTAGATTATAGCTCAGGACAGAGCAGCTTGTGGAAACTCACTTTATGAATTTTAGCTCCAGATCAACTGTGAGAACAAACCAGCAATCCCGAGAGGACCCACAGACCCTCTGAATGAAGCAGACTGCTCCTGCAGGACCTGTGAAACACCCCGAATATTGTGAAGGCCCCAACTGCAGAACTGCGAAAGGGAGACCCTTCTCTCCCAAACACACACCCCCACTGGAGAAGCTGAAGGTCCATTTGCAGGACAAGTTTCTGACTTTACCTGCAGCTGAGTCAATTTAGAGAGCTGAGTGAAATACAGGGGTAGAAGAAGCAGCAGAAAGGCCCTGGGAGCTTGCTGCATCCCCTAGCAGGCCATTCCTGCCTGGCACTGCAGGGATCCATAGGGAGGGTGACCAGAGGAGCAGGGGGTAAAACTCCACAGAGAGAAAGAATTCTCTAGCTGAAATTTGTAACAATTTGAACAGGGTGAGAAGCCTTCTGGCCAGAACTTGGGGGAGGGCACATATCTGGTGTGCAGACTCCACAGGCATGGGAAGAACCAAGCCCTTTTCTTTCACAGCTGGGAGGCAGGTAGCCTCAGGCAAGTTTTCAAGCCCAACTTGCTCTCCGCCTGGAAACAGACTTGGGTCCATTGTGCGGGGGCACGGTGGGAGTGAGAGAGGCCCTTTGGTTTGTGTGGGAGCTGGGTAAGGCCTGCAACTGCTGGCTTTTCCCCACTTCCTGGAAAACCTGCATGACTCAGCAGAGGCTGCCATAATCCTTCTAGGTACACAACTTCAGTGACCTGGGAATCTCACCCCCTTCCCCAACAGCAGCTGCAGCAAGAGCCACCCAAGGAAAGTCTGAGCTCAGACACACCTAGCCCTGCCCCTACCTGATGGTCCTTCCCTATCCACCTTAGTAGCAGAAGAAAAAGAGCATATAATCTCAGGAGTTATAGGGCCCCGCCCACTGCTGGTACCTCTCCACATTACTACAGCTGATGCTTTCTGGAAAGCGCCACCCCCTGGCAGGAGGCCAAGCAACACAAAAAAAGAGAATTCAACCACCAAACCTAAGAACACTCAGAGTTCATTGCACCCCACCACCACCTCCACTGGAGCAGGCACTGGTATCCACAGCTGAGAGACCCATAGATGGTTCACATCACAGAACTCTGCAGACAGCCCCCAGTACCAGCCCAGAGCCAGGATCTCTGGGTGGCTAGACCCAGAAAAGACACAACAATCACTGTAGTTTGGCTCACAGGAGGTCACATCCACAGGATAAAGGGGAGAGTACTACATCAAGGGAACACCCCATGGGACAAAAGAATCTGAACAACAGCCTTCAGCCCTAGACCTTCCCTCCAACAGAGCCTACCCAAATGAAAAGGAACCAGAAAACCAAGCCTGGTAATATGACAAAACAAAGCTTCTTGACACCCCCCAAAAATCACACTAGTTCACCAGCAATGGATCCAAACCAAGAAGAAATCCCTGATTTACCTGAAAAAGAATTCAGGAGGTTAGTTATTAAGCTCATCAGGGAAGGATGAGAGAAAGATAAAGCCCAAAGCAAGGAAATAAAAAAAAAAAATGATATAAGAAGTGAAGGGAGAGATATTCAAGGAAATAGATAGCTTAAAGAAAAAACAATTAAAAATACAGGAAACTTTGGACACACTCTTAGAAATGTGAAATGCTCTGGAAAGTCTCAGCAATAGAATTGAACAAGTAGAGGAAAGAAATTCAGAGCTCGAAGACGAAGTATTCAAATTAACCCAATCCAACAAAGACAAAGAAAAAATAATGAGAAAATATGAACAAAGTCTCCAATAAGTCTTGGATTATGTTAAACAACCAAACTTAAGAATAATCAGTGTTCCTGAGGAAGAAGATAATTCTAAAAGCTTGGGAAACATATTCAGGGGAATAATCGAGGAAAACTTCCATGACCTTGCTAGAGGCCTAGACATCCAAATACAAGAAGCACAAAGAAGACCTGAAAAATTCATTGCAGAAAGATCTTTGCCTAGGCACATTGTCATCAGCTTAAGAGCTTAATCTGATGTTATCAGCTTAAGAGCTTAATCTGATGTTATCAGCTTAAGAGCTGTCAGACGGAAGCACCAGGTAACCTATAAAGAAAAACCTATCAGATTAACAGCAGATTTCTCAGGAGAAACTCTACAAGCTAGAAGAGATTCGGGGCCCTATCTTCAGCCTCCAAACAATTAGCCAAGAATTTTGTAACCTGCAAAACTAAGCATCATATAAGAAAGAAACATGCAGTTGCTTTCAGACAAACAAATGCTGAGAGAATTCGCCATTACCAAGCCACCACTATGAGAACTGCCAAAAGGAACTCTAAATCTTGAAACAAATCCTGGAAACACATCAAAACAGAACCTCTTTGAAGCATAAATCACACAGGACATATAAAACAAAAATAAATATTAAAAAGCAAAAACATAAAACAAAAATCCCAAAGTACACAGGCAACAAAAAGCACAATGAATGCAATGGTACCTCGTATTTCAATACTAATATTGAATGTAAATGATCTAAATGCTTCAGTTAAAAGATACAGAACTGCAGAATGGATAAGAACTCACCCACCAACTATCTGTTGCCTTCAGGAGACTCACCTAACACATAAGGACTCACATAAAGTAAAGGGGAGGAAAAAGGCATTTCATGCAAATGGGTGCCAAAAATTAGCAGGGGTAGCTGTTTTTATATCAGACAAAACAAATTTTAAAGCAACAGCAATTAAAAGAGACAGAGGGGCATTATATAATGGTAAAAGCCCTTGTCCAATAGAAAAATATCACAACCCTAAACATATGCACACCTAACACTGGAGTTCCCAAATTTATAAAACAATTAGTGGTAAATCTAAGAAATGAGATAGGCAGCAACACAACAATAGTGGGGGACTTCAGTACTCCAATGACAACACTAGACAGGTCATCAAGACAGAAAGTCAACAAAGAAACAATGGATTTAAACTATACCTTGGAACAAATGGACTTAACGGATACATACAGAACATTTCATCCAACAACTGCAGAGTACACGCTCTGTTCAACAGCACATGGAACTTTCTCCAAGATAGACAATATGATAGGCCATAAAATGAGCCTCAATAAATTTAAGAAAATTGAAATTATATCAGCACTCTCTCAGACCACAGTGGAATAAGGCTGGAAATCAACTCAAAAAGGAACCTTCAGAAACAATGCAAATACATGGAAATTAAATAACTTGTTCCCAAATGAGCATTAGGTCAAAAACGAAATAAAGATAACAAAAAATTCTTCAAACTGAATGACAGCAATGACACAACCTATCAAAACCTCTGGGATACAGCAAAGTCAGTGCTAAGAGGAAAGTTTCATAGCCCTAAGTGCCTACATCAAAAAGACTTAAAGGGCATAAACTGACATTCTAAGGTCACACCTCAAGGAATTAGAAAAACAAGAACAAACCAATCTCCAACCCAGCAGAAGAAAGGAAATTACCAAGATCAGAGCAGAACTCAATGAAATTGAAACAGCAACAGCAATGAAAATACAAAAAGATAAATGAAAAGATAAATAAAATTGATAGACCATTGTAAGATTAACCGAGAAAAGAGGAGAGAAAATCCAAATAACCTCACTAAGAAACAAAACAGGAGATATTGCAACTGACACCACTGAAATAGAAAAGATCACTCAATGTTACTATAAACACCTTTATGCACATAAACTAGAAAATCTAGAAGGGATGAATAGATTCCTGGAAAAATATAACCTCCTAGCTTAAATCAGAAAGAATTAGATACCCTCAACAGGTCAATAATAAGCAGCGAGATTGAAATGGTAATTTTTAAAATTACCAACAAAATAAAGTCCAGAACCAGATGGATTCACAGCAGAATTCTAGTAGACATTCAAAGAAAAATTTGTAGCAATCCTTTTGACAGTATTCCACAGGATAGAGAAAGAAGAAACCTGCCTTAATTCATTGTGTGAAGCCAGCATCACCCTAATACTAAAACCAGGAAAGGACATAACCAAAAAATAAAACTACAGACCGATATCCTTGATGAACATTGATGCTAAAATCCTTAACAAAATACTAGCTAACCAAATCCAACAATATGTCAAAAATATAATCCACCATAATCCAATGAGTTTCATACCAGGGATGCAGGGATGGTTTAACATATGCAAGTCAATAAATGTGATATACCACATAAAGAGAATTAAAAACAAAAATCACATAATCATCTCAATAGATGCAGAAAAAGCATTCTAAAAGCACAGCATCCCTTTATGATTAAAACTCTTAGCAAAATCGACAAACAAGGGACATACCTTAATATAATAAAAACCATCTGTGACAAACCCATAGTCAACACAATACTGAATGGGGAAAACTTGAAAGCATTCTCTCTGAGAACTGGAACAAGACAAGGGTGCCCACTCTCACTACTCCTCTTCAACATACTACTGGAAGTCCTAGCCAGAGCAATCAGACAAGAGAAAGAAATAAAAGGCATCCAAATCAGCAACGAGGAAGTCAAACTATCACTGTTTGCTGATGATATGATCATTTACCTTGAAAACCCTAAGGACTCCTCCAGAAAGCTCCTAGAACTGAAAAAAGAATTCAGCAAAGTTTCTGGATACAAGATTAATGTACACAAACTAGTAGCTCTTCTATACACCAACAGTGACCAAAAAGAGAATCAAATCAAGAACTCAACCCCTTTTACAATAGCTGCAGAAAAAATAAAATATTTAGGAATATGCCTAATGAAGGAGTTGAAAGACCTCTACAAGGAAAACTACAAAACACTGCTGAAAGAAATCATAGACAACACAAACAAATGTAAACACATCCCATGCTCATAGATGGATAGAATCAATACTGTGAAAATGACCATACTGCCAAAAGCAATCTACAAATTCACTGCAATCCCCATCAAAATATCACCATTATTCTTCATAGAACTAGAAAAAAACAATTCTAAAATTCATATGGAACCAAAAAAGAGCCTATATAGCCAAAGTAAGAGTAAGCAAACAGAACAAATCTGGAGGCATCACACTACTTGATTTCAAAATATACTGTAAGGCCATAGTAATCAAATCAGCATGGTACTGGTATAAAAATAGGCATATAGACCAATGGAACAGAATAGAGAACCCAGAAGTAAACCCCCATACTTACAGCCAACTGATCTTTGACAAAGCAAACAAAAGCGTAGAGTGGGGAAAGGACACCCTTTTCAGCAAATGGTGCTGGGATGGTAGGCTAGCCACATGTAGGAGAATTAAACTGGATCCTCATCTCTCACCTTATACAAAAATCAACTCAAGATGGATTAAGGTGTTACACCTAAGACCTGAAACTATAAAAATTCTGAAAGATAACATTGGGAAAAATCTTTTAGACATTGACTTAGGCAAGGAATTCATGACCAAGAACCCAAAAGGAAATGCAATAAAAACAAAGATAAATAGCTGGGACCTAATTAAACTAAAGAGCTTTTGCACGGCAAAATGAACAGTCAGCAGAGTAAACAGAAAACCCACAGAGAGGGAGAAAATCTTCACAATCTATACATCTGACAAAGGACTAATGTCCAGAATCTACAGTGAACTCAAACAAATCAGTAAGAAAAAAACAAACAATCCCATCAAAAAGTGGTCTAAAGATGTGAACAGACAATTCTCAAAAGAAGATATACAAATGACAAACATATGAAAAAATGCTCAATATCACTAATGATCAAGGAAATTCAAATCAAAATCATAATGAGATACCACCTTACCCCTGCAAGAATGGCCATAATCAAAAAATCAAAAAACAGTAGATGTTGGCATGGATGCGGTGAACAGGGAACACTTCTACACTGCTGATGGGAATGTAAACTAGTACAGCCACTGTGTAAAACAGTGGAGATTCCTTAAAGAACTAAAAGTAGAACTACCATTTGATCCAGCAATCCCACTACTGCATATCTACTCAGAGGAAAATAAGTCATTATTCAAAAAGAATACTTGGACATGGATGTTTACAGGGGCACAATTCAGGGATAAGACACTACAAATATGGTTCATTGTATACTGCTCTGGTAATGAGTGCACCAAAATCTCACAAATAACCATTAAATAACTTATTCATGTAACTAAATACCACCTGTACCCCAATAAATTATGGAAAAATAATAAATATATGATATTATATTATAAAAAGAAAATACCATCTAAAATCTTTCTTTTTTAAAAATACTTAAGTTCTGGGATATATATGCAGAACATGCAGGTTTGTTACATAGGTATACAAGTGCCATGGTGGTTTTCTGCACCCATCAACCCATCATCTACATTAGGTATTTCTCCTAATGCTATCCCTCCCCTAGCCCCATACCCCCCAACAGGCCCCAGTGTGTGATGTTCCCCTCCCTGGGTCCATGCATTCTAATTGTTCAACTCCTATTTATGAGTGAGAACATGGGATGTTTGGTTTTCTGTTCCTGTGTTAGTTTGCTGAGAATGATGGTTTCCAGCTTCATTCATGTCCCTGCAAAGGACAGGAATTCATCCTTTTTTATGGCTGCATATTATTCCATAGTGTATATGGCCACATTTTCTTTATCCAGTCTATCATTGATGGGCATTTCGGTTGGTTCCAAATCTTTGCTATTGTGAATAGTGCTGCAATAAACATGTGTGTGCATGTGTCTTTATAGTAGAATGATTTATAATCCTTTGGATATATACCCAGTAGTTGGATTGCTGGGTCAAATGGTATTTCTGGTTCTAGATCCTTGAGGAATTGCCACACTGTCTTCCACAATGGTTGAACTAATTCATACTCCCACCAACAGTGTAAACGTTTTCTATTTCTCCACAACCTCTCCAGCATCTATTGTTTCCTAACTTTTTAATGATCACCATTCTAACTGGCATGAGATGGAATCTCACTGTGGTTTTGGTTTGCATTTCTCTAATGACCAGTGATAATGTGCCTTTTTTCATATGTTTGTTGGCTGCATAAATGTCTTCTTTTGAGAAGTGTCTATTCATATCCTGTTGTGGGAAGTCAGGGAACCCAAACGGAGGGACCAGCTGGAGCCACAGCAGAGGAACATAAATTGTGAAGATTTCATATTAATATGGATATTTATCATCCCCAAATAATACTTTTATAATTACTTATGCCTGACTTTACTTTAATCTCTTAATCCTGTTATCTCCATAAACTGATGTATGTCACCTCAGGACCACTGTGATAATTGTGTTAATTGTACAAAGTGATTGTAAAACATGTGTGTTTGAACAATATGAAATCAGTGCACCTTGAAAAAGAACAGAATAAGAGCGATTTTTATGGAACAAGGGAAGACAACCATAACATCTGTTTGCTTGCAGGGTTGGGCAAAAAGAGCCATATTTTTCTTCTTGCAGAGAGCTTATAAATGGACGTGCAAGTAGGAAAGATATCACTAAATTCTTTTCCTAGCAAGGAATATTAAGATTAATATCCTGGGAAAGGAATGCTTTCCTAGGGGGAGGTCTATAAACGGCCACTCTGGGAATGTATGTCTTATGCAGTTGAGATAAGGACTGAGATATGCCCTGGTCTCCTGCAGAACCCTCAGGCTTACTAGGGTGGGGAAAAACTCCACCCTGGTAAATTTGTGGTCAAGACTGGTTCTCTGCTCTCAAACTCTGCTCTCTGTTGTCTAAGATGTTTATCAAGACAATACATGCACCGCTGTATATAGACCCTTATCAGTGGTTCTGCTTTTGCCCTTTGTCCTGTTCCCTCAGAAGCATGTGATCTTTGTTAGACCCTTATTAGTGGTTCTGCTTTTTGCTCTTTGAAGCATGTGATCTTTGTACCTACTCTCTGTTCTTACACCCCCTCCCCTTTTGAAACCCTTAATAAAAACTTGCTGGTCTGAGACTCAGGTGGGCATCACAGTCCTATCGATATGTGATGTCACCCCTGGCTGCCCAGCTGTAAAATTCCTCTATTTGTACTGTCTCTCTTTATTTCTCAGCTAGCCAACACTTATGGAAAATAGAAAGAACCTATGTTGAAATATTGGGGGCATGTTCCTCCAATAATATCCTTCACCCACTTTTTGATGGGGTCATTTGTTTTTTCTTGTAAATTTGTTTAAGTTCCTTGTAGATTCTGGATATCCACTCTGATGATAGTTTGTTTTGCTGTGCACAAGCTCTTTAGTTTAATTAGATCCCATTTGTCAATTTTGGCTTTCGTTGCCATTGCTTTTGGTGTTTTAGTCATGAAGTCTTTCCCTATGCCCATGTCCTGAATGGTATTATTGCCCAGGTTTTCTTCTAGGGCTTTTATGGTTTTAGGTCTTATATTTAAATCTTTAATCCATCTTGAATTAATTTTTGTATAAGGTATAAGGAAGGGGTCCAGTTTCAGTTTTCTGCATATTGCTACCCATTTTCCCAACACTATTTATTAAATAGGGAATCCTTTCTCCATTGCTTGTTTTTGTCAGCTTTGTCAAAGATCAGATGGTTGTAAATGTGTGGTGTTAATTCAACATCCCTTCATGTGATTAAAAACTCTCAATAAACTAGGTATTGAAGGAATGTATCTCAAAACAATAAGAGCTATTTATGACAAACTCACAGCAAATATGAAGGGCAAAAGCTGGAAGCATTCTGTTTGAAGGCCTTTTATGCATCTATTGAGATAATCATGTGTTTTTTGTGATTGGTTCTCTTTATGTGATGGATTATGTTTATTGATTTGCATATGTTGAACGAGCCTTGCATCCCAGGGATGAAGCCTCTGTTCTGCTCCATTGGTCTATATATCTATTTTGGTACCAGTACCATTTTGTTACTGTAGCCTTGCAGTATAGCTTGAAATCAGGTAGTGTGATGACTCCAGCTTTGTTCTTTTTGCTTAGGATTGTCTTGGCTATGCATGTGATTTTTTTGGTACCATATGAAATTTAAAGTAGTTTTTTCTAATTCGGTGAAGAAAGTCAATGGTAGCTTGATGGGGGTGGCATTGAATCTATAAATTACTTAAGGCAGTATGCCCATTTTCATGATATTGATTCTTCCTATCCATGAGCATGGAATGTTTGTCCATTTTTGTGTGTCCTTTCTTATTTCCTTAAGGAGTGGTATGCAGTTCTCCTTGAAGAGGTCCTACACTTTCCTTGTAAGTTGTATTCCTAGGTATTTTATTCTCTTTGCAACAATTGTGAATGAGAGTTCACTCATGATTTGGCTCTTTGTCTGTTATTGGTGTATAGGAATGATTGTGATTTTTGCACATTGATTTTGTATGCTGAGACTTTGCTGAAGTTGCTTATCAGCTTAAGGAGATTTTGGGCTGAGACGACGGGGTTTTCTAATTATACAATCATGTCATCTGCAAACAGAGACAATTTGACTTTCTCTCTTCCTATTTGAATACCCTTTATTTCTGGCCTGATTGCCCTGGCCAGAACTTCCAATACTATGTTGAATAGGAGTGGTGAGAAAGGGGATCCTTGTCTTGTGACAGTTTTCAAACAGAATGCTTCCAGCTTTTGCCCATACAGTATGATATTGGCTGTGAGTTTGTCATAAATAACTCTTAATGTTTTGAGATGCATTCCATCAATACCCAGTTTATTGAGAGTTTTTAGCATGAAGGGATGTTGGAAGGCCTTTTATGCATCTATTGAGATAATCATGTGGTTTTTGTGATTGGTTCTGTTTATGTGATGGATTACGTTTATTGATTTGCATATGTCGAACCAGCCTTCCATCCCAGGGATGAAGCCAACTTGGCTGTGTGGATAAGCTTTTTGATGTGCTGCAAGATTCAGTTTGCCAGTATTTTATTGAGGATTTTTGCATCGATGTTCATTAGGGATATTGGCCTGAAATTTTTGTTTTTCTTCTTGTGTCTCTGCCAGGTTTTGGTATCAGGATGATGCTGGCTTCATAAAATGAGTTAGGGAGGATTCCCTCTTTTTCTGTTGTTTGGAATAGTTACAGAAGGAATGTTATTAGCTCCTCCTTGTAATTCTGGTAGAATTGGGCCATGAATCTGTCTGGTCCTGGGCCTGTTTTTGGTTGGGAGGCTACTAATTACTGCCTCAATTTCAGAGCTTATTATTGGTTTATTCAGGGATTCAACTTCTTCCTGGTTTAGTCTTGGGAGGGTGTATCTGTCCAGGAATTTGTCCATTTCTTCTAGATTTTCTAGTTTATTTGCATAGAAGTATTTATAGTATTCTCTGATGGTAGTTTGTATTTCTGTGGAATCAGTGGTTATATGTCCTTTATCATTTTTTATTGCATCTATTTGATTCTTCTCTCTTCTTTATTAGTCTAGCTAGCAGTCTATCTATTTTGTTAATCTTTTCAGAAAAACAGCTCCTGGGTTCATTGATTTTTTGAAGGCCTTTTCGTGTCTCTATCTCCTTCACTTCTGCTCCAATCTTAGTTATTTTTTGTGTTCTGCTAGCTTTTGAATTTGTTTGCACTTCCTTCTCTAGTTATTTAAATTTTGATGTTAGGGTGTTGATTTTGGAGCTTTTCTACTTTCTCCTGTGGGCATTTAGTGCTATAAATTTTCCTCTAAACACTGTTTTATCTGTGTCCCAGAGATTCTGGTACATTGTGTCTTTGTTCTCATTGGTTTCAAAAAACTTATTTATTTCTGCCTTAATTTCGTTATTTACCCTGTAGTCATTCAGGAGCAGGTTGTTCAGTTTCCATGTAGTTGTGCACCTTTGAGTGAGTTCTTAATCCCGAGTTCTAATTTGATTGCACTGTGGTCTAAGAGACTGTTATGATTTCTGTTCTCTTTCATTTGCTGAGGAGTGTTTTACTTCCAATTATGTGGTCAATTTTAGAATAAGTGCGATGTGGTGCTGAGAAGAATGTATATTCTGTTGATTTGGGGTGGAGAGTTCTGTAGACCAACACCATCTAAAATCTTAAGTAATATTTCTAGGTCCCACCCTCGAGATTCTGATTTTGGATGGGTGGGTGTGGTATAAGAATTTGTATGTTTAATAAACCTCCAAATGATTCTGATAGTGAGGCTCACTTGGGCCTTTCATAACGCTCCTTTTATTAGGTCTTTATTTGGACTTGCCCAGCAGAAGAAAGACTATCAAGAGGGAGTAGACAGCTTGGGGAGCCCGTATTCTTTCTTTTCAGCCCTGGCTCATTAATTTTGCCCTTTGTGAACAAATTAAGATTAGAATTATTTGTGCCAGAAACTAAGTTGACTTTGAAAACTAAGTCATACAATGAATAACAGAAAATATTAGCTCTCATGATCAATCAGTTATATGAAAAATTGTTTTACTTAAGTTATTGACTCAACTTGAAAGTAAAGCATTAGTTATTAGCAAGTCTAATAATACTGTTACTTTTTTTTTTTTTAACTGATTTTTCTGGTAGTGCTCCTCTCATGGGGGCAACAGCTGCGGGGGTTCTGTCCCTTGCAGACCCTTGACCCAGGGACCGATGAATCAAGTACACAGACACACAGATATTCTGCTTTACCAGTCCAACTGAGTGTGTCCGAGCCACTTACAGACTCCAGCAGAGTCCTGTAAACAGTTGCAACTCAGCCTTCATTGGTGAGACTTGCATTTATTTAGTAAAGATTAAAGGGTTGTGAGTAAACACCACTAGAGGGTGAAGATTAAAGGTCAGGTCCCGAGGCCTAAAGCAAACACCATTTGAGGGTAATAAACTTCTGCCGACCCCCCAAGGAGGCAGTTAAGCATCTGTGGTAGGAAGAAGGTTAGTCTTAGGCCTATATAAGAGTGCTACCACAGTTGGTGCCTGGTGTGAGGAGAGCTACCACAGATTTTGACCATTGTGGCCTTCAATAAAATTTTTTTTTGGTGGCAATATTACCAACAGAATGCTGCAATACTTCTAGTTTGAACCAGGAGCAAGTATAACACAGAGATATGCACTGGTACTCTGCATAATTATTCACATAGTGAATAAAAGTTGGATGAACAAGATTATAAATCTTGTTATAATAAAACCTTATATAAGAATCTTTTAAAAAACACATTATTTTAAATGTGTCAATAGCTGAAACAACTGAGATTTTGTTTTTAATAACTTCTGATATTTCTAGTTCATTAATAATATATGCATTGTAGACAGTATTGCCTTTGAAAGTCTTAGATACTATGTGCCTTTTAGAGACTTTCACCCTTCCATAATTCCTATACATACATTTTAACTTGATTTAATGGCATTCATATTATTCAAAAGTCCCCAGTGTATCTGAAAAACCTCTGAAATGTTATATTCCATTTTTCTCCCCCTTATGTCAGTGGTTGCTTTATTAGATGTAGACAGCTGGGATAGCATATGTTTCTTTAAAAGAAACCTTTAAAATTTAAAATTTGGAGAGCACTCTCTTAAAATCCACCAGGGTGAGTTTAATTTCTTCTGAGATATCTGAAAAGATTCAAACATCAACATGTAAGAAATCTCACTCTACACTCGAATGTACACTGCATGGGGAGTTAAGTCCGGAGATGTTTTCATTAACTTTAGATGCAATTTTATATAAATCATTTAAATTAATGGTATTGATTGCCTTATTTATAAATCAAGGTTGATTTGGTATTTTAGAGTATTGCACCTTAGAGTATTTTATTTTTAAGGTATTATTGAGGTATTCTGGTACTTTAGAGTATTTTTTTAAGACCACATGTAGTGATAAAAGAAAAAGCACAGTGAAAAATATAAGTCACAAGATAGGAGAGAAAGTCGTGTTTATTGGACATCTGCTGTATTTCAGGCACAATGCCAAGCACATCACATATCTTTTCAATTTAAGCCTCACAATCTGCTCTGTAGAATGGACATATTATCCCTATTTTAAGGAAAAGATTTTAAGGCTCTAAGAAATTAACTAATTTGCTTAAGGCTAAACAGTAAATTGTGGAGCTGTGATTAGCAAATTCTGCTGATTCCATCTTCTAAATGTGTCCAGAATCTAACTACTTCTCACCATCTTCACGATTACCACTTTGGCATAAGCTACCACCAATTCTTGCCTGAACTATTGCAGTAGTTCACTCATACTTTATTTTTGCCATCTCCCTGGAGTCTGTTCTTAACACATAAGAGGGAGCCCTCTAAAATTTGTCAGATCATTCACACCCCTCCTCAAAACTCTCAAAGGACTTCCTTCGTTCAGAATAAATAGCAAAGTCCTTAATGTGTCATAGAGTTCCTGCATTATTTAGGCTTCTGTCTCTTATTATTTCTTTGACTTTTATCTCTTATAATTCTGTTACTTTTAGGCTGTTATCCACACTGGCCAGCTGACCTCCTTGCAGTGCTTCAACCATTCTAGGCATGCTCCCTCTTGGAGTGTGTGCATGGAGCTATTCTCCCCACCAACGATGATCTTCCCCCATATGTACTCATGTATCTCCTCCTCATCTCTTTCAAATCTGCTCAAATATCACCTTCTCAATGAAGCTTTACTTAAATATTATCACACTCAGCCCTCTCCTTTTAAACTACCTCTTCTCATCTTTTTCTCCTTACAACATTTCACCATCTGCCATAGGAAAAATACAAAACAACACACTGATTAATTGATAGTTTATCCCATTCCCCACTGGTAAATAAGCATCATGAGGGTAGGTACTCTTCTGTTTTGGTGCATTGTGGTATCCACTTGGGAGTGGGCCCACAGTTGAATCTCTTCCCTGTAAATGCCCTTGGCCAAATAGGATATACCTCAGCAAGGTAAGTGCTTCCCCTGGGAGAAGCCACCATTCCATGACTGGTAGATGAGAGTATGAAGGCCAAGACTCCTTGCCACATTTAAGGACAATGTTCAAGGTGCATGGAGCTCAAGCTCATGAGCTCAGCTTAAAGGTGGAGGTCTTTTTTGCAACTGTGCTGTGATTCAGCTCTCCCTCTGCCAACATCTGCTTCTTTCACTTCCCTCCAAATGTTGTTCCTGAGAGAATTCCTCAATAAACTTCCTGCAGGCAAACCATCTCAGACTTTGTTTCCTGGGGAACCCAGTCTATACCCTTGCACCTGTAAAAAGCATGATGTGCAGTTGATGCTTCAATAAATACTTTTTGAATAAACGGGTGAATAGAGACTAAAATAGAATAGAAAAGAATGGACTAGAATAGAAAATGTTAAGAATCTGTGTTCTGGAGTCAAAAAAATCTATATTGCAATCTTCACTCTTTCTCTTAATTCCTGCGACTTAGATTAATTTGCTTAAAATTATCCATGGAAGAGGTTACAATAGTACCTTTCTCAGATTATTTTAGGATTAAAGGAGATGAAGCATATAAAGCCAGAATCATAGCGCCTGGAAATTATGTTCTTAATAGACACTATAAAAATAATTATTTTTTCTATTTATACAAGAGATATAGTCTACTCTCCCAATCAATATTTCTTTCTTTCTTGTTTCTTTCTTTCTTTAACATACAGGTTAAATTGATTAAATAAAACTATGGTAACAGATTTTTAGGTATACCAATCAACATTATCATTCTGAGAGAGTGGTTAAAAGGGCAACTAGCCCAGCTCTCTGTTTCTAGGCTAAACTTACACCATTCAAAGCTGTTTATCATCTAAATGATTCTAATTGATATGGATGCCGAAATATTTCATGATTCCCCTGAAGTTTTTGTTCCAGTATTTAATTGCTTGGTACCATCAGGAGATTCTCCTTCAAATAACTTTTAATCTATTTCTTGAATTTTAATATATTTCATACAGTTCTGGCCACTATGCTAATGTAGGACTACTGATCTTTGTCCTTTGAGCCTCAATTTAAGTACTTTAATTAATCAAAAACTTTCTTATTGAGCTTTGTGCCAAGTATTGGGCTGGGCTTGATGACAAGTTTTAATTCATGGTCTTTCTTGCTGTACTCTGCCCTGCTTGGAGTCCTGGAGTCCCTTTCATCTTTTCTAATAGTCTTATTTTCATTTTTGTTGATCTTCTTTGAATGTGCTCCAATTTGTCTACAACTTTCATAAATACTTTAGGAAAGGCTTGATTATTGCCAAATATGGAAGAAAGATTACTACTCACTCATGATAAGCTAGTCATACTGCTATTAATATATTCCAGCATAATGTTTCCTTTATAAATAATTGCTTTATGCAGCTGACTCATCTGATTTGTATTATATGATGAGTGTAAGTCATTTTTTTCTTCTGTACTTGAGCACACAAAATCTTTCCTTTCTTAAATCAATCAAATTTGTACTTTGTTCCTCACTGTAATCTTTAATTTAAATTTGTTTAATTCAGTCCTAGGTTTTTTAAAAACATATTTAAGTTGAATTATCATCCTTTTTTAAATTAGCAGTTTTTTTCCAATGCTTTTCCTCATTCAGCTCAGTTCTAGTCAATATTTATCACCTATTATCAGCCAGGCATTGTGCTAGATATTAAGTCTACAAAATTGTAAATACAGGCCTTATTAAGAAGTTCTCAATGTAGAGGTGACAGAAAAATCTGTTAAATTCCAAGTGCGAAATAGAGGAATGCAAAAATTCAGAGTACCCTTGGTCACCTTGGAAGTAGGCTTCCTGGAGGAGATTATGCTGAATTGAGCTTTAAAGATTGCATGAAAATTAAGTAATGAAAGAAAATAGGACTGCAGCATTCCAGGCAGAGGGAGCCATGCAATAAAAAATGTAGAGGCTTGTAAGAACAAATGTATCTGGAAACTGTAAACAGCTTCTTACCACTAGTGTAAAATGCAAGCTGAAAAATGGTGAAAAAGTTAAAAACATTATTTCAACCTCACTGAAGAACTAATAATAGGTTGGTGCAAAAGTAATTGCAATTTTTGCCATTCAAAGTAATGGCAGGGCTGGGCACGTTGGCTCACGCCTGTAATCCCAGCACTTTGGGAGGTGGAGGCAGGTGGATTACTTGAGGTCAGGAGTTCAATACCAGCCTGGTCAACATGCAAAAAACCCATTTCTACTAAAAAAATATACAAAAATTAGTTGGGAGTGGTGGCACGTGATTGTAGTCCCAGCTACCGGGAGGCTGAGGCACGAGAATTGCTTGAACCTGGGAGGCAAGGTTGCAGTGAACTGAGATCATGCCACTGCACCCCAGCCTGAGTGATAGAGTGAGACTCTGTCTCTAAATAAATACATACAAGCAAAGGAGAGAGGCCTCAGAGGATAGGCATAAAAACAAAACAAAAGAAAACAAAAACCAGTACTAGCAAAGACTACAATTACTTTTGCACCAACCTAATAACATGTTATCTTTGGTGTCTCATGGTTGAATTGTCTTTATTACAGTCAATACTCATTATCATATATTCCATATTTGTAAGTTCACCTACATACTAAAATTTTTTTGTAATTTCCCAATCAATACTGCCAGCACTTCTGTGGGAATTAGTGTACATGGCGCATAGTGGTGAAAAATCTGATTGCCCAACTTGCATGTTCCCATTGGACGTTAGACAAGGCAATGCTCCATCTTCTTATTGCAGCTCTGAGACTGTAAACAAGTATCCTTTGCAAGGCCTTTTTTGTGCCATAAATTTTGCATTTTTGTACTTTTTTTGGTTATTTATTTATGTATTTATTTATTTATTTGCTCAAAATGGCCCCAAAGTATAGGAAGTGCTGTTTAGCATTCGTAAGCACAAGAAGGTAGCAATGTGCTTTATGGACAAAATGCTATGTGTATGTTAGACAAGCTTCCTTTGGGCCTGAGTTAAAACACTGTTGGATGTGACTTTAATTTTAATAAATCAACAATATACATTAAATTTAGTTGCCTTTTAACAGAAACATATGTAAAACAAAGTTATGTATTGATCGGTTGCCAAAAATATTGTGACCAGAGTTTGCAGAAACCTAATTTTGTATTTCCCCTAGGAGCAATAGTTCAGCACTTGCTAATTCAGTGTTTTCAGCAATGTGATAGAATATAACTACCATGAATAAGGAGAATCAACTGCATATTGTGCAACACACCAGCTGGTAACAACAACAACAACAACAAAACAACAAGTAAAAAGGCTACACTAACAAGAACTGAGCTGCATCTCCAAACAAAAGCATTGCAGTGCCTAAACTTCTAAATTCCATCAATATGAGGGGTACCTGAAGATATTTCTTGATTTAAATGCATTGCCAATATTGCCAAACCATACTTAACTTTGACCATCAAAATCAGTGAAGTTCTGGAGTGCAAGTTATTATTTGCATTGATTCTCTGCTGACTACATACAACTCTACTAAAATAGGAATGTCTTGCATTTGCATTAATTCAATGAATTTTTATTGATGATGAACATAATGGTGGTGATGTTAACAATGAAAGACAAAAAGTTGCATGAGTGAATGTTGCATGTTCAACCAAAATAGAGCAAATGCAGCTAGGCTGGGAAATATGTGCTTTGAGGGCATGTCCAGTAAAATTAAGTAAATATAAATATGATGTTTATTGAACTGCTTCTGCATGCACGTCTCTGTGCTAGTATTAATTATGGACAACAATCTCTTCCCACAAAGAGTTTACAATATAGTGAATTTTTTATGTTAAGACAATTACTTATCAAGATGTAAATTCAAGTAGAAAACTTAAAGAGAATGAATTAAAGTACTATGAACTTTTAATGGTGACTGAAACCCTATTTGGTAGTGGGAAGAAGAATATCACAAAAAAATCTTCATATGGAGATGATATTCCACCATACTTTAGAAAGAGCATATCCAAAGTCAGGAAAACCCAAGGCATTAAATTCAGTGAAGAAAGCACCCAGTTTGGCTTTATTATAAACTTTTTAAAGGCAAGAAGAAGCAGGAATTGTGACTAGAAAAGCAGGTTGCACTTTTAAATGCAATTGGAGGTTCTTGAGCAGGGGACTAATTATGAGGAGAACTTCAGGAAGTTTCATCTTATTAGGTAGTGTGCAGGAAGAAGCATATCCAACAGGTAAATGGTTCTGGATGTAGTTCCTAGGAGAGATTTTGTGGCCTATATAATGGTGGTGGATTTAAAAATGAAAAAGAGGACAGGTGTGAAGCTTTGCAGAGGTTGCATACATAGTCAGCTAGACCTTCCAGTCTGAGTTACTAGAAGAATGGATGCACCATTCATGGTCATAGGAACTTCAGAAGCAACTGACTGAGTTTCATGTTATACAAATTAAGTTTCAAGGGACAAGAGACATTAAAGTGAAAACATTTAAATGGAGAGTTGGTAAATATGTATCATGAGAGTGGTTGGAATGGGATTATTTTGAAGACATCTTCTTAAAAATAATACTAAATCCTAAAAAATGAAAGCAACTGAACTGTATGTTATATATGTAGATATACATATATAAAATAGATAGTTTATACATGTTAGTATATATGTTCAAATGTGCTCTTTCATTGGATTCTCAGTGCGATACTGTGGGTCAGGAGCCACAGAATTTAAAAGAAGACAAGAACTATTTTACTCAGAAGTTGGAAAAGAAAGAATAATAATGAAGTATGTACTCTCTCCCTCTAAGAAATATGAATGTGAAGGATGAAAATGGGCCAGGAGGGTGGTGGAAATGGCTATTAAATTCGAAAGAATATTTTCCTGAATTTGCCTAAATTCAGGTGTCTATTAATTTTTACCTGGATTGATAGTATAGGATTCTAACTGGCTTTCCTGTTTTCCAGCTCACTGATGCTCCATTCAGAGGCCAGTCTGATCTTTTATAACTTTAGATATAACCTTTTTCCCTTCTGTTTAAACACGTCTGTTGGTCCATCCTTTCTTATAAAAATATTTAAAGTCTCATCTAATTTCATTCTCACCAACTTGGACTCCAAACTCACTTCAGAGCACTTGGCATTTCCCAGGCTTACCAAAGTATGTTTAGACCTGTGGAAATTTTCTGCTGTCTGTCCAAGAGCCTACCCCCTACCAAACACTCCTAACAAAATCTTACTGAAATCTACAACTTCCAGATCAAATGCTACTCCCTGAGAACCTTTGCTCATCTCCATCCTCTAAGTAGATATTCAGTCCTGTGTTGCCCAAGTAGCCAGCCCAGGAAGATGTTGGATTAATAATATAGTTGAATATTGGTGTTCATGGGAGCCTATCAAGTCTGATTCTTTTGCCTAACATGAATGAGATAACTGTTTCCATTTGTTTGTTTTTAGCAAAAGTATTAGCGTTAGAGTAGGCAGATAGATATACGTGAGCAGGAGAGGAAGCCCTGAGAAAAGAAGGTCTGGGAAGCCTCACTCACTCCCAGGGACCACCCAAAATCTGCATGTTAATAGTATCTCTAATGATGAAGTGGGCGGGCAATTAGTCAAGTGTAAGCAAGGAAAAGAGAAAATACCTATGCAAAAAGGAACGCCTCTTAAGATGCCCAGTAACGGCTCACTCTGCAGTCAAACCGTCAAACTGTAGCTAGCTACATACTGATATGGAGGAGAAAGGGCAAAGGAGAATTTCCTAAGAAATGCACATGTGCAACAAGTATAGATTTAACAGCTATATAACCTTCCTTGGGTAGCAGTAATTAGCAAGGCAACCATCACCTAAAATTTGTAGTCAACACAAGCTGAAGCATGCTCATTAATCAATAGTAAGGGAGAGTCCCACAAACCTGGGATGGGAACTATGTGGAGAAAGGCAGAAATGGAAAAAACTAGACAAAAGAAGCCCAGACCGAGGTAGGAACTTAAAAAAAGATTCTGACATCATAAAAACCCCAATGCAGAGCTCTCTGGAGGGCTGCTGGCTCACTCTCTTTCAGCAGCCAGCTGTGCCTCATCCTTCAAAGGGTACTGTATCTTTAAATAAACTCTGCTCTCTATTTTCCTTCAATAAATTCTCTTTTATGGCTAAATTGTCTCTTGGCCAAATTCTTTCTCCCAAGAAAGACAAAGGACCCAGGATTTCTGCACTTCCCACTAACATTAGGATATTAGAAATTTGAAGTCGTGTCTATGTTAATACCATCAGAGTAGATTTTATTGAAAATTGCTCGGATATATATGAAACCTATCAAAATGCAACCACTATTTTTGCATTCTGCACAACATAAACCTGTTCAGACATGAAGAAAATCATGAAGAATGTTAGCATCAGCACAAATTTCCTGCAAACAAAAGTCTGCTTTAATCTCAATGTATTATGGAAAAGATTGTAAAGTATGGTCCTTTAATTAGATCCTCTTTGTTGCTTACTCACAGTCAGATTACCAATACAGTCCATAAAGTTATTTCTTAATTGAAGCAACTGTATCAATATTATGTTTTAGAATAATAGTAGTGTTGTTTGATTCTTTTGTGACAAGGCTTAATATGCAATTTCAGTTTCATTGTTTGAACTTTTTATTATTACTCAATAGGTATGAACCCTGAGCAAGTTGGTTAACTGCCTACCAATTGAATTATCTAAATTGATGAAAAGAATTCTATATTAATGAAAACACAATACATGCCACAGAAATTGTTAGAGTTACCAGCTGTTCAATTGCATTTAATTTTTGTCTTTTTAAAATATTTATATGAGATCCAGCATATACTATCTCAACCAGAGTAAAAATGACTTTCCAGGCTCTCCTACAAAGCAATAATTTTATGATGTAGACAGATTCTAATGCAAACATGTATAAAAATAGTTAAACTACTGAAGACAATTTGTATGTTGCACTTTCTAGGAATTTTTCCAAGTTAGGCAAGAACAAAAGATGAAGTAGATTGTTGTTGTTGTTGTTACAGAACTGGGCAAAATTAAATAGATGTGATGATTTGGGGAAATATACTTTCCAGAAACAATTAATTAAAACATTGGTGAACACTGAAGAAATTTTTATAAGCACAAGTTCTGCATTAGAAAAAGGTCACAACTTCAGACATTAATAGAATCTACTCTATCTTTTGTTCTTCCAATATTCAAACACCCCCCGCCCCTTGGCTCTGTATAAAAGCATTTCCAGTAAGCCCCAAAATAACTATTGCTTTTGTCTCACATTGTGTGTCCACCTCAATTCTTTTGTCATTTCTATTATGAAAATAAGCAACCCCAATTATAACTTTGCTACTTAAATAGCATCTGCATTGATTCACCTCACCTTATTTCTACTGTCTCTCTTCCATTGCAGGTTGAAAAAAAAAAAAAACCTCTAAAATCTATTCTCAAATTTCTCTTCAATTCCTATTACTGTTTTTCAGGACATTAGAAATGCCATATATAGATATATGTTTATCTATATATGATAAAGCCTATGTTTTCTTTTGGATCATTCTTTTAGAACCACTATTGGCACTACCTCCTCATGTGTTTCTCCTCAGCCTGTTCATTGCATCAGTTTTATATATTCTAGCCTCCAATTTTGATAAGCCTGCTTAACCCTCACAGGACTTCGTTCTCATGTCACATGACACTAGAAGTAGCCAATCGAGGTGTTGTGTCTTCTCTGAGATCTCCAGCTCAGCATCTTGTCTGTTCAACCACAGATTACTTTCAATTTAATACTCCCACTCAGCTGTTTTATAATTAAATAACAAAAAATATATAATGAAAACATATTGAATCATAGATAGCAGTTAGAGATCTCTGCAGCAGTAACCCCTTAACTTTTCTACCTTTTGGCTCAGTTACTTCAGGACTTGCACAGTCAATATCCTTACCTTCCTGAAACTTTCTAAGCCATCTATTTCAATTTCAAACCAGAATTCCTTCCTTCTAACCACTGCCTCAGCTCTCCTAACAAGCTATCTTAGTCAGGGTAGCTGTAACAAATTATCATAGACTTGGTGGCTTAAACAACAAACATTTATTACTCAGTTCTGGAGGCCAGGAGGTCAAAGAGCAAGGTGCCAAAAGATTCTTTGTCTACTGAGGTTCCTCTTTCTGGTTTGGAGATAGCTTTCTTTTTGCTTTATTTTCACATGAAAGAGAACCAAGAAAGAAAGCAAATTATGTCCTGTCTCTTCTCATAAGGGCACTTATTGCATCGTGAAGTTTCCACTCCCATAAGCAAATTACCTCTCAACGATGGCACCACTTAATATCATGCCATTTGGAGCTAGGGTATGATATGGTTAGGCTTTGTGTCCCCCACCAAAATCTCATCTTGAATTGTAATCCCCACAGTTCCCACATGTCAAAGGAGAGACCAGTTGGAGGTAATTGAATCATGGGGACAGTTTCCCCCATGCTGTTATCATGATAGCAAGTGAGTTCTCATGAGATTTGATAGTTTTGTAAGGGGCTCTTCCACATTTTGCTCAGCACTTCTCCTTCCTGCGCCTTGTAAAGAAGGTGCCTTGCTTCTGCTTTACCTTCTGCCATGATTGTAAGTTTCCTGAGGCCTCCCGAGCCATGCTGAACTGTGAGTAATTAAATCTCTTTCCTTTAGAAATTACCCAGTCTCAGGAAGTTCTTAATAGCAGTATGAAAGTGAACTAATACAGTAAATTGGTACCACATAGAGTGGAGTGCTGCTATAAAGATACCCAAAAATGCGGAAGCAACTTTGGAACTGGGTAACAGGCAAAGGTGGAACAGTTTGGAGGTCTCAGAAGAAGACAGGAAAATGTGGGAAAGTTCAGAACTTCCTAGAGACTTGTTGAATGGGTTTGACTATAATGCTGGCAGTGATATGGACAATGAAGTCCAGGCTGAGATGGTCTCAGATGGAGATGAGGAACTCATTGGGAACTGGAATAAAAGTGACTCTTGCTATGCTTTAGCAAAGAGACTGGTGGCATTTTGCCCCTGCCTTAGAAATCTGCAGAACTTTGAACTTGAGAGAAATGATGTAGGGTATCTGGCAGAATAAATTTCTAAGCAGCAAAGCATTCAAGAGGTGACTTGTGTGCTCTTAAAAGCATTCAGTTTTATGCATTCACAAAGAGATGGTTTGGAATTGAAAGAGGTTTAAAAATGAAGCTGAGCATAAAAGTTTGGAAAATTTGCAGGCTGACAATGTGATAGAAAAACAAAATCCATTTTCTGAGGAGAAATTCAAGCCAGCTGCAGAAATTTGCATAAATAACAAGCAGCCAAATGTTAATCACCAAGACAATGGGGAAAATGTCTTCAGGGCATGTCAGAGGTATTCATGGCAGCCTCTCCCATCACAGGCCCAGAGGCCTAGAGGAAAAATGGTTTCATGGACCTGGCCCAGGGCTTTGTTGCTTTATGTGGTCTCAGGATTTGGTGCTGTGTGTCCCAGCTGCTCCAACTCTGGTCCTGAGGGGCCAAGGTACAGCACAAGATGTTGCTTCAGAGGGTGCAATCCCCAAGTCTTGGTGGCCTCCATGTGGTGTTGGGACTGTGGTACCCAGAAGTCAAGAATTGAAATTTGGGAATCTCCTCCTAGATTTCAGAGGATGTGTGGAAACACCTTGATGTCAAGCAGAAGTTTGCTGCAGGGGTGGAGTCCTCATGGACAACTTCTGCTAGGGCAATGTGGAAGGGAAATGTGCAATTGGAGTGGAGCCTCCACACAGAGTCCACACTGGAGCACTGACTAGTGGAGCTGTGAGAAAAAGGCCACCATCCTCCAGACCTCTGAGTGGTAGATTTAATGACAGCTTGTACCATGCACCTGGAAAAGCTGCAGAAACTCAATGCCAGCCCATGAAAGAAGCCAGGAGGGGGGCTGTACCCTTCAAAGTCATAGCAGCAGAGCTGCCCAAGACCATGGGAACCCATCTCTAGCATCAGCATGTCCTGGATGTGAGGCGTGGAATCAAGGAGATCATTTTGGAACTTTAAAATTTTGGACTTGCATGGGGCCTGTAATCCCTTTGTTTTGTCCAATTTATCCCATTTGGAACAGGTGTATTTGCCCATTGCCTAAACTCCCATTGTATCTAGGAAGTAACTAACTTGCTTTTGATTTTATGGGCTCATAGACAGAAGAAGCTTGCCTGTTTTTCAGATGAAACTATGGATTTAGACTTTTGGGTTAATGCTGGAATGAATTAATACTTTGAGGAACTGCTGGCAAAGTATGATTAGTTTTGAAATATGAAAGGGACATGAGATTTAGGAGGAGCCAGGGGTAGAATGATATGGTTAAGTTTTGTGTCCCAACCTAAATCTCATCTTGAATTGTAACCCCCATAATCTCCACATGTCAATCGAGAGACCAGTTGGAGGTAATTGAATCATGGGGGCTGTTTACCCCATGATGTTTTCATAATTGTGAGTGAGTTATTATGAGATCTGATGGTTTTATAATGGGCTCTTCCCCCTTCACTCAGCAATTCTCCTTCCTGCCACCTTGTGAAGAAATTGCCTTGCTTCCCCTTCACCTTCCACCATGATCATAAGTTTCCTGAGGCCTCTCAAGCCATGCTGACCTGTGAATTAATTACCTCTTTCCTTCATAAATTACCCAGTCTCAGGCAGTTCTTTATAGCAGTATAAAAATAGACTAATACACGGCTTCAACATATGAATTTTGGAGAGACACAAACATACAGTCCACAACACAAGCCCACACACTAATCCTTAGGGAAAATAAAACATAATGAAGATCTAAACAATGAGATATTTGTGCCCTCTATTTTCAACTGGTCATTGCCACTGCCTGGTTCTCTTTTATTCATGTCTTCTTCATTCCCCAGTGAATTTTCCATACATTCCATTCCATGTCTTCGAAAGCACCATCGGAAGTTCTCATTTTCGTGACTCCTTGGATCTTTATAGTTGATATTTAGATCTGTTTTATAAAGATGGGATTATTTGGCACATGCAGTCAACACTGAGACTTTTGATGGTACTTTATAAAATAAAGGAGTGTGGGACTAGAATGCATGTCTCACTACAAGATTCTAACTGGTGGTCATAGTGTGGGAAACAAGGATCATGACTCCAGTGCAGTTCATAAAGGCCTTGAGAGCTTTCAGCTCAGGCTCCAAGACAGTAAAAGTATTCTAGGCCATCAGTTCATTGAAATGGGTTTGGAGGGTAAAATAGATCCACCTTCAGGGACTTGAGAATCTCAAAAGCCATAGCATGGGGACTTGACAACATGGGATGGGGACCAAGGAAAGGAAGTTTCATTACTGATATCCAGAGAAAGTGACTGCATTGTTAAGCACAGACTGAACAAAATATAAGGCTCAGAAGCAAGAATAGTCTTGATGCCAAATAAAGTTTTTTGGGAACACAATCTTGGAGCTAAACCAGTCCAGGAGGTAGGGGGCGAATTAGATCCACTATAAGAATAGAAATAATCCTGTGATGGGAGCTAGTAGGAGAGATGATAAGAGTGGAGCAATAAAGAGCATGAAGCCAAACGGCATCTGGGCATGGATTCTTTTATCCTCTTTTCCGCATGTCTTCACACCAACATATATTTGTATCTTCTTCAAAATTTTCTTCAGATTCTCAAGAGAAATATTCTCTAGAGATAACAGTTTAATGTTATCTTTTATATACAAGCACAAACTTTGATCTTCAAGAGTCCATGGAGGTTTTTTAAAAATATTTTTATTTTCTCTGCTTAAGAGCTGTGTCTTACACTGGCACAAATTCATTATGATCTCAGTTATCCACATATGATATTTTAAGTGTCAGATTCCAAAGAAGAAGACCACCACAATTTTACAGAACATGCCATCATAAAATCGTCGTTGTTAGTGACTTAGGATGAGTGAGGAGGGTCTCAATTTAGATTCATTAATAGCTTTTATCCTGAGAACTGCTGCGATTTTATATAATTTTCCTGTTTTGTTTGATTTTCAATATTGCACACAATTCACTTGGGTTAGAGTTTCAAAACCACTTAGGAAATTAAGAGGCTTTTTGGAAAATAATTAATAGTAAAATAAGATCAAAATTGTAGGGTGATGTTTCATCTCTAGCAACTGAGGCTTAACATCTAGTACATAAGTAACCTTCATTTGTATAACCCACAATATTCTATTAAGAAAAATATAGATAGCCATTACACCCAGACTGTGAACCAAACAAACCTCTTTAAACTTTTTTAAAAATTTATCTACATTTTAGGGGTATACATGCAGCTTTGTTACATGGATATACTGAATAGTGGTGAAGTCTGAGCTTTTAGTGTATCAGCCACTCAGATAATGTATATTGTATCCATTAAGAAGTTTCTCATCATCCACTCCCCTCTCACTCCCACAATCTTCCAAGTCTCCAATGTCTATTATTCCACACTCTGGTGTACACATTATTTAGATCCCAGTCATAGGTGAAACATGCAGTCTTTATCTGTTTCTGAGTTGTTTCACTTAGATAATGGCCTCCGATTCCATCCATGTTGCTCAAAAGACATGATTTCATTCTTTCCTGTGGCTGAGTAGTATTCTATTGTGTACATAGGCCACATTTTCTTTATCTAATCCGTCGATGGACACTTAGATTTGTTGATTACATATCTTTGCTATTGTGAATAGTGCCACAATAAATGATAAACATACACACACCTTTTTCATATGCTGACTTGTTTTTTTCCTTTGGAAGATGTTGAGTAGTAAGATTGCTGGATCCAATGATAGTTCTATTTTTAGTTCTTTGTGAAATCTCCATACTGTTTTCCATGGAGGCTGTAGTAATTACATTCTCACCAACAGTAAGTAAATTTTCTTCTTCTCTGCATCCTCGCCAGTGTATGTTTTTTTTTTTTTTTTTCATTTTGGCTGTTGTAATGTGATATCACCTTATGGTTTTAATTTGCATTTATCTGATGATTACTAATGTTGAGAATTTTTTTGTATATGCTTGTTGGATCTTTGTATGTTTTCTTTTGAATGTCTGCTCATGTTCTTTACCTGCTTTTTAACAGAGTTGTTTTTTGTTGTCATTGGGTAGATTTCCTTATAAATTATGGATATTCGTGTTCTGTTGAATGCATAGTTTGCAAATATTTTCTCCCTTTCTGAAGGTTGTTTGTTCCCTCTGTTATTTTGTTTGCTGTGCAGAAGCTTTTTAGTTTAATTAAGTCACTTTTGTCTATTTTTGTTGCTTGTGTTTTTGAGGTCTTAGTTGTGAATTATTTACCTAGACCAATGTGCAGAAGAGTTTCTCATAGAAACTAGAGTTTCTTCTAGTACTTAGACAGGTTTTAGTCTTACATTTAACTTTTTAATCCATCTTGGGTTAATTTTTGTATATGTTGTGTGAGAGAAAGGCCCAGTTTTATTCCTCTGCATATGTCAATTCAATTTTCCCAGGACCATTTATTGAATAGGGTGTCCATTCTTCAGTGCATGTTTTTGTCAGCTCTGTCAAAGATCAGTGGGTAACACATACGTGGTTTTATTTCTGGGTTCTCTATTCTGTTCCACTGATCTATGTGTCTATTTTTATATCAGTACTATGTTGTTTTGATTACTAGAACTTTGTGGCATAATTTGAATTCAGATAATGTGATGTCTCCAGCTTTGTTCTTTTTGCTAAGAATTGCTTTGGCTATTTGGGCTCTTTTTTGGTTCCGTGTTAATTTAAAAATAGCTTTTTCTAGTTCTGTAATAAATAAAATTGGTATTTTGATAACAATTGTATTGAATTTATAGATTGCTTTGGGCAGTATGGTCATCTTAAATATATATGTATATATGGTCTAGAGGTCCCTGTTGATCTTACAGCTCATGAAGCCAGCTTTTGAGAAGCATTTAATTATGTTCCAGGTATTGGTAGACCTGAGGTGATACTGCAGGGAAGTATCCCAAGGGAAAATCAAAGGTGGCATGAATTTGACATTATATCTGACTCATACCTGAATGCAGGTGGTTTGAAGTCTGAAAATACTGAAAATGAGTGACTGCTGAGTTTGACATCCCTATTCACGTGATGATAAGGCAGTCCTCTAATGAGAACTTTGCTCCCACACAGCTCCTGGGCATCCAGATAACTCTTCATTGCCTGATACCTGCTGTACTTCATCTTCACTCGAGTTTGTTCTCTAAGCTTGTGGCTCCTGCCTGGCGTGTGGGCTTTTCTCCTTGTTCTTCCTTTCTTCCCAGAGTGTTGTGGATTTTCTATACACAATGCCTTTTTATGCTTCCATACGAAAGCCCTCTTCTTTCTTTTTTCTCACGTGGTTCTTTGTGAGCAATAAAGTGTATCCCATTTATCCAAACTTCAACCCCTATTATTAGCAGCAAAACTGCTGCATGTTCCACTCCCACTAGAGGGCAGTGAGACCTGAATCTTCCTAAAGAAAATTGCTTGGTATCCATGTGGATAGCCATGGGACGTTGAGGCTGCTTTAATCAGAGGCTTATTCTAGAAAGGGTTTCAGAAAAGGTGTGGAGGATGGTAGGGAGTACGGAGCAGATGCAGTATAAACCTTCCTCAATTTGGAGAAATAATTTATTTGTAAGATATAGTCAATGGATTTTTCTACCTGCAATGTCCAGTGTATGAATAAATAAAGGTATGGATGGCCTGAGTGTGTGTGTGTGTATATACATATAAAATATATATTATATATATTTATATATTATATATTATATAAATATATATTCTATATAAAGAGGCTATATATATAATAGACTATATATATTGTATAGATAGTATATATATGTGTCTATCTATCTATCTACATATATATACTATCAAAGGGTTCTGAGAACATCATATAAAACTTTGGCCAGTGTGCTGCATAGATATGGGCTGAAACACCATCTCTGACCACACTCACTTCTGAAAGTAAGTGAGTCTGTGACAGCCCTGGCTGCCTAAACTGTAATTATGTAACAAATGGTTCCTTCACTATGGGCTGACCAGGCAACAGTGACCTCTGTGAACTGACTTGAAAAGATGACTCAGGCCTGTCAGATTCTTGCTTCTATGAGATTGCATTTGTAATAACAAAAACATTAAATGTCTTCTACTTAACATTGGGAGTTTAAAGTGAAAAGATATGACTTAGAGAAAAGGCCTAAAGAAGCCATAGAAAAACTGAAGTTATGACAGAGCAGAAAATAATGAGAAAGCTGACGTGCAGAGAAAAGCAGGCAGGACCTGAGGGAGGAGAGAACAAGTGATCCCCATGATAAGCTATTTGTAGTTTTTCACTTATAATATGTACAGATCTTTATGTAGCAGCATATGCATTCTCAATCAATTTTGATTTTTAAAAAACCTCAAGTTTTAAAAAATATATTTTAAAGAACTATTTAATCCTTCTTGGAACATTCTCTACAAGTTTTCTCTTTCCTCTTTTTCCTTACAGTGTTTGAAGATTTATCAATGTTCTTATTCTGCCAAATGCTTTTCCTCAATAATTAGAATTGAAGTATTTTGAAGACACCTTTCTTGTATTGCTGGTGATGGCACCACCTTCCCAACACTCTGCTGATGGCCTTTGTCAAATGGCCTCTCTGCAGAAGTTAGAATGACTTCTTTACACCACAGAAATTAGAGGATTAGATTGGCCTCTCCTAAGAGGATCTCTTGAACTGGTTATGTCCTAGCTGGGAATTTCTGAGTTCTCTGCTCCTGGCTCCTACAATGGTCTTCTCTTTAAGGTTGGTTTGCTCTGAGGAGTCCATCAGCAATCTAATGCTTGCTTCGCAGGTCTCTCATTAGCTTGCCAAGAACTATAGACATTTTACTTCACTTCTTTCCACAGGAAAAGAAATTAGCCACTGATTCCTGCAGGCTCAAGATTAACACCACATCCCTACATCCTTAACTTTGAATACATTAGCTAAACCCAGGATTTCTGTTATTATTACTATTAATATTTCAATAGTTTTTGGGGAACAGGTGGTGTTTGGTTACATGGATACATTCTTCAGGTGTGATTTCCGAGATTTTGGTGCATCCATTAACTGAGCAGTGTATACTGCACCCAATATGTCATCCTTTATCCCTCACTCGTCCTCCCACCTTTCCCCCCAAGTCCCCAGAGTACATTATATCATTCTTATGTCTTTGCATCCTTATAGCTTAGCTCCCACTTATAAGTGAGAGCATACGATGTTTAGTTTTCCATTCCTAATTTACTTCACTTAGAATAATGGTGTCCAACTCCAGTCAGGTTGCGCAAATGCTATTATTTCATTCCATTTTATAGCTGAGTAGTATTCCATGGTGTTTGTGTTTGTGTGTGTGTGTGTGTGTGTGTGTGTATACACACACACATATATATAGTGTTTGTGTGTATATATATATAGTGTGTGTGTATATATATACACACACACACACATACACACACACACACGCACATCACATTTTCTTTATCCGCTTGTGGGTTGATGGGCATTTAGGCTAGTTCCATATTTTCATAATTGCGAATTGTTCTGCTAAAAACATGTGTGTGCAAATGTCTTTTTCATAGAATGACTTCTTTTCCTCTGGGTAGATACCCAGTAGTGGGATTGCTGGATCAAATGGTAGATCTACTTTAAGTTCTTTAAGGAACCACCATACTGTTTATGCTAGTTTACATTCCCACCACCAATATAAAAGTGTTCCCTTTTCACTGCATCCATGCCAACATCTCTTATTTTTATTTTTTATTTTTTATTTATGGCCATTCTTGCAGGAGTAGGGTGTAAACCCAGGATTAATAATCTCTAAGGCATTCTCTTTACTTTTCACTTGTGCATTTCAAACCACTTTGTGGTCCACTACAGAGAAATTACAGACAGAGGGTACCCAGACATGGGTCATGAGTCCTCCATATCCTTTGTCCTAGAGGTCAAGTGCATAAAGTTCAATTCTTCATTCACAGAGAAGCCTTATACTAAAATACTATTGCAGTTCACCATTTAATTTTATGCTTATTGACCCATGATTACATTATGTTTGCTTTGTAGAGTTCTTTTCACTGAGCACTAGGATATAGCCACATTTTATGTATTTGGCTTCTTTTATTTATTCCAGTTTTACAATGCAGCTTCGGTGGTATGAGATGTAGAATAACTAACTGCTAGAGTGTGCCATGGTAAAATGTATCGTGTATCGAGATAAAGAAGAGCTCACATGATAAGTAAAACCTCAAGTCAGAGATGAATTAAAAGGAGACCAGTAATTTGAAATAAATTAAATTTAGAGAAGCAAATATCTCTGGGCCATCTACAATTCTTCACTATATTAGGCTGGTGCAAACATAATTGCAGTTTTTGCCATTACTTTTAATGTGTGTTTTCTTTATTCATCACTATGACTTGGCAAAATGATATATGTCTTCCTCCCAAAGGGCCCAACATTTCTTATTTATCTTTGTATCTCCAGTTGAGTACCTTGCACATTATTCTGAACACTGTGACTCACTGAAGGACTTGTTCTCATGAAAGAGAAAAAGACAGTGTTCAGCTGTCAGCACTTTCAGGAATGGACTTAGCTGTAGAAAGCCACCTTGGCCAAGATCATGTCCCTTTCATGGGTTCCTCATCCAGTGAATAGTTAATGAAAGGGTATAAATCCCTAATCATTTTGCTTCAACTTGAGGGAACTCTAAGGGCAGGCTTAGCTTTAGAGCTTCCTGTGGTATTATCTGAAGCTGTCACTGGGTGTGGAATGCTTTTTAATTTTCCCCATGACTAATCTTTTTTCCTTACTCTTTCTTGTACAGGTGTTGATAACAAAACACTGCCTACTGATCTGCATGAGACACTCCATCTCAGAGTCTACTTCCTGAAGAACTCAACAAGTAACAACTCGTACTAGGAACAATTCAAAGCAGCAGGAGATTCATAGGAATTTGGAAAATATGCTTATTCACCATCAAGCTAGCAATAGGATCCTAATATTTAATTTGATGGGTACAGATAGACTCTGGTACAAAATGGTAGTCTAGTTGTTAAAAGTTCCACTAGTGTGTATTGGAATGGTGCATAGTAGTGGAAAAGAATGCACTGGCTGGTGCGTTATGTCAATGGTTTGATAACCATGAAAAAAACAGTTAATTATAAGGTCAATGGAATTGAGTGGTTCTTGCTAAGCTAAATTGACACTTTAGAAAATAACAAGTGGAAAACAATTATTCACCAACTGAAAGCTAATATAAATATCGGAGGGCCTCTTTGGTAGCATACAGGGAAGTTCTCATCTCCTGTAGAAGGAGGGCAAGCAATACTGAGGACCAGAAACTGAGGATTAGAGACTTGATCTTTAGAATAACTGAGCTAGAAAATAGTTTAAGTTCCCTAACAGAAAAGGCCTGCTATAAGGGTCAGGTCCCTTGCTGGGGAGGAATGATGCCTTAACGCATGCTCTAACGTATGGCATAGGGACACTTGGGTTGACACTCTGTCTGAATTTTGAATCCATAGTTTCCCGTAAAGTATCTGAGCCTCAAGAAATGGTTACCTCTCCTTATCAAAGTCTAGGCTTCTCCCTTCCCCTGGAGACAATACAGATCCTCCTCCGCAGAAGACATTTGCACTGTCCCCCCAAACAACCACCATATGGCTCCACATCCTTTCTTATCCGCTAAGTCTATTGTTAGTGTTAAGTCACAGAATAACCAAGCAAGGACCTATTGGGGCTGAGAAGACATAAAAAAGACTACATACTAAAGAAGGTTAAGGACCTAGCAAAAGCCAGAGAGTATATGTGGGACTAGATTTTCCAGGTGTTTAATCAAAGGGGCTGGAACATAGTTTGATAAGAGAGAGTTTGTGATTTGGGAATATTTGCCCAAGATACAGGATTTACTACTTTGGAGAGAACCCCAGGAGATGGTGCAAACTCATTAATAGAATGACTCCTAGACAAAAAAATGATGGAGTACATTAAGTGAAGCTGAATGCTAGAATTGCTACAGCAGGTGATAGGAGATGGGATTAAAATGCTTGAGGAAGTGGGCATGCAAGAATATATATATATATATACACACTATATCCAGCTAAAAGACTCTCCAGATGATTATGAGTGGTCAGGTGACTTAAAATTTAAGATGATCATAAGGAATCCTCTGAGGAACAAGGCACCAGCATTTCTCAGAAGTTCAGTGACAATTCTCTAAGATCAGGCGTGACAGTGGCCTACAGCAATTGCCCACTTTCTGTATCTGAGCCAGATTTCAAACCAAACCTCATTGTCTGAAGAAGAGGTAGGATTGCCAAGAGGAAAGATCTTGCACTGCTTTGACAAATAAACACGGTAGTAATTTCTCCAACTATTTCCAAAGGTAACTATAATCATTTACTCAGATAAATGTGCACTGTGAAAAATGCAATATTAATACTTTCAAAGAACTATTAAACATACCAATCATGGCCCTACTGTTTAAGTATGGACATACAGGGTCAGCCGAGTACTAAATGGAGTTCTGGCCAATAAACATATCCAGTGGATTCATTGAGTCCAAGTGTATGAATGGTGGTTATTTAGCAACTCTCCCAATGTATAATTGATATAGATATATTTGGTAATTGGGATAACCTTCATTTACAAGTTCCTATAATTGGGATAAGAGCTATCATAATGGGGAAGGCCAAGTAGAAGCCTCTAAAATTTTCTCCCTCCAAAATAGCAAATAAAAAATTACTATGTCTCCAAGCAGATGGTGGAAATAAATACTAGTCTTAAAAATTTAAAAGATGCAAAGTTGGTTGTCAGTCATATCTCCATTTAATTTATCAAACATAACTAACAGTAGTGCCATTTGCATATAGTACTGTGCTTAAAGAATCTTTGTTAGAGCACATTAGAAGAATATTAGGTACATCCTATGAGACTATTGATTTAGTGAATACATTCATTTCTGACTCTATAAATAAAAAAGTAAAAGTTGGCATTTGCATGAAACAGAGAATAAGATACATTTAGAGTCCTGCCCCAGGGCTATGTTAACTCCGTATCCTCTGTCATAATATGATACGAAGGGAACTTGACATCTGGTTATCCTGAAAATCAAACTTATTTTATTGATGACAGACATCATGTTAATTAGACCTATGGAGCAAAAAGTGACTAGTTCATTAGGAGCCTTGATAAGACAAACCCACTCCAGAGAAGGGAAGATAAAATGTATGAAAATTCAGAGGCCTGCCGAATAAGTCAAATTTTTAAGGAGTACAGTGGTTTGAAGCATTTCACAAAGAAGAAAGCACAATGTCTGGTAGGCCACCAGTTTTGAATTGACACACGACCCTGACCCAGCAGAGCATTTATAGTATTATACATGGGAAAAAATACTCGGTAGAGTTTATGGCAAGTCCTAACAACAAAATCACAAGACAGACCTTTAGGATTCTGGGGTAAGGTGATGCCTTCTATAGTGAACAATTAAATACTAGTTGAAAATCAATTCCTGAAGTGCTACTGAGCCCTAGTAAAGTTGGAAAATCTTACCATAGGATAACAAGTGATTATGAGCTGCATTTTGTCAGACCTACCAGGTCATAAGATTTAGCAGACCCAGAAATAGTCCATACATTGGAAGAATGGAAGTGACACACCCAAGATAAAGTATAAGTAAGAAAAGATTATAAGCAAACTGCATGAGCAGGTAGCACAGACTATCATTTTTTTCACTACTGTTGAAATAATGAACTTCCCCAGGTGACCCACATGGCCTTATGAGGGATCTTTTATTATCAGATGAAGGTGAAAGAAAAATATCTAGCTTGGATTATGGATTGATAGTCCAAGTATGTGTTTACAAGTTAAAAATGTTTGGCACTCAGGGGTGGCTTTGATAGAAAAAAGCATGAGAAAAACATTCCAATTGGCAAAATTTTGAATGGTGCACCTGGCCCTCTACTTTGTGTGGAAAGAGAACCGACTGAGGTTATAGTCACACCCATGAGCAATGGTGAATGGCTCGGCTGGCTGGACATAACTGAAAGGTGAAAGACTGCAATATTAGAAACAAGTGGACCAGGATTAAAGGTGAGTGTGTGGATATATGATAGTGATCAAAAAGTTTAAAAGTCTTTCAAGTCTTTCTATTACATGCTGATGCCTTCCAAAGAGTGTAAGAGCAGTATCTTCCACTGAAATGGCACAATAAAAAAAGTAGATAAAATAACCTAACCAACTGATGCTACTCAGATTTGGTCATTAAGCCGCCCGGTTTTGACACCATCTATCCCCCACTTCTGGCGGTAGTGTTAGTGATGGAAGTTGTGTCTGAGCCCAGTAGCGTGGGCTTCCATTCACTGATTCCAATCTAGCAAATGCTGCCACCAAATGCCAACCTGCCAGCAACCCAGACTAATGCCAAATCTCTGATGTAAAACCATCTCTCAGGGAGACCAACTAGCCACATGGTGGCAAATTGATAACATTTTGCTCCTTTACTCTGAAAGGCCCAGCAATTTATTCTAACAGAAATAGGCACTAATTTGGGATACGGATTTTCCTTCCTCACATGCAGAGCCTCAGTTTAAGGCTCATAGAGTGTTTGATGCACAAGCACAAGTTCCCACACATCATTTTATGAGATCAGGGCAATGCATTTTATATCAAAGAAGAAGAAGGAGTAGGCTCATTACTACGAGAACTACTATAGTCGTATCACATATCAAACCACCCAGATACTGCAGCCTGATAGAACACTGGAAATTCCTATTAAAGGGACAGCTGAAAGTCCAGCTATCATAGGTATACATTCCACGGGATGCCCTAATCATCATCCTGAACCTTAAACATCATTTCAGTGCCTCTTCGACACACCAATCCACAACATGAATACTAGCTACTCAACCAATATTTGTTGAAATGCGCATAGCTAAAGTTCTCTCATAATCTGATACTAATACACTCTGTTTGCAAACATTATGCCTGACTTCCCAGTATGCATCCCTCCCATACCAATGATCCAGTTAGACCATCAGAGTTAGTCCAGTCTGTATCCCTCCCATACCAATGATTCGTTTAGACCGTCAGAGTTAGTCCACTCCCTTGGCTGGAGTCGGTCCTTTCACTACTCTCACAATGTATTCCCAGCCCCAACAACTTCCTGTGAAGCAGTTCACTGTGCACTGGCATCAATCCTGGGGGCTAAGGGGGAAAGGGATTGTAAACACCTCATCCAGTACACGTTGAGTTGTACCAATTTCTATCACTTGCATGAGTCTGATGAGACAGAACACTCATATACAGCAAGTTAAGTGAAACAAGTTTATTAATTACAAAAAACCCCAGCAAGTTGCATTAGAAGCTGGTTCCCCAAAGTTCAGGAAAGTTGCACAGAAAAGATGGAATCTCATCTGCATGGGCTCCACTTGCACTGCAGCTAAGAGACTTGGGAAAACATCCTGCTCTTGGTTTTATACCCTGGAGCAGCATGATACATTATAATAAAGGATTTCAGGGACCGGAACAGAACCTAGGCTATTCTGCTAGTTCCCCCTTACCTCAGGACATTGCATTCCCAGAACATTCTACAGTTTTTCTTGACAACTACCAGGGAGAAAAGGATGAGAACTACATTGGTCCAAGGCCACCCAGAGATCTGTCCTGAACTTCTGACCTCAGTCAGTATCATCTTACTTCAATCACACTATTCTTTTACCTGTGCTTCTACTGTAGCCTCTTATCTTTGCTTCTGCACTTTCCTCCTACAGTCTATTCTTTGCAGGTAGAATGAATTTTTTTTTTCAAAATGTAAATCAGATCATGCCTATCTACTCTGCAATGCCCTCCTATCTCCTTTAGAATAAAATAAAGCGTCCTTACCAAGACCTGTAAGATCCTTCACAATCTCTTCTTCTTGCTGACTTTCTGACCTCAGCTCCTTACATACTCTATTTTCTCATTCTTTTTTAGCCACTTGGCCTTCCACAATGTTTCTGGGACATACCAAGCTCATTCTTGTTCTAAGGCTTTGGAGTTGTCATTCTCCTTGTATAAAAACAGCTTTCCTCAAATATTCACATGGCTCCCTCCCTCATTTCACTAAGGTCTTTACTTAAAAGCACCTCTCTCAAAGAGTCCTTCTCTGACCACTGTATCTATTCACCCAACTTAAAATCCCTTCCTGGTGTTATATATTTTTTTTTTTTATCTTGTACTCTACTTTGATTTTGTTCATAGAACTTGTCATAATATGACATTATACATTTTTATTCATTTATGTATTTTCAGTTTATCCAATTCGAGTATAAGCTGCATGACTGCAAGGGTTTTATTTAGTTTAATGCTGTAGTATTAAAAGTGCCCAGAGCTATGCTTTGCACATCGTATGGCCTCACTCAATGTTTGTTAAATGGATAAGCCACTCAGGAATCATGGTACAGCTCTGGTCTACGACATGTGGGAGGAAGTGTTTTAAGATTTTTCTGAACAAGCTTCACCATACCTAAGGTAGACCCACGGGAAGAAACAAGAATCCCTCTTTTTCCTCTAGATGCAGTTATGTTAAAATTATGAGACCTAGGATTTCAGTAGTCATGACTGAACCAGGCCTAGGAGGAAACCTATGCAAAGACCAAAGAAAGTGGAGAGGTGGAAAGAGCTTGGATCCTTAATTATATCACTGAGCTGCTGACTCATCTCTACTCATCCCTGCTGTGGGTATATAAGTGTAACACAGAGTAAATATCTAATTGCTTAGGTCAGTGTTCTTTGGGATATCATTTCATTTATGGTTTCATTCCTCACAGCCAAAAGTAGTCTGATGGATGCATGAACCTTTTCTAGCCCTTCCTACTGCACAATTCCATCTCACTCTTTAATCACATTAAAACTCCAAATGTCCACCCAACTGTCCATCTGTGCTTTTGTTCAGGTATTCTCTCAACCTCTTGCTTCTACACATGTAACATTCTATTCAGTCCTAATATTCCTTTTATGTGGCCCAACTCCAAAGTCCTCTGTGTCATGCCTTCCCGGCACATTGCTGCTGCATTACAATCAACCTTTCTGCTGCAGTCCTACAACTCATCGCTTATTTTCCTCCTGGTTCCTATTAACTCAGGCTTTACAATACAGTGATTTTCTCCCATTCCCACCTTTTTTCATTCATTTATGCTTCATTCAACAATATTTATTATTTATCGCCAGGCTCTGTCCATGTGTTAGTAAACAAAACATATCAAAGTCTCTGTCCTATATTCAAATGTGTGTTTGCATATATACATATATATATATATACACACACATTTGAGAGAGATATATACTATATAAATATATAATATATTGAGATATACATATAATATATAGATATATAATATAGATATATTATAAAATTAAACTTTTTTGTTTTTTTCACTATTCATAGAATATGTCATTGAATTACTGTAACTGGTAAGCTTATCAAGAAGATAAAACATGTTTTAAAGAAGTTGTATGACATTTTTTAAAGAAGTTGCATGTATGAGGAAAATTTATCATAATGTTATTATAAATTTTTATTTACATAAAGTCAAGTTTATATGTGCTCCTTTATCCAGAGACAGGAGTAATGGATACAACTCCATATTAAAGTCACTCGGCACAAACTAGTTTTATCATCAGATATATTATGCTAGTTTGAAGTTGTTGCAAACTAGCTTATTGCAATGAGATATAAATTCTGTAGCTGGTTGTTACTAACTTTTTAGCAAAACTCCCCAAACTGAACATAGATGATTGACAGATCCATCTTGATACAGATAGAAATATAAGTGATCTACATAGATATACACACGTATGTATTTGTGCATTATATCAAGATTTATTGAGTACTTAGACTGTAAGTAGGTGCTGCTCCAAGTAAAAGGGGTACAGTGGTAACCAAAACAAAGTCCATTCCTTCATAAAGCTTTTACTCTATTCAGGATGAAAGAAAATAAATATATAAGCAAGTAGTTTAGGAGATTAATGAATTGGTAGGGGTGCTACTTTAGTTAATGTGGTCAGGGAATTAGTATAAGAAGGTGATATTTGAACTTGGGTCTATTCATTGAAAATAATTCAGTGACATGAATATCTTAGAGGGTTTCAAAAAATACAGAATTCTTTTACAGATATCATCACTTTGAGGAAGCTTTAACTGCAAAAGTGCTTTCAAATTAAGTAAATATACTATCAAATTTACCCCAATTGTGTTTTTCAAGAAAGTTCATCCTTAGAATATGATTACAAAATTCTCAGTGAAACCTGTTGCTCACATTTCCTATTGTTCTATTGTAGTAGACACTATTTTGGATGTTTTGATGATGATCCAACCTCTACCCTCTATGGCCTCTTTTTCAGAGGTGTCCATGTGACACAGCTCTGACCAATAAAATGTTAACATTTTAACATAATAATATGTTAACTGGATATGGCTTCCTGGAAGCCTTTTGCTTTTCTGATTAAGGAGCTTTTTCTCCTTTGCTCTGTGCTCTATTTTAGGTAGATGACTAAAGCTCCAAGAAGCATGGGAAAAAACTAAGAGAATCCTAGTGATTCTGGGTATTAGTGGGTTGAAGAACCAGCAACAGTAGTTGATGACCTTCAGATTTCATATTATGTATAAAAATGTATTTACACTATTATTACCTGAGTGTTCTATTGCTTGCAACTGAGAACATTTCTAACTGACACAAGCATGGTCTGCATTCAGACATGCACACATTTTCTTACGACTTCTATTCATTCCTCCTTGGTTACACCCTCTCTTCAAACAATTTATTCTTCAGTGACAAGGAACTAAATCTTAGGGGAAAATAACTTTATTCTTCTCTTGCATGCTCAGATTTGTTAGTGCTGCTTCTTTATGAATGGTTTCTAAAACTGTATTTGTTAAAATGTTCCTTTGTGTTATTTCAACAAAGAAAATAATAAGAATCATGCTTATTTTAATTTTTATAGGTGTAGTATTGACTAACTTTTACAACTCATACATACAACTTTATAATCTTTCAAAATTGCAGTTTGGAAAAGCCTTTCTCTAGAATTCACAAAATAATGCCTTCGGTTGGGTTTCCCATCTTTGTTGAAATGATTCTATTTTCCTACAAATTGTTGTTCAGGAAGGATGACTGAGTCTAGAAAGAAAAGAGGGAGGTGCGTCATCCTTTCCATCTCTACACAGAGTAAATAAGTCACTGAATTTAGCATTTTGATTTGGTGTTCCCAAAGCATTGACTTTCTTGGTGTTTTTTTTGTATATTTACATTTGGAAATAAAATTAAATAAAAAATTACATTAAAAATACATCCACTTCATCTGTTATATTATTTGCGAAAAAACCTAAAATATTCCTAGGTTTGTCAGATTTAACTATTTTATATTTCTTCTTCAGAGAGACTATTGTTAACAAAGGTACTAAAACCAAAAGTTTCAAACACGTTTCTATATTTAAGTTTGTTAAAGTAGGAGGAAACTCAAGGGTGAGAGAATAAATACATTGGTGAGTCTGTGATCTAAGGTCAAACTTTAAAAAAAAAAATAACCTCAGACAAATAGTTTCACCCTCCATTCAACTTGTGTTAAACATGACCATTTTGATTTGTCTTCTACCAGATGTACTCATTTAATGACTTATTTATTACAAACCTAGAAAAATGCTGTGCCAGCTTCTGCGGAAGGAATTTAAAATATATGTGTATGTGTGTATATATATTTGTGTGTGTGTGTGTGTGTATACACATATATGGCATAGTCAGTTCTTTTAGGCATTTTACAATCTATAGAGTGAATAAAGTCTATGTAAGGAATTCTATGCTCTGTTTCTCTCTTTTGTGAGTGGTAGTTACCAGAATAACTGTAGGAAATCATAAAGATCCCTTCCCATCAGGTGATCAGGAAAGACTTCATGGAGTGGGTGTGTTTTGAGCTTTGATCTTGATACTTTTGAAGTCAATAAGAGCATGAATTCTAGAAATTCTAGAATAAGACTGCTTCTGTCCAAACTTCAGCTTATCTGGAAAATGTGCTTATGTATCTTTAGACACAATAATATCTACTTTATAGATCTCATTAAATACTTTAAAAAGTTAATATATGGGAAAGCTCAGAACAGTGTCTTTTATATTGTGTGTGCTTCAAAATGTTAACTATCATTTCAGTAGATGTAAAGATATGGTGAGAATTCCAGCAAAAGAAACCCTCTCAAGCAAGGGATATCTGCAAGAACACATATCTTCATGAGGGCTAAGTTGACTCATTGTATTGGTTTCCTAGGAATGTCACAACTCATTACCACAAATTGGATGACTTAAAACAAGAGACATTTATTCCCTCACATTTCTGAAGGCTATATGTCCTAAATCAAGGCATCAGAAGGGCCACACTACCTCCAAAGGCTTTAGTGGAGGATCCTTCTTTGACTCTTCCAGCTTCTGGTGACTCCTGGCATTCCTTGGTTTGGGTAACTCCAATCTCTTTCTCTATCTTCACCTGGGTGTCTCCTCTGTGTATTTTCCCCCTTTCTTCACTTATAAGAACACTGGTCATTGGATTTAGAGTTCACCATAATTTAGAACATCCTCATCCCAAGATCTTTAACTTAATTACATCTGCAAAGACCCCATTTCCAAATAACTTCATATTAATAGGTTCCAGGTTGACATACCTTTTAGGAGGCCACTATTCAAAATAACACTTTTATTTTTGGAATTAAAAAGTACATAAAGAGGAACTTTGGAATATAATTAGAATATAAAAAGTAGCTTTCAATACCTAAGGACAAACTTAATAATTCATTTTATAGACATTGGTAAGTCATTGAAAATTTGAGTGACAAGAAGAGGACTATGGTTTAAAAAGATTAATCTGGTTGCAAAAGGCAGAATTTGCTGAATAGGGAAGACACTGGAGACAAAAGACCAGTAGGAGATATGTGTGGAAGATCATGGAGAAGCTAAGACTTGGTCCAGTGTCATGATGCTAGACCAGTGTCATGATGCTAGAAATAAGAAAAATATTAGGAAGCAAAGATTTTAATAACTTAGTTTAAAAAATGAATTTGAGTGGTTAAGGATATGGGATAAGTTAAGGGTGCCTCTCAGAATTAAGTCCAGAAAGGAAGTTGTTTTTGGAGAAAGTGATTTTTTTGTGTGTGTTGGAAATATTGAATTTGTGTTGGAGATTCAGGACATATGCCAATAAATCATAAGTCTTGAGATATATATATATATATATATATATCAAGTCTATATATATGTGTGTATATATATATAGAGAGAGAGAGAGACTATATATATATATATATATATATATATATATATATATGGAGAGAGAGAGAGAGAGAGAGACTAATTTTAATCTCATTGTTTCAAGTATCATAATTATAAAAATTTAGGATTTTGAGAAACCCTAAACTGGAGACAGTCCTCTGAGTATACACTTGCTGGTAAGGGTTTCTCATGCAAAACTTCCTGCAATTAATAATTATGGTAGTTGAAACAATGAGATTAAGAGCTTATAGCCCAAAGGCTTTGAGAGACTCTATCCAGAGATAGTCCTTAAAATGCCACATATAGTAATGTTGTTATTTGGGAACCTAGGTAATAAAGTAGAGAAACTTAACTCCTATTCAACCATACAGACAAAAGTCATCCACATAAGATAAAATAAATATAACAACATGCCTCTCTGTATTTAGAAGGCAGGTGGCCTAATTTTATCCAATCAGCTTTGTTACTGAGCTGTAATTACTTCAATTTACTGTGGTATCCGGTTATCTGGGCAAAAGTATTCTTTCAACATTTTGGGTCATTTCAGTCTACCATCTTGATGTAGGTCAAGCCAGACCAAACATAAAAGAATTGTTTTTCTGTTCCCTTCACCAACATTGTGTTCTTCTTTTTTGGAGATGGAAAGTGTTGATATAGTATATTACTACGACAGCTGAAACCAACTTCACAAACCCTCTCATTATTAATAGCATGAAGATATGCTTTGCCAAGAGTGTAATGATTCTTTTAATAAAGAAATTTTACTCTCTCATCTACCACATTGTTTTCAAAAGCTGTATCATTAGAGATTAAAAAAACAGTATGTAGTGTATAGAGAGAAATGGCAAATAATACATTGGTAATTAAAATGATGTCAACAAGTTGCCAAAAGAAGGGAAAGAAACTCAGGTAAATATGATCAAAAAGACGTAGAGATACAGGAAGTTTTGCATGAGCAACTGTTACCAGCAACTGTATACTCGGAGGACTGTCTCCAATTTACTGTCTCAAAATGTGATTCCTATCTGCTCTGTAACTGTAGAAACATTCCCCTAAAGCCCTTAGAAGAAGTCAGTGAAGAAAGAACCCTGGCTACCCTACAGTCACCAGTTGCCTGAAATAGGCAGAGAATTTGCAATCTCTCCTGTCCTCAGGTGATTCTCCATTGAGGAGAAACCCAACCTGATGGGACACATGAACTTCCTTTCAGGACAGTCACCTTCAAAAAGGATTAAGTGAATTTTTCCTGCCATGGCAACCAACTCATTCTAATATGCTTTTCTAATCCTCCACAGCTTATCTGAAATCTGAAATGCTTTCAGCAAATTAGAATTCTACTAACTCTTTGAAGTCACAAGGAGATACAAAACTGTTTAAAACAAATAATATCTTATCTTAGGCAAACATTTGTTGTTAAATCATTTTGTCAAAGTGTGAATTAGATTGTGTAAAATAAAGATAAATCAGTTTGCATGTGCATAGAGGGGGCAGTAAAGAGACCTGAAAGGCAACAGATAACTAACTCAGGACAGAAGGGAGAAAATGGGCATTAGAATGAGACATGGATTCAACTCTGAACTCCCAAGATATAGGAAAAAATTCATCCTTACGGACGAATTTTTTATCCTTAGTTTCCCAACCTGTGAAACAGAGATTATTATCACCTCTATCAGGGTTGCCGCAAGGATTAAATGTGACAATATTGTTCTGGCACATTATAGGTAATCAATGAAAAATGTTCCTTTTTTCTTTCCTGGATTTGGGGAAATTTTTTTCCTCAAGGTAGACAAATGGTTCAGAAAGTAGAGAATATGATATAATCCCAGTTTTAAAGCTTCACATTTCACTCAAGATATGGAATACATTTGCAACATGGAGAATGGGGCATGGAGAATTTGCAACATAGTGGGAATGATACAACTGAGACTTTGAATATAACCTACTCCCATGCATTAGCATTATGACCTGGCTCTTGAGTATTATCCAGCAAATAACATTAAATAGCAAATTTTAGGGAAGAGGTCCTGACTTGGTTGTTTTTAATGGCCAGCCTCATCAATTTTCTTATTCCTTTCACACTTACTTTTTGATATATCGACTTTTAAATCATGCTCCTGATCTAGGATGTCTAATTAGACTCCTTTTCCTCTACCAAGTTCAATCAAATTCCTTACTCTGTTCACTCAGTTTTAGCATCTACTCTGTATATCTCCTCAATCCACATAGCTCCCTCTCATAGTAGGGGCAGGGATACTGGTATCAAGTGAAATGCCTTACAACTCAATTTTTCTACAATTTTTATCAATAATCTCAATGTTATCAATGAGCAAGTTGGATATTTTTCTTATAATTTTAAAGCCTGAAATATTTTTCTCACATGATTTATGATTTTTTAAAATAAGACTGATTTTATGGAGAGAAGGTTTGGGTTTTAGGTTAGTAGATTAACAACAGGCATCTCTGTATACTGATTGAGATGCCCAGCTTTTCCTCTTACTTCCAGCCAAATGCAATAGTCGAAATAAAATGTGTTCTCACTTGAGGTCAATATATCAAATACATGCTTAAGAAAGGTTCAACTGCTTGTGAATACAATGTACCAAAATGTCTCAAATGTATTTAAAGGTGGTTTCTAATGTTCTTATATATGGTTAGGCCATACTTTTAAATATGTACAGTGGTCAACTATTAGCCAACTTAGCCACAAACAAAAAAGGCTAAGTGCTATTAAAGTTTGTAATAGGGAACTCTGTTTTAGTTTTGCAAGTTACTCATGCCTTCCTGAAAGAGTATTGATTGAGCAGAAATCTGAAATATGAGTCAACTCAGATATGGAATTGGGAGTTTTACGCAAAGGGAAGGCAGCATATACAATGGTCCTAAGATGTGTAGGGCCATAATACATGCTAATTGACCTGCAAGAAGTTGGATGGGGAGGTAGTAACTGAGTACTAACTGGAAAGACAGGCAAGGATAATTAGTATATAAAGGCTTACACTCCATTTAACGGATTTAGGTCTCTCTCTTAAGAGCAAAGGGAAGCCACAAAAAGGTTTTAAGCAGAAAGTTGACATGATCAGATTTCTATTTTAAAAATACCACTCTTTTGAAAGAGGATTTATTAAAAAGGCAAAAGTAGATAGTGGGAGATCAGATAGAAAGTATTTTGGGAGTCCATCAACAAGGAGCTAGCATCACGGATGGTGGTGAGAAGAGTCCCATGAGTAGATGTAGGGGTAGTGGTGAGATTCACACTTTGGTTAGAGAGAAGTGAGTATATTTAGAATATTTGTAATAGAATATAACAATAATTTATTACATTGGAGGAGTGAAAGGGAGAGGGAGCATTCTATGATAACTCCAGAGTTTTGGTTTCTGGCTTGTTCATCTGATGGATAGTGAGTATCTTAGTTATGGATAAGAGCTTTGACTCTGGTGACACGTGTGGGGATAAATGGATGAATGATGGGTAGGTAAACAGATGGATAGATAGATTTTACATTTCAGATGTTATTATTCCAAACATACTAACAAAAAGGAATATAGTACGAGCTTGAGCAAACTCTGGACACCCTAGGATAAAGGATCTTTATTTTTGGTTGTTGGGAGCTGATCAGCAAGTCGTAACAGATATAAAAATGATAGTATGCTCAAGTAACATGTTTATGTCCATTGTGGTTCTTATCAGTAACAACAAATATGACCAAGTATTTATTTTGCCCATCCATTTCAATGTAATACATTCACAGTTCAAACCAATACATGCACATATCAGTGAGGCAGTATGATGAAAAAATTATCATGTGCATTTCAGGACAGAACTTTCTGATGTGCAAATCCTTATTTTGATATTAGGGCCTTAGAAAACTTATGTATTTCTTTGTATGGTAGTTTTCTATAAGAGTAAAAAAAAATAAAATCTACTCTATGAAGTTATTTTGAGAAGTAAATTAGTTAATACATGAAAAATGGATAGAAAAATTCTTGACCTTAGACATACAACTTTTCTACTTAGCATTTCTGCTGACTGTCTTAAGAGAGTCTTGTAGAAGATGCTAAGAAAAAATTTGGATCAAACATATTTTATTATAATATACTACAGTTGTGCTAAAACAAAGCTAGAGGAAGACAGGGTTTCGGAGAGAAAATCAAGATTTCCATTTTTGGCATGTTTATTTTTAGCTTGCTATGAGGTATCCAAGTGAACATTGTATACATCTGTGCAGTAAATCATCTGGAGTTCCAAGGTCATCCGGGCTAGAGATACATATTAATGATTGTCAATATACAGATGGGGGAAAAAACTATTAAGATAGATGAAAATTACCTATGGAGACAGTATACAACAGCAATGAACTTTGAGTTCCCCAGGAAATAAGACTCTGCGGTGGAGATTAACACACTGACAGTTTATTAGAAAGTGTTTATAGGATCAAAATAAATGAAAAAGAAGGAGGCAGGATTGGGCAGCAGGAGAAAAAAGACTATGGTGAGATATCAACAAAGACTTCAGATGACCCAACAGGGAAACTGAAACCAAGACAAATCTTCAGAATGGTCAAAGTTAAGGGATGTTTTGAGGTCTTTATAGCACTCTCCTGACCAGTCATTGAATGTAGACTGTCCCAACGATAAGGGCTCTCTGCCACCAGCATGCCCAGTGACTGGCTGAAAGGGTACTTCCATGACGCTTTTGAGAAGTGCATGGCAGCATCCACCACAAATGAAAGAGAAGCGTGTAAGGCTGACTCTTGAGCATCTCCCAGCTTTTAAAGGTCCAGAAGATGATGATAAGCCAGAAAAGAAGAATTAGAAGAGGAAGCCATACAAGTAGGAAAAATGAATGATGTTGGGTAATGGACACTAAGAAAGAAAGTATGTTGTAAAGGATGAAGTACTTCAAAGTATCAAATGTTGCTGAGTTCAAAATTTAAAAATATACTGTAAAGAGCAAGCTAAATCCAAAGGAAGGAGATTGAATAAAATATTTAAAATTAGAGTGAAAATAAAGAAACTAAAAAATAGAAAAATAATAAAGAATAAAAATGAAACCATTTTTTTGAAAAAAAATTAACAAAATTGACAAAGTGTGAGCAATACTTTGTCAAGCAAAAAAAAAAAAAAAAGACAAGACTCGAGTAACTTAAATCAAGAAGGAAAGAGGAGATATCACTAATCCAGTTGAAATAAAAAGGCTTATAAGAGAATACTATGAACAACTACACACCAAGAAATTAGATGATATAGATGAAATGAGAAAATTCCTAGAAGGACACAAACTACCATGACTGACTCAAGAAGAAATTGGATAGCTGATTAGACATATAGTAAATAAAATGATTAAATTAGCAATTTGAAATTTTTCCACAAAGTAAATCTCAAGACCTAATTGTTTTACTGGTTAATTCTATAAAAAGCTTAAAAAGGAATGAATATAAATCCTTATCAAATTCTTTTGAGACACGGAAGAGAAATAAACACATTCCTTTTTATTCTATGAGGTTAGTATTAATCCAATAATAAAACCAGAAAGAATACATTACAAGGAAAAACTTACAGACCAATATTCCTTATAAATATAGATGCAAATATCGAATCCACCAGCATCTAAACATTTGTACATACTATGACCAATTGGGATTTATCCCAGTATTACATGGTTGGTTTAATACTTTAAAAATCAATCAATTTTCACAAAGAATTAATATAGTAAAAGCAAAAACATGATTATTACCATAGACACAAAAAAGCATTTGACAAAATCCAACAGTTTTTAATTTTTGTTGTTGTTGTTGTTGTTGTTGTTTAAAAAAAAACCTCAACAAATTAGGAATAGAAGGAAACATCCTTAACTTGATAACGAACATTTATAAAAATCCTACAGTTTACATCACACTTCCTGGTGAAAAAATGAATGCTGTTTCCCATAACATAGCTATACTGAACGTTCTCGTGAGGATAATTAGGCAATAAAAAAAGTTAACTAGACTAAAATAAAGTTGTAAATCTATTTCTACTTTCGGATGATGCAATCTTGTACGTAGAAAATTCTAAATAATCCACTGAAAGACAATTAGAATTAATAAATGAATTCATCAAGGCTATAATATATAAGATTGATATACAAAAATAAATTATATTCCTATACACTAGCAATTAACTACCTAAAAATGAAATTATAAAATTTTATCTTCAATAGCATCAAAAAGAATAAACTATTTAGGGAAATTTTAACAAAAAAGTTCATAACTTATACAGTAAAAGCTATAAACCATTATTGAAAGAAAACAAAGACTTAAATAAATAAAAAGATATTCCAGATTAGAAGACTTAGTATTGGTTAAATGGCAATATTCCCCAAATAGATCTACAGATTCAACATGATTGCTATCAAGATCCAGAGGGCCTAGTTGCAGAAATTGACAAGTTGATTCTAAAATTTATGAGGAAAAAAACCAAGAATAGCCAAAATAATCTTTTTTAAAACAGAACAAAGTTATAGGACTCTACATAATCTGATTTGAAAATTTACTGCAAAACTTTAGTAATCAAGAAAGAGACTGTAATGCTATTTTAAGGAAATACATACAGGTCAGTGAAATCGAATTGACAGCCCCAAAATAAACATTTACATTTATGATAGTTGTCTTTGACAAAGTTTTCAAAACAACATAATGCTGGGAAGAGAAATGTGTTTTCAATACATGGTACTGAGACAACTGGATAGCCACAAGAAAAAAATAAAGTTGAAGCTTTATCCCACAGCATATACAAATACTAACTCAAAATGAATTGCACACTTTAATGCAAGAACTAAAACTATAAAACTGTTAGAAACAGAGGAGCAAATCTTTGTGACCTTGGATTAGGCAATAGTTCCTCAACATGACAACAGAGTACAAGTAATGAAAGAAAAATGGATAAATTGGACTTACTTGAATTATTTTGAAAATGTGCTTCAAAAGGACTCCAACAAGAAACATTAAATGAAAGAAATTGAGGTTACTTAGAACAAAAGTCCATCGTATTTAGCAAGATAAAGGTCATTTCTGACTTTATCAAAAGTCATTTTTGCTTGAATTGTGGAATTATAAGCCAGAATGGAATACATTGACAAGCAGATAGTAAAGATGTGGGTGCAGAATGAATGGACAACACTTTGAATATGTTTGGCTATGAATGTGTGAAAAAAATTGCATTGTAGTTGTTTCTGTGAGGTAAAATGTAATAAAGGGAGAAATTTTATTTCATGATGGAGACATAAAAATGTTTAAATGATAATAGGAAGGGGCTAGTGCAATGGAGAGATTAATAGGAGAGAGAACAGATTATGGAGAAAGCTGTCTGGCAAAGTACGAGAAGAGACAGTATCCAGAGTATATTGCGGAAGGAAATGTCCTCATGGGACTTATATTTATTGGGTTAAAGAGTATACATCTGAAAATATCATCGCTAATAGACAAAGGACAAATAAACTCAAATTACATAGTTTTAGATTTCAGGTATACATGAGATAATTCTGGGCTAATGTATTTTGGTAAATTTTGTGTATTATACGAATAGACTAAGTCCTAGAACCAACAACTTCAAAATATCACTAGCTTTACAAAATTAAATTTTATTTCCTACTCATGTAATAGTTTGTTGTGGATATTTGAAAATTAACTCCTTAGGGCATTAGAGTCTTGCATTAGATCCTTGAAATCTGGCCTGCAGACAGAAAAGAAGGAAACCACATTTCATAAATAATATTTTTATGACTCAAACTTGGAAAAGGCTTACATAACTGCTGCCCTCTTTTCATTGGTTAAAACTTAGTTACATGGTCTGACTTAACTGCCAACCTGAAGGTCCATCCAGTCACTGCATCTAGTTCAAACTCAAGGATCTCTCGATTATCCAAAGTGCTTTCTGTCAGTTTTGGATCTGTCTCCTGTTGGTCTCGGGTCCTATAAACTATAAAACAAACAAACAAAAAACATCCAAATGACTTATTTGACACCCAACCATCCCACCAAGTAAACAAAGATGGACCAAGTATAGAAAAACTGCAATTTTACATAGAGAAGGCAAAACAATAAGATATACACAGTCATTACTATTCAATAGCAATTTTTAATTTCTGCAGGGTGAGCATTAAGAAAGTCTCCTACACACATGGACACACACGCACACACGCACACACACACACATTTTTCAGCTGTTCATCCTCAGATTTCAGTATCTTTGTTGCCTGCTTCTACCAGACTGCTAAGCCAGTCCCAAACATTTTAGGTTTATGTTATGATAGCAACCATCTTCAAGTATATCACTTTCTAATTAAGGTTAACACTCATTGCTATAACCTACGAATCCCCAAATCTCAGCAGATTTTAACACAATATAAGTAGCACAATATACCTGGAAAAACACAATATGACTTGTGTTATAATTCAATATATAACTTGTTTTATATATAACTTATGAAATATATTTGTATGTACATATCACACTATATATAACTTGTGTTATAACACAGTATCACTTGCATAACAATTCAATGTGGTTATTTGGCAAATGGCCACAGGTTTAGATCCTTATAACTTACCTTTCTGTCATTCCGTACATCTTTGGAATCATCTACTGGATCCTTTAAAGTTGCAAGGTGACAGGGGAAGAGTATGGAGGATCCCCTTTAAGTTTTTAGGGATAGAAGTATGTATTAATTTCCTGAGGCTGCTGTAACAAACTACCACAATGAATTACCCAGTCATGGGCAGTACATTTTCACACTGCTATAAAGAACTGCCCAAGACTGGGCAATTCATAAACCAAAGAGGTTTAATTGACTCACAGTTCCAATTTATAAAGGAAACAGGTTTAATTGACTCATAGTTCCTTATGGCTGGGGAGGCCTCAGGAAACTTGCAATCATAGTGGAAGGTGAAGGGGAGGGTCTGTGAGTGAGAACTGACCCAAAACAAAGTGATCAGACAAAAGGGAGTGAATGTGCTCAGGAGGCAGATCTGGAGCAGAACATTCATTGGAGGTACTGTTTGTGTAAGATGACAGCCTTCCATGGAACAATTGTAGCAGAATCTTGACTGAGGTGATGTACAAGGCTGTTAAATATGCTAAAGACTTGGTTGAGACGCATGTATAGAAGTCATGAAAGGCAAGATTAGATGTTAATATAACCAGATTGCTCACTGAAAGCTGAACAAGCCATGTAAGATGAAGCCAGTGGACATTAATGAACCACTATGTATTTTTGAAGATAAATTATATAATAAAATTCTTTGAGGGAAATTAATGATGTTTTATAGAGAGTAGTGGTAATGATGGTAGTGTTGACAGAGTAAGTTAATAGGAAAATCTATTAGTACATATTTGAATGAGTATGGTATGGTAAGGGACTTGGATTGGGGCCACAGCGGTGGAAATACATTCAATTTTTGTTCATCAAGCACAGATTTAGTAGTTTCTGGGAATGCAAGGTAGACAAATCAAAGTCTCTGCCTACATGAAGCTTACACTCTAGGTAAAAAGCAGATTATAAATAATTAAAGAGTTATGTGAAATATTGTCAGAAGCTGAAAGGTGTTATATGTAAAAATTAAGTCATTTAAGGGGACAGTTAAATAGGTTGCTATTTTAGATAGGGTGGGATCAATAGGCCTCTTAGGAGATACAGTGTTTAAGCAGATGTTTAGTTAAAGTAAAGGATTGATCCATTAGCTTTCCAGGGTAGAGGCTTCCAGGCAGAAAAAAAACTCATTTACAAGAACCCTGAGTAAAGGTAGGGAAAGGAGTAAGTGACGAGACATTAGACAGCAAGTAGAAAATTGAGGCCGGGTGCTGTGGCTCACTCCTGTAATCCCAGCAATTTGGGAGGCCGAGGTGGGCGGATCGCCTGAGGTAAGGAGTTCGAGACCAGCCTGGCCAACATGGTGAAACCTCGTCTCTACTAAAAATACAAAAATTAGCAAGGCGTGGTGGTGTGAGCTTGTAATTTCAGCTACCCATGAGGCTGAGGCAGGAGACTCGCTGGAACCTGGGAGGCAGAGGCTGCAGTGAGCAGAGATCATGGTGCTGCACTCCAGCCTGGGAGACAGAGCAAGACTGCGTCTCAAAAAAAGAGAGAGAAAAAAAGAAAATTGATAGAAGTTGAAGTCAAAGGAATAGTCACAGTTAAGTCATATAGGCCATGGTGAGATTTTAAATTCTTTTGAAAATGTTGACTTTGAGACATTTATTGGACAATCAGATGAGAATATTACTCAGCCATGTGGATTTACTAGTTTGGAGTTTAGGAGAAACCTGAAGCATAAAGGTGTACCTTTTGTACACGTTAGCATATATAATATATTTAAAGCTAGAAGACTGGATATAATGCAAATTGAACATTATAGAATCTACGAAAATGACTCAGTTGATGCCTTATTAGATATATTGGGGTTCAAGAGATGAGTGTATTTTGCAGCATAGCAGACTATGATTATAATAAAACTAAAAAAATTGACTTATGTAGGAAGTTGCATTTTAAAGAGAATTAGTGACTTTGATTTCAGCTATGTTACGTTTAGAAGACATAAGATAAATCTTATAAAAAATGTAGAGTAGGCAACTAGAGAAGAGGGAGCAGAAATTGGAAGAAAGAAAAGGAAAAAATGTAAAGATTTTGGTGTTCTCAGCCAAGAAATGATACCTGAAGTTAAAAAAAATAGGATATAATGTCATTTTATCAGCAGGATACAGTATGGTGAGAATTCCAGATTCATAACTGATTATGTTAGTCTGAATAATGGCGTCCCCCCAAATATATCCATAACCTAATCTCTGGGACATGTAAATTACCTCATGTGGCAAAAATAACTTTGCGGATATGATTAAGTTAGAGATCTTGAAATGGGGAGATTACCATAGATTATCTAGGTATGCTCTAAATAATACATGCACATTCATAAGAGGGAGGGAGGCAGATGGGAAATATATATATATATATATATATACACACATATATATGTGTGTGTATATGATATTTCTAGCACTTGTAAAGATTCCTTGAATAGTAATTTTTTATATTTAGATCTCTATTAAATTTTATTCTGTGTATATAAATGTACATAGTACAAATCTGAAAACTTTCATCAATAAGTTATCAATAGTTCCAAGAATGCTTATGGGAAGAGACTAAAATTTAATATATACAAGCATTGTAAAGAAGTACTTTAAATGAATTTCTATATAGAAAAATTAACCATAAAACAATATGAGAAGCTTGTAAATAGTGATGTTAACAGGAAAGTAGGAATCTGTCTTAACTAGAGATGCAACTGAAATATATCAACTGATGAAAAATGAAACCAATAATCAACATGTATTACATTTACTGCTTGCCTGTTACACACTTAAACACCTGATGGCTTGAGCTACACAATGAACAAGACATCATAGTTCCTCCATTTTTTTTACCAATAGTTTTAGGTTTACAGGAAAATTAAGAAGAATGTACAGAATGTCCCCATATACCCCTCATATATTTTTCCATATTATTGACATCTTACATTAGCATGGCACATTTGTAACAACGAATGAACCAGTCTTGATGTATTATTATTAAGTCCATATTTTTCAGATTTATTTAGTTTTACCCTCATGTCCTTTATTTGTTCCAGGGTCCCATATGACATTTAACTGTCATGTCTCCTTAGGCTCCTCTTGGCTATGAATATTTCTCAGATTTTCTTTATATTTTGATGACCTTGACAATTTTGAGGTGCACTGGAGAAGTGTTTTACAGAACGCACCTACAATAGGATATATGGAATTTGTCTGAACATCTTTCCATGCGTAGACTGAAGTCATGGGTTTAGGGGAGGAATACGGCAGAGGTAAATGTCTCTTTTTATCATATATCATATGTATAAAATGTCAACATGACTACTGATACTGTCCTCAATCACCTGGCTGAGGTTGTGTTTCGCAGGTTTCGTTGCTGTAAAGTTACTGTTCCACCACCTACCTTTCCATGATGTGTTATTTGGAAGGAAGTCACTATGCTCAGCCCATACTTAAGAAGTGGGAAGTTATGCTCAACCTTCATGTGTGTCTACATAAATTATGTGGATTTTTTTTTTTTTTTTTCGAGACGGAGTCTCTCACTGTTGCCCAGGCTCGAGTGCAGTGGCCAGATCTTGGCTCACTGCAAGCTCCGCCTCCTGGGTTCACGCCATTCTCCTGCCTCACCCTCCCGAGTAGCTAGGACTACAGGCGCCCGCCACCAAGCCTGGCTAATTTTTTTTTGTATTTTTAGTAGAGACGGGGTTTCACCGTGTTAGCCAGGATGGTCCCAATCTCCTCACCTCGTGATCCGCCCGCCTCGGCCTCCCAAAGTGCTGAGATTACAGGCATGAGCCACCGCACCCGGCCAATTATGTGGAATTTTTATGCATGGGAGATTTGCCTCTTCTCCCCGTTTATCACTTTATTCAATCATTTATTTTTTAATTTTATTTTTTTTAATTTTTAATTTTGGGGAGTACGTAGTAGGTATATATATTTCTGGGGTACGTGAGATGTTTTGATACAGGCAGGCAATATGAAATAAGGACATTATATGAAGAATGGGGTATTCATTCCCTCCAGTATTTATCCTTTGAGTTACAATCAACCCAATTACACTCTAAATTATTTTAAAATATACAATTAAGTTATTGACTATAGTCACTTGCTTGTGCTATAAAACAGTAGGTCTTATTCATTCTTTCTATTGTTTGTATCCATTAACTATCCCCACCTACTTCTTATTTGTGGGATTTAAAAAATCAAATCAATCATTTATTTAGATCAGTATGGACTCATGAATATTTATTTTATACTTTGGGTTATTATCCAATATTACTTTATTTATTCTGTTGCTCCAATTATTCCAGGTTTGGCCATTAGGAGTTCTTTCTGTTATCCCTTATGTCCCATTGACATTCTCCATCAATGTGTGTGTGTGAGTTATTACTTTTTGGTAATCCAAGGTGCTTCAGGGTCACCTTTCCCACCCTGGTTCTAGAATAACCAATTTCTCTGAGAAGCCATGCTTCCTTTTATCAGAGAATAGTATTAGATACTAAGATCTCTGTGCTAGGTGTGCTTGTTGCTACTTGGGCAATTTTTAAAGTACTTTCAGCTAACGGAACAAGGAAATATAGAAGTTTATTTTACCCTTGTGTATATACACATATCTGTAAGTATTTTCATAAGCAAACTGTGTCTATGTTAATCTAAGCATGAGTTTTTATTGATGTCTCCAACTGTAATCCTTCATTACATGGGCCTTTCTATCCTTCTCTTTTTCTTAAATTTAAATTCTCACTCCAACAGTGAGAAACCTGGCTCCCACCACTCACCCTCCATTTACTTATTTCTTCACTTCCAATATATATGTGTAGCAGTATCAGAATTGTAAACCTTGTATCCCATCCTACACTTTCTTAGCAAGCTTCTCAGGTGATTTTTGTATACATGAAAGTGATAGGGTGGGTCAACCCCATTGAATAATTAATTTCTGGTTTCAATTACATTCAATTTTTCTCCCATTATAAGATTAAAAAAATCATCTTAATTAGGACCACAATTTTCAAACTTTGTATTTTAAATATTATATATTAAATATTAAAATTAAATATTGTCTATTTACCTTTAATTTATAGACTTATCAGTAATAAAAGTAAATAACCATAGCAAAAAATCACAATAATAAATTTGTTTCCACATTTAATCTCATCTTGCTGATAATAAGTGATAGATTCCTCACTTTGAATGTAATTTAAGGTAACATCGTCCACCTCTGCAGGCTTTCCTTATTAATAATAGCAAATGTAATTCATTAGGACATATAAAAATGAAAACAGTTAACCGCCTACCAGAAGAAACACCTTAGTCAAGATTTAGGATGTAGGTAGCAGTGACCTACATAAACTAGCTTAAGGGGAAAAACAGAGTGGAGGTGGCTTAGATTAGAGCTTTCTAATGGGAACACAGAGGACAGAGGCAGGTCAGAGAAATATACAACAATGGGGAACTGCCAAGCCATATAAACTTTTGTTTTCATATCTTTGTTTCTGTGTACCTTTTTTTTTTCCCACTTAGCCTCTCTGGTTCATATGTCTGATAGAAGATGGTCATTCATGCCTCCTAAACTTGTGCTTTACTAGTTCAGCCATTCAAAACAAAGGTCTTTTCTATGGACTGTGTTAGTCAGGGTTCCCTAGAGGGACAGAACTAATAAGATATATATATATCCTAGTATACTAAGACATATATATATATATGTCTTAGTATACTAGGATATATATATATGTCTATATATATATGTCTAGATATATATATATATGTCTTAGTATACTAGGATATATATATGTCAGTATAATAAGATATATATCCACATATATATATATGTTTATTAAATATTAACTTATACCATCACAAGGTCCCACAATAGGCTGTCTGCAAGCTTGAGGAGCAAGGAGAGCCAGTCCAAGTCTCAAAACTGAAGAACTTAGAGTCCCATGTTTGAGGGCAGAAAGCATCCAGTACGGAGAAAGATGTACGCTGGGAGGCTAAGCCAGTCTTCCTTTTCACGTTTTTCTGCCTGCTTTATATTTGCTGGCAGCTGATTCGATTGTGCCCACCAGATTAAGGGTGGGTCTGCCTTTCACAGCCCACTGACTCAAATGTTAATCTCCTTTGGCAACACCCTCACAGACACATCCAGGATCAATACTTTGCATCCTTCAATCCAATCAACTTGACACTCGGTATTAACCATCATAAGTCCACCCCTTGTCATCTTGAACCCCTACACATCTCCTGAGATCACATATAATCTTCAAATAAAGACAATAATAAGGTCATAATTACACCTAACATAATACAACTATCCTTTGTACAACTGGAAATGCATCAATCCCCAACCCAAATACTATTACATAAAGTTAGCAATACTTAACTACTGATATGAAGTCAATAAATCTTCTGTCACATGATAAAGAAAAAGGAAATAAAATGAAGAAATTGTTTTAGTACAAGTGTATACACGCACAAACATATTTTTAACCAAAGAAGGAGGAAATATTCATGACAGTTACAAGCCTCGTTTTTGCAGCTGGTCACATGGTCACAGCTGGTCATATGGTCACAGCTGGTATTAATGACTACCTTCCTCTACCACCCATTCTGTATTCCCTTTGCCTTCAGCAAGCACCTCATCAGGTCATGTTTTTTTTTTTTTTTCTCCCTGGGGGAGTGACCCAAACCTTCATTCCAGAGGGGTCTGGACCATATGTAGTCCTGCCTGAATTGTGCCGTTGTTGTAGTTTCCCATTGACCTTAATCACAGGACATAGTGATACTAAGAGATGCCCTAATGGATCTCTTGTATTCTATGCATACTCTTCCTTACTTCCATTATGGAGTAGTAGACTGATTTCATCTTTGGGTCGATCACCCCAGCCAACACTGTAACTCCCTTCTTAGCCTGTTCACTTAAAGGTAGGAGGAGCCCAAGTGTCCAGGTGTCAATCTTAACTTTCAGTTTAATGGAATCATTGTTGTTTCTCCTGGCGGCAGCATTCCTTCCTCCAGAACTAAGACCTCTAGGCCAGCAGAACATAATGTCGTGGGAACAGGAAGCAAAAATTTTGTTAGTGGATTACTAGGGGTGATGTGAGTGGTGCCACTTCTACTTCAATCCCCTGATTCCTGGACCCATGAATTCTGGCTATGGGAGAAAGAGTGCCATGTATTGGATGCTAATTCAGAGCATACATGGCATCTGGAGAACTTTGCTCCAGCCCTGCAAAGTATTGGCACCTAGTTGGCATTGTAATTGTGACTTCCAAAGACCATTCCACCTTTCTATCAATCCAGCTGCTTCCAGATAATGGGGAACATGGTAAGACCAGTTAATTCCATGAGCATGAGCCCCCTGCTGCACTTCTTTAGCCATAAAGTAAGTGCCTTGGTCAGAGGCAATGCTGTGTGGAATAACATGATAGTGGATAAGGCATTCCATGAGTACAAGGATGGTAGTCTTGGCAGACGCATTGCGTGCATGGTAGGCAAACCCATATCCAGAGTAAATGTCTATTCCAGTGAGGAAAAATCTCTGTCCTTTCCATGATGGAAGAGGTCCAATATAATCAACCTGCCACCAGGTAGCTGTCTGATCACCACAAGGATTGGTGCCATATCGAGGGGTCAGTGTTGGGCTCTGCTGCAGGCAAATTGGGCACTCAGCAGTGGCAGTAACCAGGTCAGCTTTGGTGACTGGAAAACCATGTTGCTGAGCCCATGCATAACCTCCATCCCTGCCACCATGGCTACTTTGTTTATGGGTCCATTGGGCAAGGACTGGGGTGGCTGGGGAATGGTGCTGAGTCCACAGAACAGGTCATTCTATTCACTTGATTATTAAAATCTTCCTCTGCTGAGGTCACCCATTGATGAGCACTCATGTGGGATATAAATATCTTCATAGTTTTGGCCCACTTAGAGAGGTCAATCCACATACCTCTTCCCCAAATTTCTTTGTCACCAATTCTCCAGTTATGCTTCTTCCAAGTTTCTGACCATCCAGCCAAACCATTGGCTAAAGCCCATGAATCAGTATATAATGGCACATCTGGCCATTTCTTTTTCAATGCAAAGTGCACAGCCAGGTGTACTGCTCAAAGTTCTGCCCACTGGGAAGATTTCCCTTCACCGTTGTCCTTCAGGGATGTCCTAGAAAAGGCTTGTAGAGCTGCAGCTGTCCACTTTCAGGTGGTGCCTGCATATCGTGCAGAACCATTTGTGAACCAGGCTCTAGTCTCCTCTTCCTCTGTTAACTGATCATAGGGAACTCCCCATGAGGCCATCGGTGTGCTGGGGGAGAGAAAGCAGGGTGGCAGGAGTAGAGACCATGGGCATTTGAGCCACTTCCTCATGTAACTTACTTGTGCCTTCAGGACCTCCTTGAGCCCTGTCATGTACATACCACTTCCATTTGATGATGAAATGTTTCTGTGCACGACCCACTTTATGGCTAGCTGGGTCATAGAGTATCCAGTTCATGACAGGCAATTCAGGCTACACGGTGACTTTATGACCCATATTCAAATGGCCAGTTTTCACCAAAGCCCAGTAACAGGCAAAGAGCTGTCTCTGAAAAGGAGAGTAGTTATCTGCAGAAGATGTCAGGTGCTTGTTCCAAAATCCTAGAGGTCTGTATTGTGATTCACCTATGGTGGCCTGACAAATGCTCCAAACAGCATCCCTATCTGCCACTGACACCTCAAGGACCATTGGATCTCCTGGGTCATAGGGCTCAAGTGGCAGAGCAGCTTGCACAGCAGCCTGGACCTTTTGCAAAGCCTTCTCCCGTTCTGGACCCTAATCAAAACTGGCAGTCTTTCAAGTCACTAGATAAATAGGCCAGAACAACATACCCAAATGAGGAATGTGTTGTCTCTGAAAATCAAATAGGCCCACTAGATGTTGTGCCTCTTTCTTGGTTGTAGAAGGGGCCAAATGCATCAACCTATCCTTCACCTTAGAAGGAATATCTTGACAGGCCCCACACCACTGAACTCCTAGAAATTTTACTGAGATAGAAGTTCTATGAATTTTAGTCAGATTTATTTCCCATCCTCTGACACGCAAATGTCTCAGCAATAAGTCCAGTGTGTTTGCTACTTCCTGCTCACTGGATCCAATCAACACAATGTCATCAATGTAATGGACCAGTGTGCTACCTTGCAGAAGCAAAAAATGATCAAGAACCAAAGCTGGAGAGTTGATATACCCCTGAGGTAAGAGAGTAATTGTATATTGCTGGTCTTGCCAGCTGAAGGCAAATTGCTTCTGGGGGCCTTATGGACAGGAATGGAGAAAAAGGCATTTGCCAAGTCAATGGCTGCATATCAGGTACTAGGAGATGTGTTAATTTTCTCAAGCAATGAAACCACATCTGGTACAGCAGCTGAAATTGGAGTCACCACTTGGTTAAGCTTAGGATAATCCACTGTCATTCTCCAAGATCCATCTGTCTTCTGTACAGGCCAAATGGGAGAGTTGAATGGGGATGTGGTGGGAATCACCACCTCTGTGTGTTTGAAGTTCTTGATAGTGGCACTAATCTCTGCAATCTTCCCAGGGATGTGATATTGGTTTTGATTTACTATTTTTCTAGGTAGCTCTAATAGCTTCCATTTGGGCTTTCCCACCATAATAGCCCTCACTTACCAGTCAGGGAGCCAATGTGGGGGTTCTGCCAGCTGCTAAGTATGTCTATGCCAATTATGCATTCCGGCACTGGGGAAATAACAGGATGAGTCTGGGGACACACTGGACTCGCTGTAAGTTTGACCTGAGCTAAAACCCCATTAATTACCTGACCTCCATAAGCCCCTACTTTAACTGGAGGACCACAGTGACATTTTGGTTCCCCTGGAGTCAAGGTCAGCTCAGAGCCAGTGTCTAGTAGTCCCAGAAATGCCTGATCATTTCCCTTTCCCTAGTGCACAGTTATCCTGGTAAAAGGCTGGAGGCCTCCTTGGGGAAGGATGGGAGAAAGATTCACTGCATAAATTGTCAGTAATGTAGTGGGGTCCTTCCTCAACGGGACCCGGCCTCCCCTTCATTCAAGGGGTTCTGTGTCTGTAAACTAACTCAAGTCTGGAAATTGATTGAGGGAAAGTGATTCTCTGTTTTTAAAATTCAAAGTAATCTTTTTCTATTTGACTTAGAAGTTTTCTCCTTATATAAATTAAGTAGAAATGCAATAGGCTTCCTATCAACTTCACTTATAGGACCACCATAATTAATTAACCAATGCCAGAGCTCTGCATGAGTCAGATTATTCTGATTGCTGGTTTGTCTCTGCTGTCCATTATGGTAGCTATGCCCATCTTGCCTTTGATGGTTGAGTGCCACCACTTTGCCCCTGCTACCTCCAGATCCAATTATTCCCATTGTATTTAAATTTTGCAGTTGAGTGGCTGTGGTTCTCACTATTAGATCTGACATACAGAGAAGAGCAATCACAGGGCTCTTCAATGATGCAGGTGCTGACCTCACAAGTCTATTTTGCAAGACATTGGTCAAGGGTATATCTTCTGACCCTCTCAGCTCGGATGAGTAGGTCTAAAGTGACTAATCCACTCTACCACCTCAATCTCCCTAAGCCTTTGGATCCCTTCTTCTTCATTATACCAAGGGAGATCAGGCATTTCCAGCTCGCTCACAGTGGGCCATCTTTTAATCCATATTTCAGCTAACCAAGCAAATAAACTATTAGAACCTTTTTTAACTCCCCGAGCTGCAACATTAAATGCAGAGTCCCTACTAGTGAGCCCAAAGCAACAAATTCAGCCTGATCCAACTCATGTTTCTTCCACCATTATCCCATACCCTTAGTATCCATTCCCAAGCCTGTTCTCCAGATTTCCATTTACATAAATTAGAGAATTCAAGCTGTTCTTTTCGAGTGTAGCACAGCTCCTCATGGATCACACTCTCAACCTCACCTCTAGGGCCCCGCTGGGACTTTAGTTATAGGTCTAGAAGCAAACAGGGGTGTTGGGGGTGGCTTCTGAGGAGAATCAACATTATTTTACCTGGCAACTGCCTCAGAGGAGGCCATCACTATTGCCCCAGGCAGCTCAGGTTTCTTCCCTCAGACAAAGGTGGAAAGGCTGATGGCAGCATGGGTCAGGAGGTGATGCTGCCACTACTGGGAATGGGGAAGCTGTTCTTCTGGCAAAAAGGTTCACCAGAGTTTACAAACTCAGTGTCCTCAGCTTCATCAAGTTCCTCCTACATGTCCCCATTCCAGGTTGCAGTGTCCATTTATTTTCCAATCAATGCTCTCACTTTAACAGTAGACACTTGGTGAGGCTGTCCATGCAGCTTTCATTGCAGGTCAGCCACTCGCATGATAAGATCTTGTATCTGTTTTTCCACCATTTCAGCTCTTTCTCTAAAGGAGAGAATACTCTCATACAGGGCAATCTTAGCAGATTTGAGCCTCAGTATCTGCTTCTGAAGCTGGGAGACAGAATCCCTGAGTTCATCATTTTCTTTCATCACTTTTTCCGCTGAACTTAGGAACACCCAACCAGTTTCATTATGTTCCTTGGTTCTCCACATATGGTCAAAGGTATTATGTATAGTGTCACTAAGTTCCTTGCCTCTCACAAGCGGTGAATCAGGAGTGTCAAATGCATTTATTTTGCATATTCTCTAAATAGTTCACTCCAAGGACTGTCAGTATTCTGCACACCATTAGAAGTACAGTCTTTAGTATTTTGAGGTGTAATCATGTTAAGCAGCCAACTCCAGAAACCCCAAAACCAATGAAGGAACTCCATCCTTAATATTCTGTTCCTCTAGAACCACTCCTGGTACCAAAATCTATATTAATTAGGGTTCTCTAGAGGGACAGAACTAATAGGGTATATATATATATATGTGTGTGTGTGTGTGTGTGTGTGTGTGTGTGTATATATATATGTGTATGTGTGTGTGTATATATATATGTATATATATGTATATATATATATGGAGTTTATTAACTTACGTGATCACAAGGTCCCACAATAGACTGTCTGCAAGCTTGAGGAGCAAGGATAGCCAGTTCAAGTCTCAAAACTGAAGAACTTGGAGTCCAGTGCAGGAAGCATCCAGCATGGGAGAAAGATATAGGCTGGGAGGCTAAGCCAGTCTCCCTTTTCATGTTTTTCTGCCTGCTTTATATTCACTCCTGGCTGATTAGATTGTGCCCACCAGACTAAGGGTGGGTCTGCCTTCCGCAGCCCACTGACTCAAATGTGAATCTCCTTTGGCAACACCCTCACATACACACCCAGGATCAATACTTTGCATCCTTCAATCCAATCAAGTTGACACTCATATTAACCATCACAGACAGTGAGAGACTCTTATTGGCCTCTGATTTAGCCAAGCAAGGCCTTAAGGACAGGAGACACATTTGTCTAAATGGCTGGTCTAATCATGGTAGGGAAGCTGGGCACTAAATAACTGGTGTCTGTGACTAGGCAGTATCTTCACATTGTGAGCTACAAAGCTTAATAAGACATTGAACATCAATAAAGGAGCACATCTACTTAGGTTAAAATAATTTTAGGTTAGTGGGCCTACAATGCTGCCCGAACCATTTCTCTGGTATATTATTTCATCTAATATATTTAATATAGTTTCTAAAACACTACATTCATTTATAATTTTTTTCCTTTCAAATAAATTTTATTTTTTAGGGAAGTTTTAGGTTCACAGAAATATTGGGCAGAAAGTACAGAAATTTTTCAAATACTCGTACTTCTTGCCCCCACACATGCATAACCTCCCCCACTGCAAATATCCCCCACCAGAGTGGTACATTTGTTACAATTGAAGAACCTACATTAACACATCATTATTATCCAAAGTCCATGGTTTACAGTAGTATTTATTCCTGGTTTTTACATTCTATGGGTTTTCAGAAAATGTATAATGGCAGTATCCATCATTGTGTTATCATACAAAATGGTTTCACTGCCCTAAAATCCCTGTGGTCTGCCTAGTCATCCTTCCCTCCCCTCAACTTCTGGCAACCGCTGATCTTTTTACTCTCTCCACAGTTTCGACTTGTCCAGAATGCCATGTACTTGGAATCATGCAGCATGCATCCTTTTCCTATTGGCTTCTTTCACTTAGTAATATATGTTTAAGGTTGTACCCCATAAATATGTACACCTACTATGTACCCACAAAAATTGAAAGTAAAAAAATTTTAAAAAGATTCCTCCAGGTCTTTTCATGGCTTGTTAGCTCATTTCTTATTTCTCTTATTTTTTTATTTTTTTGGAGACAGAATCTGACTCTGTCACCCAGGCTGGAGTGCAGTGGTGGGATCTTGGCTCACTCCGACCTCCGCCTCCTGAGTAGCTGGGTTTACAGCTATGCCATCACACCTGGCTAATTTTTGTATTTTTTTGTAGAGATGGAGGTTTCACCATGTTGGCCAGGCTGGTCTCAAACTTCTGGGCTCTAGCGATCCACATGCTTTTGCCTCCCAAAATGTTGGGATTACAGGCATGAGCTACCAGGGGTGGCTCATCTCTTTTTAGTGCTGAATAATATTCCCATTCATTCACTCTTGATCAGTCATATCTAGAGTCCTCACCTCCATAAGAATTGTTACTACTCCCAGTCGTGTATTTAGGAGTGGGAGTTGTTCATGTCAAACTTCCCATAAATGAATAAATCTCTCAGTAAGAGAGATTCATCATTGTTTGCCTTATTCCAAAAGATAAACATCCCAGCTTTCCTAAGTTTCTCAAAACTCACGTTTTCTCCTAATAAACATTTACTGATCATAAAATTGCTAGTATTCTAACACCCCAGAGACTCAGAGAGCCCAGCTGAACTCAGTGAATATCTAAAAAGAATAAAATAAAGGTCAACAAAGACACAGCCCAGCACCTATGCAAATACACCTTCAAAATTACTTTTCTCACTTGAGGCAATGTTTTTTTTTATTTTTTTATTTTTTATTATACTTTAAGTTTTAGGGTACATGTGCACATTGTGCAGGTTAGTTACATATGTATACATGTGCCATGCTGGTGTGCTGCACCCACTAACTCGTCATTTAGCATTAGGTATATCTCCCAATGCTATCCCTCCCGCCTCCCCCCACCCCACAACAGTCCCCAGAGTGTGATGTTCCCCTTCCTGTGTCCATGTGTTCTCATTGTTCAATTCCCACCTATGAGTGAGAATATGCGGTGTTTGGTTTTTTGTTCTTGCAATAGTTTACTGAGAATGATGATTTCCAATTTCATCCATGTCCCTACAAAGGACATGAACTCATCATTTTTTATGGCTGCATAGTATTCCATGGTGTATATGTGCCACATTTTCTTAATCCAGTCTATCATAGTTGGACATTTGGGTTGGTTCCAAGTCTTTGCTACTGTGAATAATGCCACAATAAACATACGTGTGCATGTGTCTTTATAGCAGCATGATTTATAGAGGCAATGTTCTATAATTAAATTCCTCAAGTGAGAGAAGGATTAGCCTGAGTGGTTTAAAGTTAAAGTGTGTACTTTGTGAGTTAATGAAATATGAGGAACACATATAATTTTCCTGGAGATGATAAAAAAAATTTGTACTGTCCAATCAAAAGATAATTAAAACTTATCTTCCTATGTCCCACTTGACTTAAAAAAATGGAGCGCTATAGAAGTTATAAGATGTATCCTTATATTCCTAAAATGATATCACTTTTCTTCTTTAACTTCTGGAGTTTACCTGGTTTCCAAGTGAATAAAAAGTTTCCAAGTAAGAGGGCATACTTACTATTTGATAACAGAGCTGTATTATTAAGCCATAAATGTCCGGCTTTCTGATGTCTGACACACAGTGGCAAAGTCTTATACATTCAGGAAGAGCACTTTGTCTCTAAAAGGTTGCCCCAGTGACTCCTTCCAAGATGCTAACATTCTTTTTGAACACTGGATTCCATCAAGAATTGCTCATGCAATGTCAAGTTAATTATTAATTTCATAATTTATTCTCAAGGACAAGGCTCCCTAAGAATGATGCTCCCTTAAGACGAATCTTAGACTAATTTTACAGATATACAGCCACTAAAATGTAAACAACCTAATACCAAATAGAAACTAACTGCAAAGAGAGAGAGAGACTAGACAATTTTCTTTCTGAAATAATAAGAGTTTAAAATCTACACATGGAATATATTACTTACATTCATTTTTAAGTCTGAAAACAGTGAATCATATGGATGGATGGTTTTGCTGGCAGCAAATACGGAGAAGGCCTTAAGGCAGCAAGTATATGTTAAGTATTAGGTCCTAGGGGAATACTATAATAATTACATATAGCCACTAGCCTTAAGAATATTATAATGACATGAAAAGCAATGCCAATTTTAAAAAATTAATATCCATTAAATTAAATTTGTTGTGTAAAGTATTCTTTAATGTGAGAGCCAAAACAAGCATACTAGAAAATATAAATAAAAATATATTTCTAACTCTATTTATAGGGTTCCTGAGCATTATAGAAATGGAAGATGGTAAAAGTGGGGAAATTTCTATTTTAGGCATATGTGAATATATTATGTAACTTCTGCAGTATTCACATTTTTGATTTGCATATGGTGTCACTTGCCAGAAGCAGATATTTTATGCATAACCACAGATGGGAGCTGTTAGCTGGGATTTTGTCTTCAGCTCATCATCATTAGATATTAACTGGAATGGATCAGTACCTACCTGCAGGCTCTCACAAGCAGAAAAAAGAAAACAAAGCAGAGTTAATCAGTTTGAAGATCACAGTTCAACTGGCTGTAAGGAAAGCATCACACATTATGGAAAATATTTGGCATATATTCTTCAAAATTAAATTGGTTGTACTTGAGTACTTGTAGAGTGTTTAAAAGGAAACTATGATGCTCTAAAAAGTCCAGGTCAGGACTGTGAAAGAAATGAGAGTTCACCATTCCCTTGTACTAGCTCTGGGACAATACCCCTGAAAATCTATCAAAATAGAGGCAAGAGTGTAAAACTGATGCAACGTTTCAAAATAATTTCCCTTTAAATTTTATCAAGTTTGAAAACGCTTATATCAATGAAATTTACAAATATGCTTTATCAAGTTATTGTTCATATTATAATATAATACAGGTTTGTTTCATTCACATAATAGAGGATAATGACTTTTTAAAAAGATTGCTCTATGTCTTATGTCTTATACCTTCAGAATATTTCGTATCTTTTATTGATTATCTTGTATTTAAACAACATGAGTATAATGGAAACATATTTAAGAACAAAAAGTTAAAGACAATTCAAAAGAAGTAAATAGGAAAGAAAGGTTATGTTAATATTATTTGGCTTCTGGTTTTACACAGTTACTTCAAGAAATTTTCTTTGGGAGGTGTGAATTTTTAATTTTATAGTTTTTTATTTTTTTTATTTTTTAGAGACTAGTCTTGCGCTGGCATGCAGTGGCACAATCATAGCTCACTGCAGGCTTCTACCTTGAATTCCTGGGCTCAAGTGATCCTCCAGCCAACCTTGGCTTCCCAAAGTCCGGGAATACAGGCATGAGCCACTACACCCAGCCTGGATTCTGATCTCAGCTCCGTCACTCTAAAGTTCAATTTCATTTGTGTGACATTCAGATGCTAAATTCTATATTTATTTCACAAGCTTCTTAGGAGGATTGAATAAGACCATAAGCTCCAGAGCACCATTCAGATTACATATTAAAAATCATTTCCAGAGCCTTGTGCAAGGATGGGAGAAAAGACAGGGGAGAAAGACATATTCAGAATGAGAAGAACTATTCCAGATTGATAGGGGAAGGAGAGGCGAAATAAAAAAGAGAACACTCACCTAGCATTTCCCATCAAACTGCCATTTCCTCCAATTGTTTTTTATTTTTATTTTTATTTTTTCTTCTGGCAGGGGTTGGCAACTTCTGAACAGGTAAGCCAGATTTTATTATTTCTTTCTTTGAGTGTAGTTGTGAAAGAAGGTAGCTCCTAAAGAGAAAAGGCAGAGATGTGTTTCTGACACTCCATGTTTAGGAAGCTCCTCTGGTCACATGTGTTTACTGGGAGAAAGCAATGAAAAGTTTTGACAATTCTGTACACTTCTCAAATATTACTTATTTGGTAAAGCAACGGGCCCCTTTCTACAATAATATTAATAGTTGTCATCTAATTTTTTCTAAGTTTAAATTTTTGAACAATGGCTTTATTAAATAAACCCAGAAGTATCAACTATGTCTTAAATATTGTTGTAAGTGAGAGAGAGACTAGTGGAGATTAAGTACAAGACTTTCCTTGAAGAATTTGCAATTTGATTTAGAAAATAAGACGCGTATGGCCAGGCGCGGTGGCTCACGCCTGTAATCCCAGGACTTTGGGAGGCCAAGGTGGGCGGATCACAAGGTCAGGAGATCGAGACCATCCTAGCTAACACAGTGAAACCCCGTCTCTACTAAAAATACAAAAAATTGGCTGGGCGTGGTGGCGGGCGCCTGTAGTCCCAGCTACTCGGGAGGCTGAGGCAGGAGAATGGCGTGAACCCGGGAGGTAGAGCTTGCAGTAAGCCGAGATAGCGTCACTGCACTCCAGCCTGGGTGACAGAGCGAGACTACATCTCAAAAAAAAAAAAAAAAAAAAAGAAAGAAAAAAAAAGAAAAGAAAATAAGACATGTGTACAGGCAATAAACAAAGAGAAAGCCATACAAAGTTAAATATATTGTTTTCCAAGCACCAGATTATATGGCAGTGGGTATGAAATGCTGTAGAAATTCAGCAAAGAAACGGTAAGTTAAGAAAAAACACTCTGCAGTTCCATGCAACTCTTAAAGTAGGAACAGAACTTAGAAATCACATATGTAGACAATCCTCTTATATACAAACAGACTTCAAGCTCCAGCAGATAATGTAGCTTAAGTTAGAGGTGACTTGAGAACTAAAATCCTAATTTTCAACACCCTAGTCACCTTGTGCTAAACAAAACTTGACATTGGCAGTGGAGGCTGGGCAGGCTTTGGATGATAAGGGGAGTTAGTATTTTAGGAAAGCAGTTGGGTAAACTGTAAAATGAACAGCTTTAGGAGCTGGCTATATTTTATTATAGCAATAGATCCTTTATGAAAGTAGCTTTATTGATTTATAGGATTAATCACATTAACAAAGAACTTTGTTTCACACATTGGAGAGCCATCAAATAAGTATTTGCTGAATATAAAAGCATAAAGATAACTTGATTTATGTAATGGAATCTATTTTATTTTTTTTTCTTTACAATTCTAGAAGAATGGATGATAGAAACAATAGTAACCTCACAATTAATGTTTTTAACTAGGAAATAGTGATTTTGTGAATTTAGTATTTGGAGATTACATTTCCAGCTCTCCATCTACCACAAATGAACACTTTTTGTGTTCACCTTTATATTATGAACACCTTTTGTGAACACCTTTATATGCTCAACTGAAAGGGAAAAGTAAGTAATCTCATATTCTCTTTCTGAGTCATCATTCAGACTTTAAAATGAACATCTGTTTGGGTGATGGACAAACATCATTTGTGAGCTAATATTTGAAGAAAACAATGCAATATAAGCCTTAAATGCTGCCATTATATACCTGAGACTAGTTTTTTCTTTGATTTCTAATTGTTTAAAATTCCTATCATAATTTTGAACCTATTTTATTGATTTTTTATTCACTTTAAATAAACTAACATTTATTTAGTGCATACTCTGGGTCAAATACTATGTTTGGTGCTAAAAATATGGAGATGGAATGGCAATTCCTTTGCCAAATAAAACGATAATTAAGGCATACTACAGTGAGACATACTTTAGAATCCATTATACCTAAGGTACTTTAAATATGCTACGTAATTTAATTTTTATAAAAATATATAAATTATCCCTTTTATAGAAGATGAATAGAAATATTGCCTAGCATAAAGTAAAACCCACAAAAACATAGACAGAAAAATGTATAACATCTTATTAATTACAAATAGAAAATGTTTTTGTATTTTAAAAACTTCTAAAAAATGTTATCTTTATTTTTCTGTGTTTGAATTTAAACATGAAATTTATGAATACAATTCAGATTTTTCAAAAATAACCATTGAAAATGGTTTACATACTGAAATATTTACATTTAAACAAATTATCTGAAAATAAAAAAATGTATTTTACTTATTATCTCAATTGTTTTTGAAGAGATGTCGGCTTGGGGAGATGATTAAGCGTTTACAGGGCAGTGAATAAATGTAAACTATTCCTTTATATGTCTTAAAAACACAAAAGAAAATAGTTTCGCGACTGCAGTTATTAGAACAAAAGCTATTTAGCCTTTATTCCTGTGCTCTGACTGGGAAACTTTAATAATGATTTAAGACCTATTTCATATGCCCCTCTTATTCAATTACTAACACATTTTATTATTAGTCATATGTTCTGTTAGATGATGCAAAAAATAAGAAAATATAGGTTCTATAACCTCAGGATGCTACCGATCTATTAAAGAGGCAGATATCAAGAAAATAATTAAAATATAATCAAAAAGTTGCTTATGTCTATTAATCAATCAAATAAAAAAACCACTTTAAATTATTCAAGTATTAAATTTTAATATAAGGAAATAGAAGCTTAAACAATCGTTGCAAGGTGTGGTAGAAATGAAACGGCTTCATCCCATTCCGCCCAAAGGATTTCCGCAGGTGGTTTGGTCAGCAGATGGTTTTCAGCTGTTTGCTTTTTAAAGGTCTGCTTCAGCTACAACAGCTTCCTTCATTCATGGTCACACCATTCCTGGAGCAGCTCACAACTGGTGACAGCCAAGAGTGGTTATAAAACCAAGCCATTTTAACCCAGTATAGCGCAACTTTAATAGAAATCATCACTCCATAGCTTCCTATCAGATTGACTGAAAATTTTCAGGTCTGCATCACGGTTTGACCTCTTTTTTTCCCCTATCTAGTTCTTCCATCTTCCTTTCACAGTGGATCCCTGATAAACATCTTGCATCCTAAATATGGTCTCAGCCCCTGGTTCTGGAAAATGCCAACCTGAACAGAAGAGCTGGGGGACCCCAAGTCAGGAAAGTTGCCATGGAAAATCTCAGTCTGTTCTTGCACTGCTATAAACAATTACCTGAGACTGGGAAATTTATAAAGAAAAGAGTTTAAATTGACTCACAGTTCTTCTGCATGCTATACAAGAGGCATAGCTGGGGAGGCCTCAGGAAACTTACAATCATGGGAGAAGGCAAAGGGGAAGCAGGCACATATTCACATGGCCAGCAAGAGAGAGTGAGTGGGTGGGAGAGAGGTACTACACTATTGTTTTCTTTCTTTCTTTCTTTCTTTCTTTCTTTCTTTCTTTCTTTCTTTCTTTCTTTCTTTCTTTCCTTCTTTTCTTTCTTCTTTCTTTCTTCCTTCCTTCTTTTTTTTTTTTTTTTTGAGACGGAGTCTTGCTCTGTCATCCAGACTGGAGTGCCGTGGCATGATCTCGGCTCACTGCAACTTCTGCCTCCCAGGTTTAAGCGATTCTTCTGCCTCAGCTTCCTGAGTAGCTGGGACTACAGGTGTGCACCACCACACCTGGCTAATTTTTGTATTTTTAGTAGAAATGGGATTTCACCATGTTGACCAGGATGGTCTAAATCTCCTGACCTCGTGATCCACCTGCCTCGGCCTCCCAAAGTGCTGGGATTACAGGCGTGAGCCACTGTACCTGGCCTAGAGAGATGCTACAAACTTTTAAACAACTAGATCTCCTGAGAATTCTACAGTGAGACAGCACTAGGGGGATGGTGCTAAACCATTAGAAACCACCCACATGATCCAATCACCTCCCACCATGTCCCATCTCAAACACTGGGGATTACAATTCAATGTGAGATTTGGATGGGGACAAAGAGCCAAACCATATCAGTTGGCAACACCAAAGACTGTCTTTCTATCTTTATCTCCCCATCAAAACTATTTTCGTAAATGTTATTAATGTTTCCTTGTTGCTGAAACCAATGAGCTTCTTTCAGATCTTTATTCGACAAGCAGGAACTGATGCTGATAGCCACTCCTTTCTCTCAGGCTTGTTTCTTCTCTTGTCCAGATGGCGACTAAGAGCCTCAACTCAGGCTCTGAATCCCCTGTCTACCATCAATTAGCTGTGAGACCTTGAGAACATTATGTAGCCTCTCTGTGCCTCACTTTCCAGTCTGTAATATGGTGATAATCATTATATCTACTTGACAAGACTGTTGTAATGATTAAATCTATGTATGTATGTAAAGTGTTTAGAATAGTGCCTGCTACATAATAATCACTATACGTGTGTCTTCTATTTTCATCCTGTTGTTCCACGTTATCTTGTTTTTTCCTCCTTCTGACAGTTCCTTATAAGCCTATTCACTTTATCTCCCTTTGTGTCCCAACTGCTGCCTTAAATTTTGATGCTATCTTTTCTTGACTTTTTCCTTGTGTTTCTCTAAATCATCTGACACATATCTAGTTTAAAACAGGCCTTATTTCTAAGTAGCAGACCCAAGTTTTCAACTTTCTACTGAATACCTACTTCTTAGTATCTCATAGGCATTGAAACGCAACATATCTTCATATGGATTATTTTTCTTCCCCATCTCCTCCCAAAAAGAGCACAAAACAAAACTCAGTGAATGGTACTACTAAGGTTATGTATATTCAGTTGCCTAAATCAAAGTACAGACTGAGATCCCCCTAACCCATATTTGTCACATCCCCAGAGCGTACAAAAAAAGTGATCAGCAACATTAATATGTATATATTCCATAGCACTCTTTGAATTTCTTACCTCCTTTCTACACCCATTGCCACTACCTTAGTTTAGGCTTTTTTTTTTTTCAACATTTCCAGCTCCTAACTGGCCATTCTAAATTTCAATCACATTCTCCAACCCATTTCCCTACTATAGTCAGTCAGCTTGACTTTTCTAAAATGAATGTCTCTTTACATCTTCTCTTGCTTAATGCTCTCTGCTTATTTGCCTACATTCTTCAAGAAGAACTCTTAAATCTTTTGTGTGACATACAATGCTGTGCATAATCTATCCCATATTACTTGTTTTATATCATTTCTAGCTAATCTCACATTATGCCCCAACTTTATGCCCCAATCTATCTGAAAAGAGTGTAATTTTCCAAGTGTTATTTAATCCTGTACACATGTTCTTCTGTTTGCCTAAAATGCCACCTCCATCACAAAAAATTTCTGCTTTGCAATTGATGCTTATCGAACAACCACAAAATGTGAGTTGTGTCTATGTACACAGCTGGGATTCAGCTGGTTAGTCAGCTTATTTAAGTTGGGCTTTGCTCGAAGTGTCTCTCATCTTCCCCTTGGAGCTTGTGGGCCATCCTGGGCATGTTATTTCCGTGGTGATGGTAGAGATGCAAGAGGGAATGTGAAAATATGCAAGATCCCTTAAGGCCCAGTCACAAAACTAGACAACAGTCACTTCTGCCTAATAATTGGTCAAACCAAATGACATGTGTCTATTCTGAGTAAAAAAGATGGGAAATATGTCCTCCATCTTTTGTGGGAGGGACTGCAAGGTCATATGGTAAAAGTGTGAGTGCAGTGAAAGAAGTATTAGAACTAGTAATAAAATCTACAACCCCCTATCCTTTGCCTTGCCTAATGATTCTGTAGGTTTCATTTCAGTCACTGCTTCTTCTAGATAGGTTGGCCTGGCTTTCAGTCTAATTTTGGTGTTCCTATGTGCTTTCCTAGTAGCTGGAACAGTTTATTTTGTCATTATGAGCACATATATAATTGTTATTTGCCAGGACCTTTATTTTTTCTTTCCATTGTACTAAATGTTCTTTTAGATAACAATTGTATTTGTTTTTATCCCACTCAGCAACCTAGAACATAGGATGTATACTCACTAATTGTTTGGGATATTTTTGAATAAATGGATACATAAAAACAGGAGTAATTGAATGAAACAATGAATGCATGAGTGTTGCAAAGAGAAGGTGATAAAGACCTGAACCAGGGCAGTAGTGATTAGAATAGAGGGGAAGTAATCAATGTAAGCCATGTTTAGGAGATAGAATTGGCAAGCCTCAGTGATAATTGATTGTAGGGGAAAGAGTAGTAGAAATAAGCAAGATATTTAGGATGTCTCTCAGGTATATGTTTAGAGCAGTTGAGTTAATTAAGCACCATTCACTTGAATAAGAAAAAAAGGAGGTAAGAAAATACTGGAGAGGAAAAAAAATAAAGATTTAAAGATGGTATATAGCTCTTCATTTCAACATGAACCCTACAATTAAACAATGCGTTACTAGGAATGTATATTTGGATAAAAACTCATCACATTAATATGGTGTAATTTATGTGGATATACATTTCAGAAGTTACATACTGAGATAAAGGAAAGATAATTCTGCATAAAATCTTACACTTAAAATTCAAGACCTTAAGACTGCCACCTGTCCTTAAGAGTCATGGAAAATCGGGCAACTCTGAACACTCTCAACTTCAGTTTCCAAATCTGCAAAATGGGGACAATCTAGATCACTGCGATGTCATGGGTTAAAATAAGACAATGTACTGGAAAACACAGCCTTGCAAATAACAAATAAACATAAGTATTTTATAACACTCCCTTTCAGGGTTTCTCAAACCTGATTGACATTTTGAGCCAGATGATTCTTCGTTAGGGTGAGGAGTGGGAGTTGTCCTGTGCATTTTAGCACGTTTGGTAGCATCCCTGGCCTCTATCCACCAGATGCAGTAGCATTCCCTAGTGTTACAACCAAAAATATCTCCAGGCATTGCCAGATGACTGCACTGGGATGGCAAGTGGGTATATCAAATCAATACTCCCCACTCCTTTTGACAACTACCACCGTATCTGAATCTGAACCTAGGCGGTAGATGGAAGTTGCAGGGTATTTTAGGAGGCAAGGAATTATTAAGATATAGACAGGAATATTTTCCATGCACAATTCACACTAGTAAACTGACTAAAGGAATCTTAGATAAAAATGGTCTATAGTCAATGCCATTCCCATGAAACTACAAACGACATTCTTCACAGAATTAGAATAAACTATTTTAAAATTCATGTGAAACCAAAAAAGAGCCCAAATAGCCAAGACAATCCTAAGTAAAAAGAACAAAGCTAGAGGCATCACGCTACCTGACTTCAAACTATACTACAAGGCTACAACAACTAAAACAGCATAGTACTGGTACATAAACAGACACATAGACCAGTGGAACAGAATAGAGAACTCATAAATAAGACCACACACCTACAACTGTCTTATCTTCGACAAACCTGACAAAAACAAGCAATGGGGAAAGAATTCCTTATTTACTAAATGGTGCTAGGAGAACTGGCTAGCCATATGCAGAAAATTGAAACTGGACCCCTTCCTTACACCTTATACAAAAATTAACTCAGAATGGATTAAAGACTTAAATTTAAAATCCCAAACTACAAAAACCCCACAAAAAAATCTAGGTGATACCATTTAGGATGTAGACACAGGCAAAAATTTCATGATGAATACCCTAAAAGCAATTGCAACAAAAGCAAAAATCGAAAAATGGGATCTAATTAAACTAAAGAAGTTCTGCATAGCAAAAGAAGCTATCATCAGATTGAACAAACAACCTACAGAATGGGAGAAAATTTTTTCAATCTATCCATCTGACAAAGGTCTAATATCCAGAGTCTAAAAGGAACTTAAACAAATTCACACAAACACACACACACACAAAACCAAACAACCCCATTAAAAATTGGGCAAAAGACATGAACAGACACTTCTCAAAATAATACATTTATGCAGTCAACAAACATATGATAAAAGGCTCAGATTCATTGATCATTAGAGAAATGCAAATCAAAACCACAGTGAGAGACCATCTCACATCAGTTATTATGTTGGTGCAAACGTAATTGCGGTTTTTGCCATTGTAAGTAATGGCAGCAGCCCAATAGAATGGCAATTATTAAAAAGTCCAGAAACAACAGATGCTGGCAAGGTTGCAGAGAAAAAGGATTGCTTTTACACTGTTGATGGGAGTGTAAATTAGACCATTGTGGAAGGTAGTGTGGTGGTTCCTCAAAGATCTAGAGACAGAAATACCATTTGACCCAGCAACCCCATTACTGGGCATACGCCCAAAGGAACATAAGTCATTCTAGTATAAAAATATATGCACACATATGTTCAATGCAGCATTATTCACAATAACAAAGACATGGAATCAACCCAAATGCCCATCAATGATAGACTGGATAAAGAAAATGTGGTACATGTACACCATGGAATACTGTGCAGCCATAAAAAGGAAAGAGATCATGTCCTTTGTGGGGACATTGGTGGAGCTTGAAAGCCATTATCTTTAGCAAACTAACACAGGAATAGAAAACCAAACACCGCATGTTCTCACTTCTAAGTGAGAGCTGAACAATGAGAATACTTGGACACATGGGTGGGAATAACACACACTGGGGCCTATCAGGGGTGGAGTTGGGGGAAGGAGAGCATCAGGAAGTACAGCTAAAAGATGCTGGGCTTAATATGTAGGTATTGGGTTGATCTGTGCAGCAAGCCACCAGGGCCCACGTTTACCTATGTAATAAACCTGCACATGCTGCACATGTACCCACAAACTTAATAAAAGTTGAAGGAAAAAATAAGTGGTCTAAATATCCAAAGCATAAAGTCGGTAGTATATCCTTCCACTTCTCCCACTTCTAACTCCATATCATGAATTCAATTGCTATCATCCATACTTTCTAAGTCTCCAGGTTATTCTTTAAAGCTAGAATATTCATCTCTAAGCTTCCTTTGGTCTTTTCCCCCCAGGATCTGTAAAAGTCAGTTCTCCAATTTTCCAAGCCTGAACTCTATTCTCCACTATCTCCTTCCAAAAAATTTATCTCTTAGATATTTCTTACTCTACGTAAGGTAATTTTGCACAGTTGCTAGATATTAGCAGCAGCTCTGATTTGTTTGCATAATTGATGACATTTCTAATGTAATAACTGGAATTCTTTCATGGCCTTAAAGGTTATAGAAAATCAGAGGTCTCTTTAAAATTGAAGATGGAAGAAGGACTGTAAGAGATGGGAAATTAGAAAAGTTTGAAATGAATGAATTTTTCAAAATAAGGATGTATTTCTTTTGAAAATTCAAAGATATAAAAAGAAGAAAAATATGCTTAAAGCACAGGTGGATCATGATAATATTTAATGTTCAGATAGAATTTTTATGATTAAACATTTTGTGAATTGGAGACAAATAGCTTGATCTGGTCAGAGAAACATGTTTTTAACCTTAAATTACCTGTCACTCTAAGTAAGATAAAAATAGTTGGACCAATAAAATATTGACTTTCACTCCCTAGACTGGATTTAAAGTAGAAATAAGTCAATGAAAAATAAGCTCCCACTTAGAAGATATTTTCTAGGGAGAGAAGGGTCCAGGAAAAAGACAGATGTACTCTGACAGGCAGGACCTGGAGTTGATGACCATGAGTACACAAAGGAACCCTGAGTCCCAACCAAGGGGTAAGGAGAATACGTAAGATTGGTTGTTCCTTCAGATTATGCTGTGGTATCAAATCTACTGCTCAGGTCTCCTTTTTTTCTGTAAGAACAAATCCAAAATAAACTTTGATCCCCAAGCACCCAAGTCCTAGCACAAGAAGGTCATCGCTATCTGTCCTTTGCCGAGTGCCCATGTTGAGTACAAAAGCCCAGACAGGGAATATCTTCCATTTGAAACCAGGACGGAGACCATGGATAGCTCACGTGTTTTATAGAACAACTATAAAAGTTACCCATTTTTTTTCCTATTTCAGCCAATAAATAAGTTTTCTTGACTTGTACAGAAAAACTTCTGAATGATTTGAGTTTTGCCCAGGGGACATCTACATGGGAATGCAAGTATATAGTTAAATATTTGAACCTTGAACTCACTAAGAGTCTTGGCTAAAGATAAATATTTGGAAGCAGTGAATCAATAGGCAGTAATTGTAACCATGTGGATGTACATATGGATTATTTATGTATGTATGATGGATGGGTTTGCTCAGGCTTTCAAGTTAGTTATTTCCTTTTATGGGTCATTAAAGTGATATGTCTATACACTATGAAAACATGCTACATTCTGTGTCTGTTTACATGTTTATTTCTTCTGTAGAAATAGGAACTCCTGTGGACAGCTTGTGTATATTAATATTTCTGGTGTCAAATGTTTAATAACTAATTGAAGAAAAGTTACAGAGAAAGCTTTAAAATATACTCTTACATTGAGTATGACATTCTCTACCTGAAAGTTCACTCATAGAGCCAGTAATGATGTGTTTTTTCTCCAGAGTTTGGTGGGCTTTCATAAACTCATTTTATAATCTAACTCAGATTCCCTTTCATTACTATGTATTAAAGGAAAGGGCATTAAAATTGCAAGCTGTTGTTTCAGAAGAAAGTTCTTGGTATGCAATTATCAAATATGTCCGTTAGCTGTATGTACTCTCTTTTCCCTAAGCAATCCCATTGAGTAGATGATATAAATGAAATACTGTTTATAACCAAAAGTTTCTAAAATTTTTATTTGTTGAAATTCTGTGTTTTCCAAATGTTAAATACTTTAAGCAGAAAATGTTTAATCATATTATCAAATGAAGAGTAATAAAATAAAAGGTATGATTTTGTAGCCAAGAATATTTAAAAAGAGGACTCTGAAACAATTATTGCAATAAAAAATTTTTAAAAAGCACAACTTTCAATATTTTTCTCTCCCACATTTTTGTTTGCTCATGTGCAAATAAAACAAATGAAGCAAAATTTCTGTCTGTAGATGACATGGTTTGTGTTTGTCTTTTTCTAATGTAGTATTTCTTGTACTTGTGCAAAATGTAATTATTATTACCAAAGGATTAAATATAAATTATAGTTAGAAAAACGGGTAACAAATAGACATAAAAAGTAACATCTTCACAGGAACTCAACAAATAAAAATACATTAACCTCTTAAAAGCAACATTCACTTACAAAATTCTATCATGTAACTTAGCTAGTTTCTGCAGAACTCTTTAGCAGCCATCAATTTGATACAGAAGAAAAGGATAAACACCAATTAGGTAAACAGTTAAGGCTGGTCCTCAGAGAAGCACCCTGCCTGAAAAATCACAGCTACAGGCAAAAATAGAGCAGGCTGGGGAAAACTTGGGCTGCACCTGCACAGATAAGCAGGCAAAGCAGGCATGGTCCAACACAGAAGCCTTTTGTTCTTTGTGTAATTGGCAGGCACCCAGGAAAAGTTTCCTCCCCTTCTCAGACATGTATACGATGGGAACTTGCACAGGGAGGAGAGGGGCTTACCTAAAACAAACCCACATTTATACAAACAAAAGAAGTGCACATTGTGCCTGCCTAGAGACATACCCAGAACTACATACGCAAGGGGGAATTATGCAGACAGCTTTATGGATAAGAGAAGTTACTCAAACAGCTATAGAGATGAGAGGAGTTTCTCATAAAAGCTTTTGGATTCAACTGTAAAAACAGCAACCCACTTGGGTTCCCCTCTCCACTGAGGAGAGCTTTTTTCTTTCACTTATTAAACTTTCACTCCAACCTCACTCTCTTTGTGTCCTCAATTGTCTCAGTCATGAGACAACAAGATCAGATACTACCTTAGATGAGACCAGTGACGTTCCACTGTTTCAAATTAACATAGTAATCTGAAATACTCATTTGAATACAATTTTAGTTTTTTTAATCACTATGAAGTTAATCTCTGCATAATTATTTCAGTGTAAAGCAGTGTCACATACATCCACATCATGTATCTTTTGACCTTTAGGTTGTGGACTCAAACCTTGAAATTTATTTGTTTACCCCAAACCTGATAGTTCTCCTAAAGTCAAAGCTTTGCTTTCAATACATATGCAGCACTTTCAAGGTAAACCATGTCACCTTGGAAATTGTTATAAGATTTTTTAACTGCATTCAACTTTGCGCAGTTTAGATCAGAGTGTTCCAGCTTAATTTCTGAATCTCATATGATTATTAAGATAATAGAGAAGCAGGGAGTGGGGATTGTGAATCCAGGTTGCAGAATTTCAAGTTTTTGTTTAGTTGCTTCCCTATGACTAATGAAATCAGCATAAAGTAGTGTTCATTTTGGGGTAACTCTGACCTATGAAGTGGAGGAATTTAGAAATATTTAAAAATCACTTCTAATTTTGTATCAAATAGCAGGTTGATAGAGCTAAAAGATGTAGTAGCAGTGAGATAACTGAGTCGTTTGTATCATTTAGGCAGAACCATTCTATAACCGAAGGCTTTCTTTATTCTAAAAGCTGATAATTATAATTTATTCTTGAAGCATACACTTAACACTTTTGTTTGAGTACATAAAACAGCAGACAGTGTTTGAGTGTTATATCAATCATTTTTACCTACATTTTTCCTCTCTCATGATAAAGAGACTTTTAGAAATAAAATTCAGATGAACCAAGTAACAATCACAGAGTCAGTGAACAAAAACCCCAATTAAAATGGAGAACTTAGAAATTACTCAATGAATTCAATTCCTTAAAGTATATCATTTTTTTCACAAAACAAGTAACAAGCCTGCCCTCCTTTTCCCTAACCTATAATTTCCCTACTCCCATCTTTGCCCCAAATAATCTTATTGCCTGATTCATTTTTCTTATATAATAATAATGATAATAATAATAATGTGTCACCATTTACCTAGCTCTTAAAATGTAAAACTTTCTGTGCAAAAGAACTTGGCATATTCTGTCTCTTCTAATTCTTTGAATAAATGCAGAGTTAGGTAGTATTTTACATTAGGAAAATAGATTCAGAGACTAGACATATCTAAATTAAAGGCACACAGGTACTAAATAACAGAGCCAGGATTCTATTTAGGTTAGTCTGTTTACTCCATCTTTGATGGTGTTAACCACCAATCTATAAGGCATCCTTGAAGGATCAGGACTCAGGAGGCCTAAAAAGTTAGATAGAAATCTCTAACTTAAAACTTTACAACCTAAAATAATGCATGATTTTCCCTTTCAGCATTTATGTACATTAATATGGATGTGTTTTATTGTAGCCCCAACTGTATGCATGGCATTGATGATCTTACCAAGTATTTTTAACTGCTAAAATAATTTTCCATTGTATAATAAAATTACATTAGACTAAAATCTTTTGAATTTTTAGGTTGGCACAAAAGTAATTGAGGTTTATGCCATTGAAAGTCAATGTATGCCAACCTAATATTATTTAGTTTTGGAATAGAATGCATTTTCTCTCTTTCAGTCTTCTTTCTTCATTCTTAATAACATTTCTAGAATATATCCTAAAGTTTATACTGAGAAAAAACTCAGGTATTTAATACATGGTCAAGATGCAAATACATAGAAATGTGTGTGTGTGTGTTTGTATGCAAATGTATATATACATATATGTATATTGCATGCATGTAATAGCATATACAATTATGAATATATATACTGCAAATATATGTATATCTTTTTTATTTAAGGAAATATTCTGAAGTCAAAAGAGCATTAAATATTATAAAACTAAGTGAAGATTAGAGAACTAATATTCTTTAACACAATTCTAGGCATTAAAACGGGTAGTGGCAAATGAATTCTGAAAAGCAGAATCTTAAATGAAACTGAAAAAGATGCTATGTTACTGCCATGAATTTAACATGAACGTAACTTGTCTCTACCTGCAGGTGTTAAGTGTGACATTTCTTTGTTTTTACAGTGAAGTAGAATAAGTATCACAACTCTTAAATGTATACAATAAAGGAAATTTTGGTTGCAAAAGAAGCATGTAGTTGTGTATTTGACTTTTACAATATCATGGTACTTTAACCCTGATTATCAACCTGAATATTCTCCTTCAAAAAAGAAAAGAGAAAAAGAAAAATAAAGATCTTAGTAACTCAGAGTAAATTATTGAAAAGTGATCTGTTTTATCTCTGCCTGCCTTGAAGAAATATTGTGCTTTAAAAGGTTTTCATGTAAACAGGACACATTGACTCTTTTCTTTCTCCCTCCTTCCTTCTTTTTTGTTGTCTGTCTCCTTTTTCTCCCTTTCCTTTCCCTCTCCTTCCTTCCTTCCTTCCTTCCTTCCTTCCTTCCTTCCTTCCTTCCTTCCTTCCTTCCTTCCAACTAACTTGTTCATTTTGAGTCAACGCTGTCCCCACTAACTGCCATGGTTTTTGCAACAGAATATTGTGGAGTGAATAAGCACACATACTGTCTAATTTCCCATTCCTCGTACACAGCACTAATCCCAGAGCTCTGCAACCATACTTTAGTCAGAAGTTGTATTGATAAAATATTATTTTCAATTATTACATAAACATAGAATTCTTGTACTGTAGAAAAGTTTTGATTTTGTTTTGTTTTGTTTTTTAGATGGGTGGGGCTGTAGGTGCAGTGGCTCATGGCTGTGGTCCCGGCACTTTGGGAGGCCAAGGCAGGAGGATCATTTGAGCCCAGGAGTCCAAGACCAGCCTGGGCAACATAGGGAGATCCCATCTCTACAAGTTTTTTTTTTTTTTTTTTTTTTTTAATTAGCCAGGTATGGTGACATGTGCCTGTAGTCCAGGCTACTTGGGAGGCTGAGGTGGGAGTATCCCTTGGACCAGGGAGTTTGAAGTTGCAGTGAGTCATGGTTGCACCACTGCACCGTAGCCTGAGCAGCAGAGCTAGACCCTATTTCAAAAATAAATAAATAAATAAAGAAAAGAAAAGAAAAGAAAAAGGAAAAAAAAAGAAAGGAAGGTAAAAGAAACTCGAGGAGAGACAGCTGCTGATTCCTTTTTGGATATTTGTGCATTAAGTTATGAAAATGAGTCCTAGACACACTTTAGTGCCGGGGAGCTGTGACATCCTCCTAAAGACCACTGTTCGTTATGGCCAAGAACCAAATAAGGTCTAGTGGATGGTATAACATGTATTATTTGTAATACCTTCATTATTGAGGGGGTTTCCTCAGGAGGATTATCTGTCCAGAAACATCAGAAAGCTTTGCTAAGAGGATGGCAATGCAGGAGGTAACTGCACTTGCTCTTCAGTCTGAAACCGCAGAGTAATTTCTGTCCGTCATAGAAACATTATAACAATGGGGCACTCCCTTTTAAAGAAAATGCCAGGGCTCCAGTAAGACGGGGCTTGCTGAAAAGAATTAAGGTGCAATGGAGGGAGATGTTGCAGGGCTTGCAGAACTTTGTGCTATGACTCATTTGCAACCTTTTGCAAAACTTAATGTGGCAAAAGTACTGGGTTATTATGATGTACCATGTGGTATCCCAATTTGTCATCTTCACTTGACATAGCTTTTATTGAGGGGTACAAGAAGAAACCCCACATTGGCTGAGGAAAATTTTTCTACTTACATCCCACACGGAGATTTAAAAATACATTCCTAGAATATGGCATTTACAGGAACATGTTTCACTTTAGTACTTCTGAAAGAAGACAGCTTTTTTTACCCTTCGAGTGGAAGAATCTATGATTCTAACACGTCACCACTAGAGGGCCAGTGGAACACACCTTATTTGGTAAATGGTGATGGGTCTGGGCGATGCAGTCTCCAAACATTTGAGTTTACTTTGCATCGTTTATCTTTTTGCAGTATTGACTGTTTTATTATTTAAAATGATATTCTAAATTTCTTTTTTCTTGTCACTTTACTGTTTTTAATTTTAGAAAACATCATGTCCATTATTTCAAGCACTGAGTCGGGAGCAAATTAGAATATTTTATTCTGCAGAGAAAAAATTATTGCATGGAAGACTATTCCTTCCCAAGCCCCATTATTTTCCAATATAATCACTTGTTTTAGTTTATAATGTAGTTGTTATAATGACATGCGATGTGGGAAGCTGAAAAAGGAAAATATAAAAACCTGCACAATGTAACAATGATTGGAGAAAGGCATCTCATTTCTTTCATTGCAAAAAATGGAATACTTTCCATGAGATAGCTCATAAATGAGAACATCATGGTAATGTAGTGGTTTTGGAATGTACAGAAGTTAAACTTTATAAAGACAAATATCAATATATCTCAAGCAAAACGTCTGCCCAAAGCAATCAGTAGCAAATGTCTTCATATATTTATTACTAGACTATTTCTAATTTCAGATAATAATAGTCTGTTATGTAAAGCATAAGACAATAGAATTTCTGCTTTCAGAGACTAATTTTTATGAATGATAATATATAGAGATGACAGAAATAATAGGCTATGAAGTTTTCAATGTTAACTTTGTTCAAAATCCTTTTTTATAATGTTAGAGAACATCATATTTCTTGAGTGCAATAAATGTGTCAGCGATGACCCCAATATAAAAGACTTAGATTACTTTCTGGGTTTTATCAAACCTTACTTGGTTTGATTTTCAACTGGACATTTGGATCAAGTAATTATACAATGATTGGCATATGATGACAATGTGGTGCCCTGACTTGCAAGCATGCTTAAAATGAATGAATGAGTATATATATATATATATATATATGTATATATATATATGTATATATATATATATATATATATAGTCTCTCTCTATCTCTCTATATAATATATACTCCTACTAATAACAGGTTTCCTCTCCTTCTTCCTTTAATACTACTTATTATATATATATAATGAGTATATATATTTATGTCTTTATGGCATGTATACATAGTTTTTCACATATATGTGAGTTTTCATATATAGGTAGTGATTTTAGAAACATTTGTAGTTTTTCTTCTTCTACTAAAAAATTAATTATATATTATCCTATTATTCTTCACCTATTTCTGTTATGGTAACTGCCACATTGCATAAGATTATTTGCCCAAATGTTAGTTGCTCCTACTCATCCATGAACTCTCTGAGGAGCAAGACAATGTATATTATTCATCCCCAAATCATCACATCTATTTATGGTTTGGTCCTTAATAGAAATTCAGTAACTTTAATTAGACTTCTTTTAGTGATGGTAAATTTGGGAACAAATGAAATAGACTTTATTTTACTTTTTTTTCTCTCCAGTCTCCTGAGTGTAGATATTTATTGTTCTTTGTAGATGACTTACAACCTAACCTCAAAAACACTGCTAATTAACACTTCTATGATGTGTGATGTGCACTGGTGTCAGACAGAACAGATTCTAATCATTGCTTCACTACTTAGCAATAGTGATAGTAATAGGAGCTAACATGCTGAACATTTGCTGTATGTCAGGTGCTGTTCAAAATACTTGATGCATTCTTTAACTCAATAAATGCCTTGATAAAATTTGGCAAAATGCCCATTTTAAAAAATTCTTTCAACTTGGAGTATCTGTATGTCTTTGTCTAGAGTTAATGACATACCAAATATAAAGCAACTGCCACTATTAGCTTTCCTGCTAATAACAGGTTTCCTCCCCTCTTTCCTTTAATAAAACTTTTTTGTTCATTGATGATCATAATTGCAATGTTCACTGCTTCTACCACTGACTCAACACTTGCATTGAGGCAGTAACTCACTAGGTATTTTATGTAAGTATCTTGTCTCATTTTTAAAATAACAACATGTAATTGCTAGCATCTTCTTTCCTTAATATGCTAGGAAAATGAGACAGAAAAAGGGTAATGTATAACTTGACTATTGACCCTATAAAAGAGCAATGTGTAAGTTGCCTATTGACCCTATAACCATTTGGGGATTTAAGCACAGTCACAGTCTGATATGGACGACTATTGTTTGTTTAACCTCTATTGATACTGTTACCTAAATCCACAAAAACAGAGTTCATCATCGATCTGTTGTGCTTCAATAAATGACTTCTGGACCAGCTTTATATACTGGTACCTTTTTGTTTACACTATATTGACTCATTATTTTGTCACTCTGTTCTGTGGAAACCTACCTGAATTTTTTTTTCTCATGTTCTTCTTTTGAAATTTTAATTTTAATTGACAAATAATAATTCCATATACTTGTGGGGTACAACGTGATATTTTGGTATATATTTACAATGTGAATAATTAAATCAGGCTAATTCACAAACTTTTTATTTCAAATGACATTATTCAATTTAGCATTCACTTAGGTTATTAGTTAGAAGAATGTAGACTGATTAGGTGTTCTTCCTCTGCCTCTCTCTTCATCTGTCATGCATAGTCGATCGTATTCTCTCTGCCTCATAAGGTTGTAAGAATAAAATGAAAACAAAAACAGGTGAGAAGTTAAGGAAATAACTTCAATTAATTATCACCACTTATATTTGATTTTAAAGAAGAGATTTAGAATATCTTTAAATCTTTGTTCACAGAAACGTTACACAACATGATAACATGTCAGGTCACAATATTTTCAATGTAGAACTGCTGCCTCAATATAACCAAAAAATCAATCTCATTAATGGTTTAAGAATTAAAATAGATTTTATATCATTATGCTCGTTAATGAAGAGACTTACTTGAGACTGAAGGCTGAATTGAGACTTACATTGACTTTGTTTGATCTACAAGCAATTATTTGAAAAATACGCTGCTCTTTTTCATTACCTTTATAAACAAGCAAGTAGCCCTTGTAAGCTATTGCACGAAATACAATTTGAATTAGAATATCCACATATATCTAGTTCACAAAAATTTAATTTTGTACGTACATATTATATTATACACATTTTTATGTTTATAATAATTTATGAGGGTTCGAATATTGGTATTTAATGTATGGTGTGAAATAATTTGTAGTGAACTTGAACTTGCTGTTTACTAATATTGATTATCTTGGAATGTTACAAGATTATTTTCTAAAATGTAATTTGCATAATCATAAGCAAAATCCCACTTAGTTATGGACCATATGCAGCCAGAAGAAAAGTAAAAGGTGTAAAGATTCAGGATTAAGAGTGAGGAATTGGGCCGGGCGTGGTGGTTCGCACCTGTAATCCCAGCACTTTGGGAGTCTGAGGCAGGGGAATCATGATATCAGGAGATTGAGACCATCCTGGTCAACATGGTGAAAGCCAGTCTCTACTAAAAATACAAAAATTACCTGGTCGTGGTGGCAGGCACCTGTAGTCCCAGCTACTTGGGAGGCTGAGGCAGGAGAATCGCTTGAACCAGAGAGGCAGAGATTGCAGTGAGCCGAGATTGCGCCACTGCACTCCAGCCTGGTGATAGAGCGAGACTCCGTCTCAAAAAAAAATAGTAATAATAATAAAAGAAACAATAAAAAAAGAGAGTGAGGAATCGACTGTCAAAACCAAAATGGTTCAAATTCTAAGTCTTCCTTAATAATCCTGTCATGATGAGCAAATCATGTAAATGAATTCTGCCTTAGTTTTCTTAGTTGTAAACTGGAGTAATAACTATATTTACCTTATAATTTATAAATTTAACTTTTTATTTTGAGGTCATTGTAGATTCACATGCAATTGTAAGAAAAAGTACAGTGAGATTCCAGGTATTCTTCACCTTGTTTTCCCCAATGGTATTGTCTTGCAAAATTATACTACTGTTTCACAACCAGGATATTGATATTGATACACTCTAGATACAGAACATTTCCATCACAATCCCTCATGTACACTTTTATAGCCACATTTATTTCCCTCCTATTTCTACACTTTCCTCAATTCCTGCTGGTAAAAATAAATTTTAGAGTCTATTTGTGCATTCAGTTTCATGAATCCGGGCAATACCAGTCCTCAAGTGGCTAGCACTTTGCTGGGAGAGGTGAAAGGGAAAATTTTTATGAAATCTTTGTAGAAGCAAGAAAAATAGAATAGTTTTGATTGGTTAGAGTGGAAAGTTTCTAGTTACAGGTTAGTTGGTGGTTTCTTATTGGTGCAGTTTCTAGTTTCTGTTTACTGTTGACATTGCACTTTGGTCTGCTTATATAGGAATTTAAAGTGAGACCAACGGCTTCCCAATTCGATTTTTTTAAAAAAATAATTCTCTCCTTTTGATGAGCCTCTTATTTATGAGAGATTGACCATTTCGGGCATGAGAGTCAGTCTGTATGATCATCATGACAGAGTTGTCTTTGTCTCTGTGGAACTCATAAGTTAAGGCATCAGGCTTGTTGAAGAGATTCCTTTTGTTTTTCATTTTATTTTTGTTGCTCTGATCACAGTGAGACCATCTGGCATACTGTCGATGTCTGCAAACACAAATTTAAGACCCTTGAGAAAATATAACATGCCAGGACGATTATAATGATGGCTATCAGGAGGATAGTACCAAGAAAGTGGAGTGTGCCCCTTAATCAAGGTCCCCTTGAACCAAATCAACTATTTCTAAAGAAACAGAAGAAAAGCAAAGGTCAATGACGAAAATAAACCAAAAATTCAGCTCTGAGTCCAGAGGGTAATTAGTCAAGAAGGTTTCTAGATTTTAGCTCAAGGCATATGTTCCCGGTTTGCAGTTTGAGTGTCCCTGCTTATGGCATTGGACATTTCAGGCAACTTCCTGAGTGGCCCACACGTCAGGCATGAGGGATATCCTCTGAAATTACATCCAATTGTTGATCTACAGCTTGTCGTGTTTCAGAAACAGAGCAGTTCTTCTTTTTAGTGATTCCAAGTCAGGAAAGTGGGAGAAAATTGGATTGTGGGAATCTATACCAATTCAAGATCCAGTTTAATTTATAGGTAAATAATGAAACTCAAAAGCAATGATTAGAGCCACGATCTAATAACAGGTGTACTATAGTTTCTTCTGAAACATAGTTTTTCTCTCTATAGTCATCCAAATTTTTACTGAAGATAATCAGAGTAAGAATAATTTGATTACCAAATAAATTTAGTCTCATCAAACTTGGCCTATTTATATAAGTGCAGCAAGACAGTAAGAATAGTGATTGGCCATATAGGTGCTTTTATTTATTTATTTTTCTGTTGTTGTTGTTATTGTTGAGTTGGAATCTCTCTCTGTCACCCAGGGTGGAGTGCAGTGGCACAACCTCAGCTCACTGCAACCTCTGCCTCCCAGGTTCAAGCGATTCTCCCACCTCAGCCGTTCAAGTAGCTGGGACTATAGGCATGCATCGCCACACCCAGCATATATATATATATATATATTCAGTTTGTCCTATATTCTTTATCTTTTTAATTGTGGAGCAATTAGTCACTCTAGGACAAAAACTACTCTCTTTTCAAAACACATCCTCATACTTCTTTCTTTATAAAACATGCCTACTTGCCTTGCATACAGAGTCGTTCACTTATTGTTTCTAGAAGTTTGTATTACATATAATAATCCGAATTTTTAACTTTTAGTAACTTTAACTTTTACTAAAAACTAGTAGGCATTGTTAACTGCTTTAGATTAGCATTTTGTAGATAAACATTCTCTCATAATACAATTTTTATGTCTTTAATTAATGGATTTATACACATTCAACTTCTTTATTCCATATAAAAAACGAGATGCCAAAATATATATACTTTAAACTTATGTTCAGCAATTAATGCTAAAGTATTTTAACTTAGGCCGGGCGCAGTGGCTCAAGCCTGTAATCCCAGCACTTTGGAAGGTCAAGATGGGCGGATCACGAGGTCAGGAGATTGAGACCATCCTGGCTAACACGGTGAAACCCTGTCTCTACTAAAAATACAAAAAAAATTAGCCGAGCGTGGTGGCGGGGCCTGTAGTCCCAGCTACTCGGGAGGCTGAGGCAGGAGAATGGTGTAAACCAGGCAGGCGGAGCTTGCAGTGAGCCGAGATCACGCCACTGCACTCCAGCCTGGGCGGCAGAGCGAGACTCCGTCTCAAAAAAAAAAAAAAAAAAAAAAAAAAGAAATAACGCAGACATTTAATGACAATCTGTTGTCATTAACAGTTGTTTAAAAATGTGTAGCACTTCCCCCTTTGTTCTCTCTCTCCTGCTCTGCTATGTGAAGATGTGCCTGCCTCCCCTTCGCCTTCCACCATGATTGTAAGTTTGTTGAGGCTTCTTCATCCATGCTTCCTGTACAGCCTGAAGAACTGTGAGTCAATTAAACCTCTTTTTTCATAAACTCTGCAATCTCAGGTAGTTGGTTATATCAATGTGAGAATGGACTAATATATTCTCCAAGTGGGCTTTGAAATCAGTAGCAATTTCTTTTCTCTGCAGGTCTAGTTGATGGATCAGTCAGCATGGACAGGAAACACTTTAGGAATGGCTTTCAAAAGACTGTGTGTGTGTGTGTTTCTTTTACTGGCTCATACATGGGCCAGATAGGGGTTTGTGATCACTAATATCCTAAAGGCAGTACCATTCTGACTCTTGCGTCCAATTTGAGCTTCTCTGGATCCTATCAACATGGATTTAACTAGATTACTAAGTTTAGGGTGAAACTCATTAATGCATAGGACAGACAAAGCCTTTCCTTTGCCAACAGGGATACCTTTCATTACTGCTCTGAGCGCCAAGATTGTAACCAATGCATAAGGGTGGCTAAAAGCAGACTGGGCCCCGCATGGTGGCTCATGCCTGTAATCCCAGTAGTTTGTGAGGCCAAAGCAGGAGAATCACTTGAGTCCAGGAGCTCAAGACCAGGCTGGGGATCATAGTGAGGTCCTGTTTCTACAAAATCAATCAATAAATAAACAAATAAATAAATAATTAGTCAGGTGTGGTGGCATATGACTATAGACCCACTACTTTGGAGGTTAATGTGAGAGGATTGCTTGAGCTTGGGAGGTTGAGGCTGCAGTGAGCTGAGAACATACCACTGCACTCCATCCTGGCTGACAAAGCGAGATCCTGTCTCAAAGAAAGCATACCTGGTTGATCTGAGAACCTGTCATTAGCAATCACTTATCTAGCTGTTTCTCCACCAACTCTTTGTTGGGGGGAGGCAAGCAAACCAGTAAAAATGTTAGCAGATTCAGAGTACAGAGGAGGATAGAGAGACAGATACAGTGCTTAGAAGCATCTATATGCCAATCCAAAATGCATCCCATTGTTTCTGAGGCATTCATGATGTTTTGTTTTGTTTTTTTTTCCCTATAGATGAGCAATTTGGTTTGGGTTACAACTTCATTGTGACCCAAAAAATTCTAAATTTTGGTAAGATTTACCTATTTTTCTAGAGGTTCTGATGTGGAGTCTCAGACTCCTTGGATTTAAAGAAATCCATTATGTTCTGTCTTTCTGGAAGCTTTTTTTTTTTTTTTTTTTTTACCAGAGGTCTTTCATTAAACCCAATTCAGTTTCTGTCTGACACAGTCAGAAATCTGAAGCCTCCCTACCGGACCCAGTCTTATTTCTGTTGCAACTTTCAAACCCAGTTGAAATAAAAAATGCTCAAGTAAACTTGGAGAAACAACAGAAGTTGTGGGGCTCTTGTATCCTATGGGGATTCCCAGTGATGACTTGCAAATGTGCAGCAAGAAGCAGGGAGCATGAGGTCAGTAGGGGGTCTACACCTGCCTGCTTGTTGCTCCCAGATGTCTTCATTGGGTAGTGTCCTTCAGATTCTCACTTCTGACACCAGATATAACAAAAGAAAAACTCAAGCACATTTAAATTTTAAAGAGTTTATTTGATCACTATTTCTTTAAAATTTAAATATTCTTACATTTTTATTTTATCATTGCCAATCACTAATTTGTTCTTCATGTCTCTAATTTTATTGTTTCAATAATGATATATAAATGAAGTTATAAAGTATAAAAATCTTTTGGATTTTTTTTTCTTAGCATAATTCTCTGGAGATTAATCTAGGTAGTAGACTGGATCAATAGTTTGTTCCTTTTTATTACCTAGTAATATTCCATGATATGTACTACAGTTAACCATATACCTATTGAATGATAGCTGTGTTGTTTCCAGTTAAGAGCTATACAAATAAAGCTTCTATAAACATTTGTGTACAGGTTTTTGTATAAAAATAAGTTTTCATTTCTCTCGGATAAATACCCATAATGCAATTTCTAGGTTATATAATACTCATTTTTTTTTCCCTTAAAGAAACCTCCAAATTGCTTTCCAGAGCAGCAGTTAATAGCCACCAGCCAACTATAAGCAACTCAGCTCCTCAGCTTCCCCACCAGCATTTAGTGTTGTCACTACTTTTTGTTTAGTCATTCTGATAGATGAACAGTGGTATCTCATTGTAGTATTAATTTGCATTTCCCTAATGGTTGATGATGTTGAACATCTTTGTATGTTCAAATTTTCCACCTGTGTATACTGTTTGGTGAAATGTCTTTTGTCTTTGCTTGTCTTGTAATTAATTGGATGGTCTTTCTACTGTTGCATTTTGAGGTATGTATATAATATTCCATATATGATATGAATAAATTATATTCCACATATAATATGGGATATATAGATATATATTTTAGATACAGTATTTTTGATATATATGTTCTGCATATATTTTCTCCAATCCTGTAGCTTCTCTTTTTTATATTTTTAACAGGGTATTTCATGGAGCAAAAGGATGTAATTTTGATGAGCTCTAATTTATGAATTTTTCTGTCAGAAATCATGTTTTTGGTGTCAAGTTTAATAATTCTTTGCCTAGTCCTAGATTCCAAAGATTTTCCTCTTATTTATAAATGTTTCATAGTTTTACATTTTACACTTAAGTCCATAATCCGTTTTGAGTTGAAAGTGTTTTTGATTTCCTTGAGACTTCCTCTTTGGTTCTTGCATTATTCAGAAATGTGTTGTTTAGTTTCCAAGAGGTTGAAGATTTCTCTATTTTCTTTCTGTTATTGATTTCCAGTTTGATTCTATTTTGTTCAGAGAACACACTCTGTATGGTTTCAATTTTTAATATTTTTCATTATTTTATGGCCCAGTATTTGCTCTGTCTTAGTATATTACATGGGCACTTAAAAAGATTAGCTCTCTATTATGCCAATATAGAAGTCTGATTCTGAATATATTTAACATGAACATAAATATATTTTGTCAAAATTTCTCAATTTATTGAAAAAACTCCTTTTAAGCAACTGTATGGTAGAAAGAGTATTAATTACAACTGCTAGAGAACTTGTTTCTCTCTGGCAGTTCTTTCGGCCAAAAAATTGAGCTAAGAAATTCGAGGCATAAATGCACTGCATTCATTCATTTGACAAATATTATGAAGTGTCTAGTACTACATTTTGAGACACCAATGTCAGTCAAACCCACCAGTTTGGTGAATGAGACAGGCTTTAACAAATAATCATGGTAGTGGATCTAAAAATTTCAGTTCCAAGACAGCATGTAACAAGTAAATTTCCACTAGTCAGGAAAGTTTTGCTGAGCAATATCTGCAGAATAAGCAGGAGATGAGTTTTGGTATAACTAACTCTACAAGGAGAAATTTGCTGAATTTTGAGCACCAGTTCTCAAAGTGGACATAAGACAGTAGGTTATCATAAGGGATGACAGTGTGACTTTGATGAAAGATGGGAAACCACTGTAATAACACAACATGAAATATGTCTTTAGCATTTGTTTTAGTGGTTGTTGACCAGTTTTCTCCAAATAAATCTCCAATAAGCACTTCCTTCCTATTTCTTCCATTTGGCCAACAGTTAGCTCATATCCTTATGATGTATTTTTTTTCCACAGGATGCTCTTGAGATGATTTAATATATGATGAATATTTCCTCTGTATTCCACCTTTTCATTAGTTCCTCAATTCTGATTTTTTAAATCAGTGTTTCTATATATTATGGAATCCATGTGATTATTTTTTGGATATATGTGTATGTATATGCTGGGGTAATATTTATCATAGAGGACAGAATAACCTTATTGCAGATGAGATGCTTGTTGATAGGGATAGGGAATGGGATAAGAAGTTATAATCAGTGAGGAAAAAACAGTGCACAAATATAGATCATTAGATTCAACCTTTGATGTTCTTATATTTCTCTTTCCACAATATGTTTCCACAATCTTTTCTCGCTAAGGATGTATCAGATGTATTCATGATCTTCCTCAAGCAGTGTTTTCTTGAATTATTCTTTCAAAACCCAAAAGATTTATCTTAGTTTAGGACCTTTGATGTTAAACTGCAGAAGCTTTTCTTCAAAGGTGAAAAGAATTTTCATTTCAATTTCCATCTTAACTTGTTTACAACATTCAAGATATTTGCTTGCAATTGAAATGTTAGCCTTGGTCTTATGAGATAAGTTTTATTTATTTATTATTTTTAAAAATTTATTTTATTTTATTTTAAGTCTTGGGATACATGTGCAGGACATACAGGTTTGTTATTTTTTTATTTGTTCCACATCTCTTCACTACCATTCCTCTCCCAATGCCCTCACTTTAGAAAGAGTAAATTAAATTGTCTCAGTTATTTTTAAGATATGAGACAGTGAAAAATATATTTTTCATTCGCTTAAAAATTGCTTGAAGCTTTATTTGTACTGATTTAACTCAGGAGTACATATAAAATTCATCCTTGGCAGTATTACGCAAGGGAATAAAAATAAAGCCAAACTAAAAAAAATCCCATATGATTTAAACCTTAAAACATATAACAAATATTTTATTCTTAATTTTGGTTATCCAAATACAATATGTGCATTTTCATGTAACAATACAATTATCAAAGGAGAATACTATAATTTTGTTTATTTTGCATAAATAATCATCAACTACCTGCTACATAAAATGTATTCAGAAACCAGGAGAAAATAGAGGTGAGCAAGGTTTAGTTTCTGCTACCAAAAGAGTCTAAAATGGGAGTACAGGATTATTATAGTACAAAAGAAGGGATATAAACAAAATGTTACAGGAATTCAGAAGAGGAAGAGATCCCAGACATCCTGAAATTCCACCACAACTATCCTGTTTCAAGCAGCCATCATCTGCTGTCTGGATCAAAGCAATAGTCTTCTGATTTGTCACTCTGATTTCACTCCTGTTTCCCTTTAATTCATTCTCTCCAAGTGCCCAGACTGACTTTTTAAAAAATGTAAATCCAATCATATCACTCCTTTGCTTAAAATCCTCTGGTTGTTTCCTACTGCACTCCAAAGTCTTCACTAAACCCACGAGGTCCTCCAAGATCCAGACCCTGCCCCCCTCCCTTTCAGTTGTGTAAATGCAAGCTCCTTCCTGCCTCGGCCCTTGATCCTCCGTGAGCTTGGAATCTTTTCTCCAAAACCTTGCCTTGACTTGCTCCCTTACGTAGTTCATGTCCTAGGTCAAGTATGCATGTAAAGTGCTCACAAACACCTGCCACTCCTATGAGGCTAATTATGCCTTATAGAAGTGTTTGCTGGAGATGACCATGTAATCTCACATAATCCTTGCATTGCTTTTTTTTTTTTTTTAAGAAGACATTACTTGGTGTTATCTCTTAACGCACTGTAATACAGGACATATGTTTTTATTTATTTGCTGGCTTATAATTTATCTCCCCTTACTAGTATATAAGCTCTGTGGGCAAAAACTATGTGTTTTGCTTTCAGTTGGATTTCCAGGGTCTAGATTAGTGCCAGCTATCTTGTGGACATTTAATAAAAAATATGCCACAGGAATTTTTTTGAACAAAACGTTACTTTAATAAAAATTTAATTGTCTCAGTTTGGTTTAAAATTAGGAATCCTCTTTAGACAAGGTGAGTGTGCATGTTATTTTTCTTGGCTCTAAAACTGTGTGTTAGGAGTGGAATTAAATGAGAGAGTTTTTTTTTTTTTTTTTTTTTTTGAGACGGAGTCCCGCTGTTTAGCCCAGGCCGGATTGCAGTGGCGCAATCTCGGCTCACTGCAAGCTCCGCCTCCCAGGTTCACGCCATTCTCCTGCCTCAGCCTCCCGAGTAGCTGGGACTACAGGCGCCCGCCACCGCGCCCGGCTAATTTTTTGTATTTTTAGTAGAGACGGGGTTTCACCGTGTTAGCCAAGATGGTCTCGATCTCCTGACCTTGTGATCCGCCCGCCTCGGCCTCCCAAAGTGCTGGGATTACAGGCGTGAGCCACCGCGCCCAGCCAAATGGGAGAGATTTTTTTAGGCTGTGAAGGATGTAATGATGTTACTATGAAGACAACCCCTGGCTCATAATTGCTCATCATAGTGTCCCCCAACCTCTATACCATTATGATGGTTTGTCTCTGAGACCTGAAAGCTTTAAGAAGGTTAAGATTTTAATTCTTATGTGCATTCCACAAGGCCAGGGATGATACTTTTATTGACCATGAAATTGATTTTCAGCACTGCTTGCTGAAAGGGCCTCCTTTCTGCATCATAACATGGCAATAGGGCAAGGCACATAGTGGTAGCTCAATAAATATTTGCAGAATGATTGAAGCAACTAACATCTTGAAGGAATTATAGGAGCTAATAAATGAGTCAGGCAATAGGCTCTTAGGTCCAAGCAATAGACACCTTTTTCCTCAGGAAGAAAGAGATTATAGAATATTACAGACTGAACAGCACAGTAATTCATCCACAAACTTGGGTGACAGATGTGGCAAAGTTTAGATCCATTTTCTGTTATTGATGACATTGGGGCTTATTCAATAAGTATGTCACCACAACTTGTGACTTTTATGACAAAAGTGGTCCTAATTCATTCAGTGGGAATACCTTCAAGATAGCTTTGGTACCTTTTCAGTTATAGGCCTGTTGTTGGTGATTACTATGTTGATTACAAATATATCTTTAACGTTTCATAGCCTACATAGAGTTAGTATTAAACTCTTAAATATTAAATATTAAAATATAAGAACCTTGCAACCACATAGCTCCATTTATATTGCCCTCCATCCTTTATGTTATAGTTGTCTTATGTATTTCCTGTGCACACATTATAAATCCCACAAAACAAAGTTACATTCTTTTTGCTTTCAACATTCCTGCATATTTTTAAAAAATTGGGAGAAAAAAATTATGTTTTCTCAAATATTTGTTATTTCTGATACTCTTTTGTCTTCCATGAAGATCCAGATTTCCCTTTAGTCTCATATTCTTCTCACTTAAGCAACTTCCTTCAGGCCTTTCTTACAGTGTAAATCTACTGGTGATGAATTCTCCAAGTTTTTTTGTATCTAAAATGTCTTCGGGTCGCCTTTATTCTTGTTTTGGACTGAATGCATATGTTCCCCTGCCCCTCTCAAGCCCCCAACACACACCCAAATTCAAATGTTGATGCTCTGACCCCTAGTGAGGCTGTATTTGGAATAAGGAAGTAACTAATGTTAATGAGGTCATAAGAGTAAGGCCCTGATCCAATAGAGTTAATGTCCTTACAAGAAGAAACAACACAGACCTCTCTCTCTCTCTCTGTCTCTGTCGCTGTCTCTCTTTGTCTCTCTCCAACTGCATACATCAGGGAAAGGCCATACTAGCACACAGCAAGAAGGCAGCCATCTACAACCCAAGAGGAGAGCTCTCACCAGACACCAAACCTAATGACACCTTAACCTTGGACTTTCGGTCTACAGGACTGTGAAAGATAAATTTCTGTAACTTGAGCCACCTGGTCTGTACTAATTTGTTATGGCAGCCTGAGCAAAATCATACAGTTTTAAAAGGATATTTTGCTGGATATAGATTTCTGGGTCAAAATTTTGTTTTGTGTGTTTTTTTTTTCTTTCAGCACTTTAAACATAATTTACTATTTCTTGGTCTCTATAGTTCTATCGTTTCTGATGAGAAATCAGTGGTTATTCAAATTGTTGCACTCCTATATGTAATGTGATGATTTTCTCTGGGTGCTTTCAAAATTTTCTCTATACCTTTGTTAATCAGCAGTTTTACTATGAGATAAGAAGGTATGGCTTTCTTTGTATTTATCCTGTTTACACTACACTAGCTTCTTGCATTTATAAATTAACATGTTACATCAATTTTGAAAAATTTTAGGCCATTATTTTCTCAATTATTTATTTGTCTCATATTTTCTTCTCCTCTCAATATTTCAACTAAATGTATGTTGGATCTTTTAGCATTATTTCTCATATCCCTTGTGTGTTCATTTATTTTTTTTCAACATTTTTCTCTGTTCTTTGTATTGGATCACTTATATTCATCAATTTTTATGCCCATGGACTTCTTCCCCTGACACCTCAAAACGCCCATCCAATGAATTTTTATTGGTTTTTCTTTTAGTATTTTTAACTATCTTTTATAGTTTCTATTTTTTTTCTGCTGAGATTTCTTACCTTTTCATTTATTCTGAGAAAATTTAATTTTGCCTGATCAAGCATAGTTATAATACCTTCTTTGAAAATCCTTGTATACTCAAGAAAACATCTGGATTATTTCAGGGTAGATATCTGGTGATTGTCTTTTCTCTTGAGAATGAGTCAGATTTTCCTGGTTCTTTGCATGATGGCTAATTTAAGATTGCAGTCTGGATATTATGTTGTAGATTCTGTTATATTTTTCTAAAGAGAACTGATTTTTTTTTTGTTTGTTATAGTAGGCAATTTAAACTTGGTTGGATGCAAATTGTAAACTCTATTTTAGGAAGGCAGCTCAAATTTTCATCAGTTCTTTTATGTTATGCTAGAATTTGTCCTTATATTTATTGAGAGTCAGCCAGAGCTTCTGGTGGATTTTGTCAACAGAATTTTGGTAGGTAGTCTAATAAAATATTGCTAAAACAGGTGTTAATCAGGGGTTATAAAATAACATTAAGGGCCTATATTTGTCAGATCATGGTAAGGAAGTATATACAGAACCACATAGTATCCTGTTACTAATTATGGACCAGAATAAGTCATTTGAACAGTTGGCTTTTCATGTCTTCTATATGGATGGTGGGTCTTCTACTGAAAGCTACCTCAGGGAATATCAAGCAGATAGACACATTCCTACACCTTGAAACTTTGCCACACCACTTTTACTTGTCCCATAAGGGCTATCTACTACATTTTCAATGATTAAGGTTACTCCAAAGCTGCCGGAATCAATGGGTTGGGTACTTGATGCAGAGTGCTTTTCAGGGTATGGAAAATAAAATATCTAGGGTCTGCACTTGACTTGGACAGTGTAACATTAAAACCCACCTTTAATCAACCCCTATCACCTCATAACCAGGTAGAAGACCAAAATGTGGTATTTTGAATAGCTCTGTGATTTTAGACAAGTCAGTTTAACCTCTCTAAGTCATAGTTTACTTGTTCACAAAATGAAGGTAATAATATCTACCTTTAAGAGTTGTTAGAAAAAGATAAGATGACTTTTGTAAAAAAAAAAAAAAAAAGAAAGAAAGAAAGAAAAGAAAAGAAAAAAAACCTGGCACACAGCATGTACTTTAAAAATGGTAATATTTTTATCATAAAAAAAATTCAACAAGTAGTTCATACTACCTCAAAAGTGATCCTGTTCAAAGGACATTCAGTAATTAAGTGTCATACTTTTCTACTTCTTTTGTTAAAATGTTTATATTTAATTCATTTATTTTTTATTCTTTTTGAGACAGTCTTACTCTGTCACCCAGAATGGAGTACAGTGGCACTGATCTTGGCTCACTGCAACCTCTGCCTCCCAGGTTTATGTGATTCTCCTGCCTCAGCCTCCCCAGTAGCTGGGATTACAGGTGCGTGCCACTACACCCAATTAATTTTTGTATTTTATTTATTTATTTTTTTGAGACGGAGTCTCGTTCTGTCGCCCAGGCTGGATTGCAGTGGCGCGATCTCGGCTCACTGCAAGCTCCTCCTCCTGGATTCACGCCAGTCTCCCTTTTCAGCCTCCCAAGTAGCTGGGACTACGGGCGCCTGCCACCACACCCGGCTAATTGTTTGTATTTTTTAGTAGAGACGGGGTTTCACCATGTTAGCCAGGATGGTCTCGATCTCCTGACCTCGTGATCTGCCCGCCTCAGCCTCCCAAAGTGCTGGGATTACAGGCGTGAGCCACTGCGCCCGGCCAATTTTTGTATTTTTAATAGAGACAGGATTTTACTATGTTGGCCAGTCTAGTCTCAAACTCTTGATTTCAAGAGATCCACCTGCCTCGGCCTCCTAAACTGCTGGTATTTTAGGCATGAACCACCACCTGGCCTTAATTCATTTATTCTTTAATTCATTCATCAAATATTTATTGCTGTGTCCAAGACACTCTGATAAACACATGGGCTCAGCAGAATGACTGCAAACATTGTCTTGTTTTTTTATGGACCTTACAATATAGCACAACAGACATTAAAAAATGAATTAATAATCATTAATTACGATTGTGAGAATATTGCAAAGATGATAAGACAAGGCTTGCAGTTCAGACTTGGAGCTTTTGGAACTTTCCATTTTGGAGCCTTTAATTTCTTTGTAAGAAGTTTGACTCCCTGGTTGGAGAGTGCAGGTGTAGAGACTGTGAGACCACGTGAAAAGAAGGAAGAGCCCAGCTGAGCCCAGTCTTCTACTTCTTTTCAGCAAGGTGCCAGGCATTTGAGTAAAGCCTTAAGCATTAAGCACCCTGCAGACCAGAACAGATATTAATTGGAAATGAATCCCTAGTTGATATCATATGGCACCAAATTACTCAGCCAGACCAAATTCCTGTCCAAAATGGTGAGATAGGATAGAATGCTAGTAGTGATTATTTTAGCCCTAAGATTTGGGGGGATGTGTTATGCAGCTATATATACTAAGAGAGATGTTGATTTTTATTAAGAGAAAGAATTATGCCCAATTTATTTTTTAACATTATAAGAAACATTTATAGATAAGTAAATAAACAGATAAACAAGAAAATGTACATGAGTACGAGGTTCGTTTTATTGGAAAGAGCTGAGGTGATAGTCTTCCTGCTCCAAGACCACTGCTATAACTTTCCTTGAGATGAGTGGAAGAACCATGTTAGATGTGGAGTCTCCTATCATTGAATGAGGCCTGTTATATTTCTGGCAGAGGTCACTTTCGAGTAAATACTGTCAAACAGAAAGTCTCGGAAGCGAGCATGTTGATATAAAGCAGATATTCTTTCCCTGGCTCTGTGCAGCGCTTGAACTGCTGACTTCAGATAACATTCTTGTTGACAGGCCTGCAGAAGAACTACAGTGTAGCACAGACAGAGCGCCAATAGCCTCACACATCCAACACTTTTGCAATGAAATTCTAATGCTCTGATTTTTGGTTTGGCTCTGTTTATCACAGGGCTCCATGTGTCTACACAGACAGGAGCTCCGTGTGATCACAAAGATACAAGGATATCAGGAGTTGGAAAAACTTGGCTGATGATCTGAGCTCTACCACCTACCAACCCTGTGGCTTTGCAAAAGCTACTACAACTCTCCTCTACAGTTTTCTCAACTGTAAAATGGGAACAACAATATCTGTCTCATAAAGATGAGGTTCGAATGAGTTAGTCTACATGTGAGTGCTTTATTGAAAGTAAAGTAACAAGCATTTTCTTTTTTAATATCCCCAAGTCGTTTACCATTTAGTCTTACACATAATATGTTAGCAGTGCTTTCAGAAAGTCAGTCTAAACTATAATTGCCTATTTTGATAATTAGCAATTTTGTAATAACTTTTCCCTTTGCTGCTGATTGCTCATCTAGATGGCTGTGCTTGCTTTTTAATTGTATGAGTGTCTATTAAAGTGAGGGAAGAGCATTTTGCTTTTGAAAATAAAGAACCTTAGTTCTTTCAGAGCTATTCAGCAGTTTAAAAAATCCATTGAAATGTTCACTAAGTAAAATAGGGAAAATCAAATGCTTATGCCACTTCATTAAGGTACTTTCAAATCAAAATCACAAAATCAAGGAAAGTTTATAGCCATTTTTCACTAAGTTTTAAGATATATTTTGAGTTCTAAGAGGTAGTAAAATTGAGAGCTTGGAAAAGTATTTATTTTTATTATTTCTAGCAGAAAATTTGAGGGTTTTATGGTATTTATTTATCTAGAAGTCACATAATGTAAACTACCTATTTTACTGGAACCTTAAAATAAAGTCCTCATGTATAATAATTTTATAAGACTTAAAAAGGATGAAGTTATATAGTTCATTTTCTCAAATTATTGTATCTGTGAAAGGTACAGATACAATAAAGTTTACTATAATTTGACTTAAAATATCAATGACTTTGCTAATGAATTTGCTAATCTATGGGCTAAGAAAACTTTTTTGAAAGCTGTAAATTAATTATTTTCAAATTATTTTTCTTATCAATTTAAAGATAAAATATCTGGTAGTTGATATTAATACTTTTCTCATTGCAGTTCCAATAATACAAATATAACTGTTCTGTCAAATTATAAACCTTGAAAATCTGAGACAGGTGTCAGTTAATTTAGACAGTTTATTTTTGCCAAGGTTGAGGATGCATGCCCATGACCCAGCCTCAGGAAGTCCTGACGACATGTGCCCAAGGTGGTATGGTCACAGCTTGGTTTTATACATTTTAGGGAGACATGAGCCATCAATCAATATGTGTAAGATGCACACTGGTTCAGTCTGGAAAGGTGGGACAACTGGAGGCAAAGGCAGAACAACTCAAAGTGGGGAGGGGCTTCCAGGTCATAGGTAGATAAGAGACATGGTTGCATTCTTTTGAGTTTCTGATTAGCCTCTCCAAATGAGGCAATCAGATATGCATTTATCTCAGTGAGCGGAGGGGTGGCTGAATAGAATGGCAGGCAGATTTGCCCTAAGCAGTTCCCAGCTTGACATTTCCCTTTAGCTCAGTGATTTTGGGGCCCCAGGATTTATTTTTCTTTCATAAAATAATACTATTTAATACACATTAAAGATATATGTTGCATTTAATGAAAAATTTTGCAAGCAGTCAACAATGGAGTGTTTATAAAAATGAAGGCAGTAATTAGGATTGTTGGATATTTTATTCAAGTTATTTTGAGAAAGGAAAACATAATACTTCAATCGTAACACTTTGATATACTCTCTTTTAATATTAAAGAAAAAAAAATTACAAATATCAAAATTACTCCAAATTTTCAGATAAGGCTTATAATGTGATCAAAGGCATTTGTAAAGGCCTTTATTAATATTTATATTGTTTAATGATACATCTAAGGGGAGAGAGTACTCTGATATATAATAGTTAACTCATCCTAGGAGTATTTGTATTAAGAAGAATTTTACTAATTTTACTTTCAATTTCTGGCACTATGCTCATTGAATGCTTGTGTTCCTTATGCAGGAGGGGCTAAGATGATAGAGTTCCAAAGGTTTGAATCAGAAGTAACCCAGGGACTAAAGTTGTGACAAAATGTGATTCAGGATATTATCATAAATAAGCTATTGCAGAGCCTGATATCAGATTCAATTCCTATGATGAAGCAGATGTTTTCCCCATATTTACGTACTCTTTTCCCCTAATATTTGTTTTCACCTTCAAGAATGTGTTTGATTTGTGGACAATCTAGTGGCAAATACGTTTGTACAAAATTGTTTTCGGTACTTTAATTGCTAAAAGAATGATTAGGTTTTAAAGAAAACAATCTTCAAGTAGCCTTGGACTTGCTCAAACTGTGTAAAATATTTTAAAAAAAAGCCCAGAAAAAAAGAGACAACTATACAAGGCAGATACTACAATATCCTTTATATTTCATTTCAACTTAATTTTATGGTCTGGTTATGGGGATTTTCTTCTATCCCATATTCCTTCCTGAATATAAAATATTATCATACCAAGATTAAGAACGGAGAATATTAGGTTCTTTTTCTAAAATTATTCTTTATACACACACAGCTAAGTATAAATTTAAAACTGATAATATAATCTCTTCTATGACTCAAGTAATAAAAAATTCAATTTAAGAAAAAAAATTGAGTATGTACTCTTTACATGATACTCTAAATTACTTAGTGAAGTATGATAACCTTAAAAGAAAATAATTTTTCTGAGGAAGACTGCAATCTATTCACGGATACCAGGAATAAATATATGTGGAGTTAAAATAACGCAATAGGCAGAAAACACATAGCACAGAATAGTTCATCATTAAATTGCTGTTTACCCTAACATTAAGGAGCCCTCAGTCTCCCCAGTATTTCAATCAGGTCTGAGAGCTTCACCCTGTTAAAAGATCAAAATAAGCACCTCAGCCACATTCCCATTTATAATAGTTAAAACAAGAGGTGTTTGCCTTTGAGTCCATCTCTTCCCATACTTGATGCATCTCTTCTGATCTGACTCAATCTGTCATAAAGAAAAGGAAAAGTATCTTTCTTAAGACTTTATCTCTCCATCCTTTTGAGCTCTAAGTCTGTAATCAGTGAACATCTTTAAATTATTACTCTTTTCTCTGATTGTTCCCTTCATGTCTGTGTTTTTACTGAAATTGAGCTGTCCCCTGAGGAAGCTACTTCTCTTCAAATAGAATCAAAGTTGTTTTTCTTTTCTCTTTTATACCATGTTCCTCAGGGCCAGGAGGGGAAGTGAACTTCCTCCTGGCCCACACTGACAGTTTCCAAGTGTAACAACCTGTTGCTTTTGCAAACCCTTGCTCGTTTGAAGCCTATGCTATCAGGTTATATTACCCACTCCTTTGCCTCCCTAATTACCCACTCCTTTGCCTCCTACCAATCTCTTGTCAAGCTCTCCAGGCATTCAAACTTTTAACTGGCTTGTTTGTTCAAAAGTCCTCAATATAATTATTTTTATTGCTGTTCTCACCAAACGTCTAATCTGCTGACTGACTGCTTTCTTATTATTCATCAGCTTTCACCTGTCTTCACTTTCTTCATTGTCTAGCATATATTTCATAACCCATGGTAATATGACAGTAACAATATTTGATGTGTATTAAATACTTTACCAGACACACTGTTTAAAGAGTTGTACATGCTTTACATTCAACTCACCCAACTGTATGAGGTAAGATCTATTATCCCCATTTCAAAATGGAGAAATCAATAGTCAATCATTTAAATATATATATGTAAATGATCCCCAATTTCCTCACTTGCTTCCTTCTTGCCATTGTTCTAAACTTGCACAACCTTGATCCTGAAGCAACCTAATTGTGTTTCCTCTTATTTGCACACAGACAGGTGAACTTTGCTGGAATAACTAACACAATTATTCAGACTGATTGTACTTTATGTTCTCAAGTGGGGACTCAGTACTACTGACAAGCGTATTTATGTTTTTCTGTGGGGCTAACTTCCCATTCTTTGGGATAACTACTACTTCTAGGGTCTCTTCTCACATGTCACACACCTCCGTGCCTACACTTCCCTCTCACCTGATGACCTCACTTCATACGTTGTTTAGAAGTAAGATGGCATTGAGAAGGAAACTCCCTCATTTTCATATTAATCCATCTGTGAACATACCTGCCCCTGCCACCTTTTGTCTCTCCCTGCTGCTGATGGACCTTTTCTTCCTCCTGTTGAAGGCCAGCCCTGCACTTCTGAGCTGAATCTTGCTTCTCAAGTATTGTGTTTCCTTCTCTCTTTGGAGCTTTTAACATTCCTTTAAATCTAAGCTGCCATTAAATATAGGTTGTGCCATTACTTTATGTACATTTATTTTATTTTCTTTAATCCTGGTAAAATATACAAAACACAGAATTTGCTATGTAAACCATTTTTAAGTGTGTAGTTCAGTGACAACAAGAACATTCACATTTTTGTATGATCATCGTCCATCTCCAAAACTTCTTTCATCCTCCCAAATAGAAATGACATACCCATTAAACAATTACTCCCCATTTTCCCCTACTCCTACCTCCCTTGCCCTAGCACTACCATTCTGCTTTCTGTCTCTATAAATAAGACCTCGTGAGTTACATCTTGAGGTACCTTTAGGTATCTCAGATAAGTGGAATCATACATTATGTTTTCTTCATCACTGGGTGATTTCACTTAGCATAATGTCATTAAGTCCCACCTGTGCTATAGCATATGTCAGCATGTCCTTCCTTTTTAGGGCTGATTATACTCTGTCACATGTATGTACCACATTTTGTTTATCCAGTCACCTGTTGATTGACACTTGGGAATATTCTACCTTCTGACTACCGTGAATAATGGTGCTATAAACATGGGTGTGCCTTCAATTCTTTTAAATGCATACCTAGTAGTGGAATTGCTGTATCACAGAGTAATTCTATGTTTAATTTTTTTGAAGACCTACTATATCATTTTCCATAGAGACTGCAGCATTTTACCTACTCACCAGCAATGCAGAAGAGTTTTGATTGTTTTTTTTACATCCTCATCAACATTTCTTAATTTGTTTTTTGTTACCACTTTTATAATAGCCTTTATCTGCATTTCACAGAGATAAAAAATATATGCTTGAAGACAGGAAAGCTAATAAAAAATTCCCAAATACTTGAACATCAAAGGCCTTCATCTTCAATGTAAGGATGTGTGAGGACAAAAGCCTACTAGGCAGAAAGGGAAAGCAATGGAATGTGCCAATTTTAACCTTGACACAGAATGAAAAGAGGAGGGGGGAAATAGCCCAAGAATTGAACACAAGTGAGCTTCAAAGACCTCAAGTGGAAAATTTAATCTAAAAAGGATTTTGGTGAATATTGCCTCAAGATGACTTGTAGAAGCTAATGCCAATCCTCTACACTTCATTTAATGGATTATGAAACATATTCCAAATTCAGAATCACTAAAATGTGAAAAAAACCCCTGTATTTTAAAATTGAAGAAATATGATATTTCTACCCAGAAAATCATTCCCAATTAACATATACACAGTGTCCTTCATCTTAAAAAATATAATAAATCTGAACCCCTATTTTCCTCAGCTATAACTCAATTTATTTGATTGTCTTTGTTGATACAGGTTTTTCAAGAGTAATCTCTACAAGGCTCTATCTGCTTTCTTTACCACAATTTACAGTTTTTAAAAAAACACTTTTTTTTAAATAATATAAATAATATGTAAGCACATTACCATTGTATAAGGCACAAAAATTACAGAAGAATGCAAGTTTTAAACCATTCTCTAATGCCTCCTTCCCTTCACAGTATAAATAAATAAATATATATTTATTTCACCGTGTTAGCCAGGATGGTCTCGATCTCCTGATCTCCTGATCCACCTGCCTCGGCCTCCCAAAGTGCTGGGATTACAGGCGTGAGCCACCGAGCCCAGCCATATTTATTCTTTCAAACCTTGATTTTAAAAAAGTCATTCACTAAGAATATGTCTTGGACAACTGTCCTTAGTACATTTAAGGCTACCTCAGTGTTTTTATTGATTGTCTATCTTACAGCAGAGACGCACACTTCCATTACTGAGAGAAATTAAAATTATTTCTAATCCTCACTATTTCAATGCTGCTATGAATAGATCCCTAGAAGTAAAATCTCTGGCTCTCAAGAGTGCATTTTACATTTTGACAGACATCACTAGTTGATGCTACAAAAAATACTTCCATGACTTACATTCTGAATGAGAGTTTAATAGACAGCCAGGAGCTGCGGCTCACACCTGTAATCCCAGCACTTCAGAAAGCCGAAGTACGTGGATCACTTGAGCCTAGAAGTTCAAGACCAACCTGCAGAACATGGTGAAACCCCATCTCTACAAAAAAACAAACAACAACAACAAAAATTTCAGTAGACACCCCATCTCATCACATCACTAATTAACTCCATGCCACTTCAACTTTTGTTAAGAACTAATCCTTCAAGCTGCCAAATTCACAAGCACTGTTCTGTTCTGTTCTTACTTGGCACTTCTGCCATCTTTCATAAAACTGACTGATTGATTCCTGCCGAAAAAAGTGAGAGCTGAACTTTGAACAAAGTTTATGGAGAAACATTAGCAAAAGTGTTTCCAGAATTCCCTCAGAATTCTTATCTCATTGTCCAGGACTGAGTTTTGTGACCATCTCAGCTGCAAGGGAATCTGGAAATTTGGGTAAGATCATTTCCATGTTGGTTTAGATCAATCTTAATTTATATCCTTTTATATATTTACTTAAATGTATGTTAAACACTTAATTAAAGATAACTGAAGTCATTTTACCAACCAGGGGCTACTGATGAGAGGTCACTATTACAATATTAATAAAGGAAAATTATATAAAATTGCCACATGGCATATTATCATACAGTTATACAAGTTACACTAATTTGGTATCAAAAGGTATGGATTTTGTCTCAGTTCTCTCACTAGCTACATAATTTTGAGTATGTCGGTAAGCTTCCTATTTTTTCATCTGTTAAATGAGGTTGATATAGCCAACTTAAATAATTCTCAGAGGAGCTAAAGAAATTAAAATGAGAGAGTAGATTCAGAAGTCAGTCACAAATACTTATGTATCATATAGAGTGGTCTTTATTACATATATATACACACACACATATAAACTTTAATTTTGTTAGTGGAAAATACTAGTATTCTAAGTTTAAACAAGGAGTATAATATGACAGCTTTATATTTGAAAATGAGTATGTCTGACACACAGAAACTTTATACAACTACAAAAGAAAAATGTACAATTATTAAAATTACTACATGGGGAAATTGAAACAATTTTATTTAAAAGACACACACACACACACACGAAACACACACAAACAAATAAAAAAAAAAAAGCCTTTGTATATAGCACTTCCTACATGCCAGGTGCAATTCCTAGTCTTTTACAAATATTGACTTCTACCTCATTAAATCAGTTTGAACTAGTAAATACCATTTAAGTTTCACATATGATGAAACTAAGGCAAAGAGGGTTGGGAAACTTGCTCTACATTATAAAGCCAGTCAGTGGCAGAACTGGGATTTGAAGCCAGATATTCTGCTCCAGAATCTGCACTCTGCTGCTGTACAGGGTGCCCTATTATTATACAAGTTGGGATCAGGCTTAACTGCAAGAATACTGTGAATTATGAATTACATAAATAGGGAGTTATTTATTCTATAACTTGGGGTCTGGAAGTGGGCCATGTTGGCTTGATTATATAGAAAAATGGCATTAGGGACACAGGATTTTTTTCTATTTTATTACCTTCCCACGTTAAGACGGTTTCCCTACACTCACAGACACATTCAAACAAGAGAGTCAAAGGTAGGACTACAATGCTTACAATTTGTCTCCTTCCTGCTCAGCTCTAGGCCAATGTGGTTTATTTGCTTTGCAGCTAGTAGGTGGAGAGTCAGCCTGGGGCAATAGGGATAAAATGGGTTTGCATATCAAACTAACCAGGGTTCAAGTTGTTCTACCTTTTTTGTTCTGTTACCTGGAACAAGTTATTTTTAACCTCTCTGAACATCAGTTCTCTCTTCTTTATAATGGAGACAACAGTTCCTTTCTTTCAGGTTTGTTGTACAGAATAGAAATTATACGTATAAAGCAGTGACCTAGAGCCAAGTTACTACTTCTTTTACCTACAAGGGGCCATCCCTTAATATCTGAATTGCAAAGGCCCTAGTACAATCCTGAATGGGACTTGCCAGGCACTGGATTTATTTCCTTGCATTCTGAGGTGAGATTAGCAGAATGAACCTATATTAACTCAAACTAGCCCTGCTGCTAAGTAGTATTTAGACTTTCTTGTTTATTTACCTTCATCACCACCTCACAATTTCTTTGTGGCACTAGCCTCATTCTATTCTTAACTGCCCTTTCCCTATATCTTCACTTGCAAAACTTGGTTAGAGAATTAGAAACATCTTTTCTTCTTAAAGACCCTACCCTATTGCTCCCTGAGATCACAATTATTCTGAAATAAATATCCTCATTTTCAACTCAGCAAGGCTTATCCACAATGAAGGACGGATATCTTCCTGGAATACTCATTCCTTGAGCCCCTGAAGTCTAAATTTCCTTTGAAATAAAGAAGTTAACTTTTAACTTTGCCTTTTGTAAACCCTGAGTCCCACTGTTATCACCTATGTGTCCCTTCGTCTTCCTCTACAGAGTTTAAGGAGAAAAATAAAATAATAAGAAAAAGAGGACAGGCAGGAATCTTTGAGTGCACAGCTATTTTTCTTTCCTTGCAGCAGAAAAGCCCCTTGAATTTTCAAAAGTGGCCAATTCTGGGATTATAGAGTATCAGGAAAGCTCCAGGACTATTCTTGGCACCAGCATCAAGCCAGAGAAGGAAAGACACAGTGAAACTGAAAAGAGAAATAGTGCAGAGGCTACTTCCTGTGTTCTTCATGAGGAATGAGCAGATGGTATGGAGCCAAGACTTAACTGGGAGCCACTTTAGATAGCTATGTTAGCAAGAAGTCCAGGTAGTCCACACAACCACAGTTCTAAATTCTTTTGCACTCTTTGAGCAAAAAGCCCTCTTCTTGAGAACATGCCTACTTATATTGAATTGTTTTTGTGTGTGCAGAACATGTTTCTATTATGAAAAAGTTGCTAGGGTACCTTAAAGGGTCACCTTGGCAGATGACCTGATTATTTACTGGGTTTCTGTTGGCAGAAACTTAGATGGGGGATCTAATATGATTAAAATGTAAGAGAAATGAGTCCGCTGCAGGATGTTCGAAACTGCCAATGGGAAGCAAATAGGTTCTAGCCATAATGGTGCCTACCACAGGATCACAAGTGAGACTGGACCCAGAGGCTGAAGAAAATAGGGAAAGAAAGAAAGCTTATTCAAAAGGAAGAATCAGCTTTAACTCTGGTTAGTGATCATGCCTCAAATAAATTCAACAGATCCAAAAAACTTAGACAAATATGAGTTTTAGGGACTCAGTCCTTTAACCCTCCAAGACAGGCATAAGAAGTAATTTATATATTGGCTCTGGACGGTCCTCTTTCTCATTTAGGGATCAATGACTATCATATATGTCAATGTCTTTCCCACTCATGATACTCTTAACCTACCTATCTCTTGACAGTTTTCCTGAAGCCCATAGACACTAATTGGGATCCTGACCACTCAGATCCATGTTGCTAACACCTATATGCAATATTTTATGTGACTCACTGAATTGACTCTTCCTTTTCCCATATATACCAAACATAAGAATGGCGCTGCTGACTGAGTCATATGAACACTATATATTGGAGTATCCAGTTGCCTTCTCTGCAGTCAGTATCAGTTGAACATATTGCTAGTACCTAAGCATATCAATCATGATTTTAGTAAGTTCGATGAAGATAGGAATTAGACCTGTATCATTGGCCATGTAGTCCCACCTACAACTTATTAAGTGTTCAGTGAATGAATGAATCAGGCTAACAGCATGTATGATGCATGTCTGATTATTTTTTCAACCAACATATTATTATAAGTGATGGATTCCATATCATTTGTATATTAGTTACATCAGGCACATTCTGGATTAAATAGGATCTTATGGCCTAACTTGGGTACCCAACTGACACGTAAAACATTGTTTTTATGGAGGAATACATTCCCATTTTGAAACAACTCATCTGCGAATGAACTTTTAGAATACGAACCATCTGTATATTGGAGACTGCGTGTCTTTAAATTTATTTGAGTCATTTTTTTCCCCATCTCAAATTTTTTTGCCTCACAGGATGTGTCTTAACATGTTGCGCTGAGCTTTTTCTTTCCTTTTGTTCCTATTTTTTCCCTTAAAAATCAGTCCTCTGAAGGTCTTGGCCACGTGTCAGTGCTATATTCACAAGGATTAAGGATCAGCAGGGCTGCTGTGCAGCAATTCAGAAATTGAGTGCATCCTGTGGATTGGCAGCACATAGCCTGCTATTGTGCAGCAGGCACTGGTGTTCCAGTAAAGGCATGTTAAATTTAGCAGCTGTCTTGTATTTGTCACTGGGGATAGGGTGGAGGCAGTTGGCTGTAATCTAGATCCATTTGGGAATTTTACTTGAAAGTTTAAAGGATTCATCTGAGGGAGAACATATTTCACCTAGTCTTTTCTGTAAATTGTAATAACTCTGCTCTGAAAACGCACACACACACACACGGACACACGCACACTCACACACATGCATGTACTGCGCACCCTATGTTCTTTGTGGTATCTTCCTTGTTTTAAGGATTCTATTCAATTTCATATAAACTACCAGGCCTTTCAGTGACAGCTTATGGAGGCCATCATTCTGGTTATTTTTATTCATACTCTATGTCTGTTTACAACAGACGAATAAATCACTTGGAAAGAAGTGAGAGAGGGTAACAAAGGAGTTAACAATGAATCAATTGTCATGATGACAGCTGAGTTTTTTTTTTTTTTCTCTTAATAGACACTCAGGTGGGTGGGCAATGATGCTAAACTCATTTATTTTATAGTCCCTCCTTACGCCAGCTATAGTCTAACTATGCTAAACTATGATAGGCTCAAGGAAACTTCAAGATGGAAGTCAGCCCTGGAAATCATCTAAATGAAGCTTTTATTTTACTGCAAAGAAGACTGAGGTACAGAGGAAGGATGAAGGAATTAGAATAAGGCAGTTATGGCATACATGACAACAAGATACTTGATTTCTAGTCTAGTGCTAATTTTACTGCTTAACAATAATTAAGGGGGGTGAGATAAAACCTTTCTCTACACCAAGCTATGAGAATTAGGTCTTTACATTCTTGAAAACTGCAGAAGCACAAAGTATTTCTGGAATTGGTTTTCTTATGGTCCCTCACTAGGCCTTTCAATGGAGAGAAAACAGCATTGGCCAGGTGTGGTGGCTTTCGCTTGTAATCCCAGTGTGTCCAGAATTGGTGGGTTCTTGGTCTCCCTGACTTCAAGAATGAAGCCGCGGACCCTTGCAGTGAGTGGTATAGTTATTAAAGATGTTGTGTCCAGAGTTTGTTCCTTCAGATGTTCAGATGTGTCTGGAGTTTCTTCCTTCTGGGCCTTTGCAGTTGAGTGTTACAGCTCTTAAAGGCGGCGCTTCCGGAGTTGAGTTGTTCTTTCCTCCGTCTGGAGTTGTTCATCTCTCCCGGTGGGTTCGTGCTCTGGCTGGCTTCAGGAGTGAAGCTGCAAAACTTTGCAGTGAGTGTTACAGCTCTTAAAGGCGACGCGTCCGGAGTTGTTCTTTCCTCCTGCCTGGAGTTGTTCGTCCCTCCCGGTTGGTCTGTGGTCTCGCTGTCTTCAGGAGTGAAGCTGCAGCTCTTCACCATGAGTGTTACAGCTCTTAAAGGCAGCACGTCAAGAGTTGTTCTTTCCTCCCATCTGGAGTTGTTCATCCCTCCCGGTGGGTTCATGGTCTCGCTGGCTTCAGGAGTTAAGCTGTAGACCTTCTCAGTGAGTATTGCAGCTTATAAACGCAGCACAGACCCAAAGAGTGAGCGACAGCAAGATTCATTGCAAAGCACAAGAGTACAAATCTTCCACAGCTTGGAAGGGGACCCCAGCGGGTTGTCACTGCTAGTTTGCATGGCTTGCTTTTATTCCCTTATCTGGCCCCACCCACATCCTGCTGATTGGTCCATTTTACAGAGAGCTGATTGATCCATTTTACAGACAGCTGATTGGTCCCTTTTACAGAGCGCTGACTGGTCCATTTTACAGAGAGCTGATTGGTTTGTTTTGACAGAGTGCTGATTGGTGCATTTACAAATCTTTAGCTAGACACAGAGTGCTGATTTGTGCCTTTACAATCTTTTAGCTAGACACAATAGTTTTCCAAGTCCCCACCAGATTAGCTAGATACAGAAGGCTGATTGGTGCCTTTATAAACCCTTAGCTAGACAGAAAAGTTCTCCAGGTCCCCACACAACCAAGAAGCCCAGCCGGCTTCACCTCTCAATGGCACTGGCTGCAGGACTTTGCGGCACCTAGCCTGGGCATTCCGGCTCCCCTAGTCAAGCCCAGCAGGCGCCGGCAGGCCAAGCCAGAGTGCGGGCCCTCCAAGCCCGCCCCACCCGGAACCCGCGCTGGCCCGCGAGTGCGGCACGCAGCCCCGGCTCCCGCCCGCGCCTCTCCCTCCACACCTCCCCGCGAGCAGAGGGAGCCGGCTCCGGCCTCAGCCAGCCCCAGAGAAGGGCCCTCACAGCGCAGCGGCGGGCTGAAGGGCTCCTTGAGCACGGCCAGAGTGGACGCCCAGGCCGGGAAGGTGAGGAGGTGCGGAGAGCGAGCAAGGGCTGCTAGCACGTTGTCACCTATCACCAGCCGTTGGGAGGCTAAGGGGAAAGGATTACTTGAGCCCAAGAGTTCAAAGTCAGCCTGGGCAGCATAGCTACACACCGTCTCTAAAAAAAATAAATAAATTGAACAAAATTTGCTGTGCATGCTGGCACATGCATGTAGTCCAAGCTACCTGGGAGGCTGCGGCTGGAGGTGCACTTGCGTCTGGGAGGTTGAGGCTGCAGTGAGCTGAGATTGTGCCACTGCACTCCAGCTTGGGGCAACAAAGTGAGATCATGTCTGAAAAAAGAAAAAAAAAAAAGAAGAAGAAGGAAAAACAGAAAAAAGTAAAAGATACCGACCCCAAACATCATCATCACAGTGTTCAACCCATTGGCATTCAATGCTATGTGCAGAGTGAGGAAAAAGAGATGCCAGAAAAAGAGGGAAGTAGAAACCATAACTCTAATAAAAACCTAAGTGTGGAGTCTGCATTCTACTCCATGTACCATGTAGTTGAAAATGTGTTTACATGAAGTAACAATTTGGAAGTTTCTGATTTAGGCTATGGTAGTTTAACAGGGATGATCAAGCATTCTAAGGAAATACAATGTGAATAACTTCAGTCTTAAGGTGTGCTGAGGAAAGAATGGGCAAAGCTGGTGGTGGGGGCACCTAAAGCCATTCCATGCACTTAGAGAGCACAAACCAATTTTTTCCTTTTTAAAAAACTCATCGAGAATCACAAGCTCTTCTTTTAAAATACTTCTGTTCTTGAAGAAGTATTTTTATAGATCAAGCATTTCACTCTTTGGGGTAAATTTTTCAGATCATATAATCCACCATAAATGAGACTAAGCATTCAATATTCAAAGAAATGCAATACACGTAATGTGCTAATTATGAAGCTTTGGAGATTCAAAAATGAAGAAGGCACATCCCTTGCCCTTATGGAACTCATGATTTTCCTGTCCCATCTGCACTATTATTATTACTCTGGATTTTTTTCTCACTCTAATTTAAATTAACTTTTTTTTTAAACTTAGTTTAATTCTTTTTTTTTTTTTTTTGCGACAGCATCTCACTCTGTCGCCCAGGCTGGAGTGCAGTGGCACAATGTCAGCTCACTGCAACCTCCTCCTCCCGGGTTCAAGCGATTCTCCTGCCTCAGCCTCCTGAGTAGGTGGGACTACAGGCCCGCACCACCATGCCCAGCTAATTTTTGTATTTTTAGTAGAGAAGGGGTTTCACCATACTAGCCAGGCTGGTCTCGAACTCCTAACCTTGTGATCTGCCCACCTCGGCCTCCCAAAGTGCTGCGATTATAGGTGTGAGCCACCACGCCTGGCCAACTTAGTTTAATTCTAAGCAATTTTATGCCTGAAAATCATGAGTTTAAAGTGCACAATATATTTTTCCTGTAATACATTAAAATACACATACAACTATTAACATAACATAGCACATTTATTGATGTGTCATCTAGAGTCACTCATATACCATTAATGTTATACACACCCTGTTTAGGAAAATACGTTTTTAGAGGTAAAAGCCCATAAAGAAGTACTACATTTTCTCAATTCCATAACACCAGTGTAAAAACACAATTGATACAGTCACATCAATTAAACACATTAAATGTAAGATTTAATTCAAATACTACTAATTTTTTAAAAAATGTGCATTTTAGAATCATTAAAATAGAATGATGGATAAATGTATGGAGCAGGTATAGTAATATCACAAAACAAGGCATGAATTACTTTAAAGATGGCATTCTGATTTTAAAGAGAATTAGAGGGAGGGATAAATTTGAAATGGACATGTGTGATGAAGGGAAGTGCTAGGTGACATTTTGCCATTGAGATTATATTTTAAAAGGGCCAGAGGGCAGCCTGAGAACACTGAGTGTGCATACAAATGAGATCCTATAAAAGAAAGAATGTGCCAGGATGTTGGGAAGGTAAAAAGGAGTTTTATCCAGGACGATGAAGGCCTGGATCCAAGTGCCGGTGATGTTCACAACCAGTTTGTTCACTGCTGACACCAGTCCTGTAGAATTGCTGAAGTTTGTCTTATAATTTATTCATCTGGGAATTTTGGGGGCTTTAGCTACAACATTTTCAGCAAAGGGGGAAAATTTTTTTCTTGCTCTTACAATGTTTTTTGTTTTTTTTTTTCTGTAGCTGATTTTCTTTCTTTTTAAATGATTAACATGTTTGTGTCAATGGTGTGAAAGTTAGGCCTTAACATAGTTCCAGATTATGAAGTCTCTAAGAAAAAAATAGTCTAGAAATCACCCGTCATCTTTAGGATTTCACATGTGGGTTAAACCTTATCTAAATTACGATATCACATATCTAATACAAAAAATCCCCAACTTACAACGATTTGACTTAACGATTTTGGGACTTTACAATGGTGCTAAATTGACAGGCTTTTAGTAAGCGCCTCAATTTATGATGGGTTTACATCTGGAAACACTCATCATAAATACAAAATATTCTAAGCAAAACATACTTTTAATTTACAATATTTTCAAATTACGATAGGTTTATTGGGACATAAACCTGTCATAAATCGAAGAACATCGGTAGTAAGTCTCTGTTTTTGTTGTTGTTTTGGTTTTACCTTTTCATTTTAAGATACGCTATTTAAAAAAGAATCTGTAATCTGTTTCCCTTAAACAAAAAATATTAGTAATTTTTAAGATGGCAGATATTAGAAAAATCAAACCATTTTAAAATTTGCTTTTTGAGTGAATTTGATCACATCTAAATAAAATGGAAATTCAAAGATTATAACTGAAAGGCTAGATTCTTATTTTAGTCTTAAACTTGAGCCAATCCATTATGATAAGTTCCAAAGTCTAATAAATTTACTTAAAGTTCTAATTTATTTTAGAAAATTTTAAATTGGAATCATCCTTCAACCCATTTAGAAAGATACCTAACAAACATTTTGAAAGGAAAATGTGATATACTGAAATTCGGTGCGTGTGGGTGCGATATGAAGCCATGTAATGTAATTCTGACTTTCAATAGCTATACAGACTGTCTTTCATTCATATTACTCTGTCCAGTTAAGTACTAATTCTGTGATTCTGAGGACATTTTAAAACGTTTGTTCAATTGATTAGGTAGCAGCAGATTTTTGTTGTTGTTGTTAACCTGGACTATGTTTCCATAGTTATAATGCACATTAATTCATCTGGGGTAGGATATAACATGGTTGCCAGAAGGTCATCAAAGATACACAATAATTAGAAACTCAAGATATAAATATGAAATGCCAAGTGAACTGTAAGCAAGATACACAATAATTAGAAACTCAAGATATAAATATGAAATGCCAAGTGAACTGTAACCAATTTTTGATAGCTCCTCTTATAAAAATAATTTAAATTAATTTCAACAAATTCAATATAACAAATTATAGAAAGGAAATAATTTAGAAGAAGATTATTGAATAATGACTTTTTAAAATCAATTTTTTGTTTCTCTGACTCATAAAAATAAACCTGGAGCTGAAGTACTTGAATTAAAAAATAGACCGCTAAGTTGGATTTCAACTACCTGGATATTTAATATAAAAGATCAAGACTTAAATAGTTCTGGCTGATTTTTAAAATCAAGTTAGTGGCAAAGAGGGTCTTTTGGCTAGTCTTTGGTCAACTTGGTCTTCATCTTTATTGTATATCAGAATGAAATCATTTTGACTACCTTAGTTTTGGCAAAATGACATTTATTTTCTACATAAGAGCACCCCAACCCCCAATGCAATGCATTCATGTCCACTGATGCTTTTTTTCCCTGGGATTTCTGAGCTCTTTTTTCATCCTCACTTGTAGCATGGAATAATGGATTATATCCCTCACATGTATTTACATCATTTTGGTTGATTTTCACTGATATGCAAAAGGCAATATAAATGGAGCTAAATAGGGCTGTAAAGCAATAAGATGTTGACAGCAAGTAGTCAAAAGAATTTGTATGCAAGGCAGTTTCATTTATCCCCATCAATTTTCAATGCAAACAAGAATATGCAGCTCAGTTAACTGTACTATGAATATTCATGCTGGATTGACTGTATTTAGAATCCAAAGAACTATGAGCATATTTTCACATAATGTTGCATTAACATATGTTTATATAATTTTGTTTTTCTTTGAATAAAAATAAATAAGTGAATACATTACAAGATTGGCAAGATGAAGACAGTAATGGGGATTTAGCAGAGGGTCTATAGTTCTCAACTCTGATTGAAGGTCAGAATCACCTTCAAGGCCTTTAAAAACTAGGACTCCACCTTGTACCCAGTAAAGAAGGTCTACAGGACAATAGTGATATCTCTTCTCTGCTCCAGCCACTTCTTCCCAGTATGTGTAAGATAGCCAACAAATTTTAACGAAGATATACAAGGCTCCCTTTTTATCATCAGTAATACTGGTTCCAAGTTGTTAGAATGTCACCATTCTTGCTGAACTAAATTATGGAGTCAGTGGACATTGTAGATTAGACAGTTGAGCAAATAAGTTGTAAAGATCTTCCTCCTAATATTCTGAACTAGCTCTGATCTCCAGGTGCTTTGCTTTGCTCGAGCAAGGCCAGAAACCACCACAGTACTCAGATTAAATGTCCTATTGGCTAGAGGCATGGTGGCTTCCAAAAGTTAAGTGCATCGGATTTATAATAGCATTTAAAACCGAATTATTTAGTGATAAATTAGCAAAATATTTGTAACATTTTTATGCTCAAAACTATAAAATATTGATGAGAAAGTAAATAGCAACTAAATAAATTGAGTGATATAATATGTTCATGCATTAGAAAAATTAATATCATTAAGGCATCAATTTCATTCAAGTTGATCTCCAAATACCAATAAATATCCTAGATTTTTGTAGAAATTGATATTCTGAATCTAGAAAAGCAAAGAAACTAGAATGGAATGGTCAAATAATTTTGAAGAAGAAGAAGAACATGAGAAAACTCACACTACGTGATTTGATTATATACTGTAATGTGATCACAATGAAAACAGTGTGGTACTGGTATGAGAACAGACATGCAGATCAATGGAACTGAATAGAGCACCCAGAAATAAATTGACACACAAAGTGGTCAATTGAGTCTTCAGAAAAGATGCCAAGATGATTCAATGAAAAAAGAAAAGTCTTTTCAAAAAATGATGCTGGAACAATTGGTTATTTTTACAACAAACAAGCAAACAAAAAAAAAAGACAACTTGAAATGGAACATATACCCAAAACCTAATGCAATAAAACTTCTAGGAGAAAACATAAAGGAAATTCCTAGTGACACTGGCTAAGCAACGATTTCTTAAAATACAAAAGTCATGAACCACAGGAAAATATGTGTACTTAACTTCACAAAATTACAAAAAACCTATCTTGCCTTGAAAGATACTGTTAAGAAAACAGAGTTAAGCCAAACACTGAAATAAATCTTTACAAAATATATTCCATAGAAGACTGTATTTAGTAATACATTAAAACTCTTAACTCTCTGTACTCAGAAAAAATTCCAACTTAAAAAAAATGGACAAAAGATTTGAAAATTCACTTCACAGATAAGATACTAATGTCATGTAAGCTCATAAGAACATTCTCAACATAACTAATCATTAGATAAATACATATAAATTCCAAAGTGAGATACTACTACATATGTACTATAATGGCTAAAACTAAAACAAATACAACTGCTGTTGAACATAAAAAGTAACTGGAACTCTCAACATTGCTGGTAGAAATGCAAGGTAGTACAGATATTTTGGAAAACAGCTTGGCAGTTTTTTATAAAGTTAAACCTACATATATATCAGATAGTCCTGCAATCCCACTCCAAGCTATTTTTTTAAATAGAAAGAATATGTATAGTCATGAAAATAACTGTATGTGAATGATTTTTTAGATATTTCTTCATAATATCCGAAAATTGGAAATAACCCATTGTTCACCAAATGAGGAATAAACAAATTGTGTTATATGTATGTATATGCTTCTCAGTAACAAAGAAAAACTACTACTATACACAAAAACACAGATGAATCTACATAGAATTATGCTAAGTGAATGAAGTCAGACTCAACAGACTTCATTCCTTATGTCATATTCGGGAAAGGTAAACCTATGGTAACTGAAATCAAATCAGTACTTTCCAGGGGCGGAGATGGCAGCAGAGGATTGATGACAAAGGAACATGAAAGAATTTTTGAGGGGGAGGTGGAAATACTTTATGTCTTGATTGTTGTGATGGTTAGATGATTATATACATACAAAACGAAAATAGAGACTCAGAGAAGAAAAATGTAAATTTAGAATGTAATTAGACTCATAAAAGACACAATTTTAAATTTCTGTGTTCTTACCTGATGGATTCAAAGAGGCTATCTGCAAGAATATAAAACTGAAGCAAGGTGGGGAATTGGAGATGGTTCCAGTGTGGCTTTATAGCACAAGATCTAGTCCAGTCTTGAACATAGCTTCATCTGGAGGATTATCATAACGGAGCTGTAGGACTGCACTGTAGGACAATTCATAAGTTACTATGGGACTCTATAGCTCCAATTTCTGGAATCACCCAGTCAGTTCTATAGCTTCACTTATCTCCTGGCCATTCTATATTAAGATGAAGTACAGAAGGGTAGTAACAAGAACAGGGAAACAAGAAAACATTGTTGTGTAAATTGGATTTAAGTTCCTTACTATTTCTAGATCTAAATTGTTCTTATCTATAAAATGAGAGTATTTGAATCCACTTCACAGGGTTGTCTAATAAGTAGAATGGTGCATGTGGAAGCATTATGTAAGCCACAACTTTACTCAAATAACAGTAGTAGTAGTAGTGTGAAAGCTACCCTTACAGAGTCTTGAAATTGTTCCACTATATTTTACGTTAGTCATCAGCAGAGTATTGTGTCAGTTTTCAATAGTTTTAGGAAGAAAAAAAGAATCTGGTGAATAATAAAAATGAGTCAGGGTGTGGAGGAGACACTATGAAGGAAGGTTAAAGTGGTGGGAGGCAGTTAATCTGAAGAAAATATAATTATTTGAATTGGCTCCATTACTGTTTTCATATGGAGAATGGAAGTCAGTTATTAGTCATCAAAGAGTCATAAACAAGATTGAATAGGCACACCTTGACCAATTGGAGCAAACACAATAGAGCATAACAACTTCTTGAACATAATGGCAATTACATCCTGGAACACCCTTCAAAAAGAAGCTTTACTTTACTGGAGATAGGTTAAAAAGCCATCAGTAAAATGATTTAGAATTCGTATGCACAGTGAATGTGTGGGCCAAGTCATTTGCTGAGGTGGCATCTACCTGTCTGCTTTGACAGTGAGCACAAATATAAATGCTTGTGTGCTAAAAGTAACTACACAGGGTTGTCTGAGAGTTCAAACTTGGCTCCATTTTCAAGGTTGCTTCTCGCAGTCTGGTCTATGCACTAGTTCTATCCAAATCATTCTGGTTTCTTTTTCTGTTAAAAATAGCAAATATCTGGATGTTGCCACACCAGTGCTACTCAATCAGATTCCCAGAGAGTCAAACACAAAATTTAAATTTGATAAATATTCAAAGTGATTTTTAATACACAATAAAGATTGTTAATCATTGTTTTAACAAGTGACCTAATCAATTTGCCGTGACTCGTTTCATATAAAAGTATATGTTTTAAGCTTAAATTTTTTTTCCAGATAAAGGTTCTCTAGCTCTTATCTGGTTTAGTTAACCTCCATAATAGTTTAATTGGTAATTAATATTTCAGTCATCTTTATGAACAATTAATAAATGTTGCTTATATTTCATTTGGTTCTTTAATTGTCCAGTTGTTAAGGGAGCAATATCTCCCCACAAACATACATACACTTTTCTATACATGTCATATCTGGTTGGCTTTTCTAAAGACAGTAGGGAAAAAATTGTTAGTTAAAGTAAATATGTGTTAAATGCACAATAAAATTTTAACAAGACATACAGTTACTTTATTTTGTTTTTGTTTTTCTTGTAAGATTATAAGCAGGGAACGTTTGATACTGTAATAGTTGATACAAGTCATTACACATTTGTCCAACCACAAAGTCAAGTTGACTATATAAGAGCGACACGAAGAGTGAACCCTAATATACACTATGGCTTTTAGTTAATAATAATATATCAACATTTTCTTATCAATTATAACATAACAATTATAGAAAAAACTGTATGGAGGGTAGATACATAAACACTCTCTATATTTTCTGCTCATTTTTTTTTTTTTGAGACGAGTCTCTCTCTCTTGGCCAGGCTGATCTGGCCAAGAGATAGAGACATGCAATGGCATGATCTTGGCTCACTGCAACCTCTGCCTCCTGAGTTCAAGCAATTCTGTCACCTTAGGCCTCCCAAGTAGCTGGAATTACAGGTGGGTGCCACCATGCCTGGCTAATATTTGTATTTTTAGTAGAGACAGTGTGTCACCATGTTGGCCAGGCTGGTCTTGAACTCTTGACCTCAAGCGATGCAAACTCCTTGGCCCCCCAAAGTGCTGGAATTATAGGCATGAGCCAATGTACCTGGCCCAATTTTTCTATAAACCTAAACTTCTTCAAAAAAATAAACTCTAACAAATGTAGTCTATTAAAAATTAAATCTACTTGAAAAGAAAAACATTGATATTTCAGGCTATCACTGATGCTATGATAATTTATATCACTAAATGTCATTTATTAAAAATTTACTTGTTATTTTACTAGAAAATATGACTTTTTTTCTAAAGTCATACAGAAATTATAAAACTTGCAAACAAAAATAATTTAGTATATAGCATGCCTATAATACATATTTTGATTACATTTTCTTCACAAATAAACCTCTTGTCATTCAAAAATATTGTGTGGTAAGCAAAAGTTAATAATGACTTGTATATTTTGTTAATGTCATTTTAAGACTATAAATTGCAAAAATAATTGAAATGAAAAACTAGTAACTCTCCTAGTTTATGACAAAGAAATATGACTCTCATTTTAAGATTAAATATACCGTCTTTCTTAACATTTTCTCTGCATTAATGCATAACTTTTATTTCATATCGAAAAGCCAAGAATTAAAGTCTGGTTGAAATAAATAGTTTACTCTTGAACACAGAGGTTAGGACTGCTGACACCTGCATAGTTGAAAATTCATATATAATTTTTGCTTCTCCAAAAACTTAACCACTAATAGCCTGCTGTTGACCAGAAGCCTTACCAATGACATAAACTGTGAACACATATTTTGTATCTTATTTATATCACATACTGTATTCATACAATAAAGTAAGCTGGAGAATAGAGAATGTTATTGAGAACATCATAAGAAAGAGAAAAATATATTTACTCTTCATTAAGCAGAAGTGGATCATCATAAAGTTCTTCATCGAGTAGCCTGAAGAGGAGGAGGAAGAAAAGAGTTTGGTCTTGCTGTCTCAGATGTGGCGGAAATGGAAGAAAACCAGAGTATAAGTGGACCCATGAAGTGCAAACTCCTGTTGTTCAAAGGTTAATTGTACTTCAGGTTTAAATGAATTCGTGTTTCTAGAAGAGGTACAACAGTTAAGCTAAAGAAAACAAGACTGCCTTATTCTCTGACTGGATCTTATGAGATAATAAGGCTTGATACATTTTTATTTCTGATTTAATATATTTGGGAAGAGGAGACCAGTGAAAATGGTGGTCAATGGAATGCCCATTACAAACGTTATGCCCTGGTGACAGACCAGTGCTGTTGTTGTTACATTCTGTCTGTTTGATTGATGCTCTGAGGTTCATTCCTTTAAATCTAGCTCAGGTTTCTGCAGAAAGTTTTTCCCAACTCTGTTTATATTAGTTGCTTCTCTATCATATTCACTTGCATTCTCAAAAGTGGAAGCATCTGTGCCAGTCTCTTTCAAATCCCTGCTTTCCTGGAGCTTGTTTTCTGATGGGGGAAGACTGACATAAAAGAAGATCATGATGGAGAGGAAATACAAGCTACTTAATGTAGTCAAATGGCACCATGTGCAATGGTATGAACACCAGGGAAAAGAGACAGGTAGTGTGTATGAAAGGATATTCAGTTTTGAAACAGGATTTGTAATACCACATTAAAATATGACATTTCATGGAAAATAAACTGGAGGAGATGAAGGAGCAATCCCTGTGGATATTTGAGGTGAGATTACTCCAGACTGAGGAAAAATCAGGTGCAAAGACCTTGAGGCTGTGGTATGATGGACACATCCCAGAAAGAGCTGGAGTATAGTAAGCCAGGGCAGAGTGGTAGGTAATAAAATAAGAGAGTCAGTGGAACAGGAGGGTTAACTGAGGGGGACGGTAGTTTGCAGCAGAGTTTACCAACAGACAAGGATTGTAGCCCAAACTAAAAACATTAGAACAAAGAAGAAAGAAATTAAATACTATTATTGCATACTTCCAGATACCAGAAATATTTGTGGGCATATCTTCTCTCACTAGATCTTAAGTCCTTTGAGTGTGTTACTTAGTCCTATACATCTTTAATTCCTCTTGAATTTGGGAGAACTGCTTCCACAGAATAAGCACCAAATATAAACTTCTTGAATAAACGAATACCTGATTGGATGAATTGAGCAAATGAAATGTACTATAAATAAATAAATAAATAAGCAAATACATTATCTTAAACAGAGTGGGAGTCTGTTGGTCTGTTGGCTTGCTTCGTTGAGAAGTCCAGGGTCTGGAGTTGGCTTCCAAAACTAAAAGAGCACCAGAGCCTGATTCCTCTACCTGCTCTCAATTTTACTCTGTTCCCTGTATTGGCTCAATTCCCAGTTTTTATGTAGTGAAAGTAATAAACGAATAGACATTATTTTTTAAGAACAGTTTTTGTTTTGTAGGCAAAATAATGCAGCAGAAAGTTCCATATGCTCTTCCCAAACGCCTGTTTTTCCTATTTTTAACATCTTTCCTTAGTGTGGTATCTTTGTTACAGTCGATGAGCCAATATTGGTACAGTACTATTAATTAAAGTCCATAGCTCCAGCCTACATCCTTTTAGATTCAAGACTACAGAAAAAAATTTTACAGAGAGATAGAGAAGAAAAAGTTTATTCTCTCCCTTATCATTGAAGTGGGTCTTTGACATGGTTAATACAGGCCAAAATTGAGTGAACTAATCACTGTAGCCAAGAAGGAGATTATGAAGTTTGACTAATTGACTAATCAGGTCCCACTTCTAGTTCTAGTTCCTCAAGAAAATTCAATTCATATTTTACAACAAGAAGAGCCAGATCCAGAGTAGTAACATAGCAGATGTTAACTAAAAAGAGAAATTTAAATTAATCTTAAATCTGTGGATCTCAATGGGTCAGACACTATGAAATCACAGAGGACTTGATCATCTTCCAAACTAGTTCTAAAACGAGCTCTACTAATGTGGCAGCACATTTTAGTGGTTAATAGAAAACAAGTATTACCATTAATGGCATAATGTGCACAGAGATCAAAGTTTAAAATAACACATAAAATCATTTTCTCCAACTTAGGAACAAATAAATAATCTAGTAAAGATTCTGGTTATTAAGAATTGACTATTCAGCTGCTCATTTTGGATCATTAATTGTTAGACTTTTGTGTAATATTTAATTAAAATCATAATTTATTATTGAGATCTTGTGAAGATGAACCATGCTGTGTGTATCAGTTTTATTTACATTGTTGAATAAAAAATTACCCCTAAACTTAGTGGCTTAAAATATCAAATATGTATCTCACAATCTATGTCTATTAAGTATCTGGGTTTGGCTTAGCTAGAGTCCTCTAGCTCAGAACGAGTTCTCTTATAGCTCAGAGTGTTGACTGAGGCTGAGTTATTGGTCATCTCCAGGCTCAATTGTGGCAGGCTTTGAAGCCAAACGCACGAAGCTGTTGTAAGGCCTCAAGGTGGATCTTCAATGATTGGTCATAGACATCAGTTCCTTGGCAAGGGGTTCTTTCCATAGGGCAACTCACAACATGGCAGCTGGCTTAACTCAGAGAGAGGGCTCTCAAAAAATATGAGCAAGAGAGAGTGCCCAAGATAGAAGACAGAGTGTTTTTAAAATTTAATCTTAAAGTGATTCCTATGGCTTTTGCGCTGAGTTATTTGTTAGAAGCAAGTCACTAGGTCAAACTCACACTCAACAGAAAGTAATGTTACAAGAACATGAATGTCAGGAATCAGAAATAATCTTAAGGCTGTCTACTGCAATTTTGGCATCTCACCTATCTGTGAAGTAATGAACAAAAGGAAGCCCTCAATAAATGCTTATTAGTTGATGGGTGCATCTTAAAAACTTGATATCTTCATAGAAAAATGAAACATTTTTTCTCAGAACTTAATCTAACAATTTAACTTTCGAAAGGGTCATATATGTCTTCAAAAGGCTTTGGTATTATTTCGTGAAATAGTGGCATTAATATATTTAGGCATGTATTCAGGGTGTTATATATAATTTGGATGTCATATAAGCAAAATTAGGTGATACTTCTTTTGGAAAATATTCTATTAACAGGTTTTTGCTCTTTCCAATTGAATACTCTGATTTGAAATGCTTTAGTATATTTGTTCTTCTCTTAGGTTTATTTTATCCCTAAATTATCTAGCATTTGTAAATCTAACACAAATATCACTGGCATTTACTTTGGGATTCTCTGGAATTCCTGGAAAATAGACTTTCTGAATTTTTATTTCACATTAGAGTTATGATCTGTACAGAAAAGTGGTCGAGTGCTATTAAAATTAGAATTAGCCTTTGAGTATACTTTCAAATCACAAATTTCTTAATTTGTTACATAGAGAAATGACTAGAATATATTATATTAAAATTGCATCATTATATAGATTCCATTTCAGGTTGTAATACGTTTCAAATACAGCAGTAATTTTATTTGAAAATCTTTGGGAATTCTCTGAAGACATACTATTTTTTGTAATATACATGAACACTGAGGATGTTAAAAATGTAGGAATCAATATTGACTTAAGAAAATTATTTCTTCTCAACTATGTTAACAAAGGACAATATTTTGTCACTCATTAAAAACCAAACTTTTCTAATTGTTTGGGAAAGGGAAAATAATCATTCATTTACGTATGTAATAACAATGTATCCATTATAACACATGATCATCATAAGAAATTGTATTGGTTAGCTTTTTCTGAGGTAAGAAACAGCCTACTAAATTAAAATGGTTTACACAAATAAACATCAATTTATTTCTCATGTATGAAGCCTGAGATTTGTCTGTGGCTCCGCTGTAGGTCTATGGGTTGACTAAAGGTCTGCTTCACTTGAAATTCCATTCTGTGATCCAGGTTAAAGGAACAGCTCCTGTCTGGAATATTCTATTCCTATAGGAGAGGGAAGAAGCACAGGACAGATCAAGCTGAAATAGCCAATTTGCATTAAAGCTTTTATTATACATGTGTGAGCCCTGAAAATCTGAGAAAGGTCTCAGTTAATTTAGAAAGTTTATTCTGCCAAAGTTGAGGACGTGCACCTGGGACACAGCCTCAGGAGGTTCTGACGACATGTGTCCAAGGTGGTAGGGTCACAGCTTGGTTTTATACATTTTAGGGAGACATGAGACATCAATCAATATGTTTAAGATGTACAATGGTTCAGTCTAGAAAGGTGGGACAACTCAAGGTGAAGGCAGGACAACTGGAATCAGGGATGGTGCTTCCAGATCATAGCTAGATAAGAGACAAATAGTTGCATTCTTTTGAGTTACGGATTAGCCACTCCAAATGATGCAATCAGTTGTGAATTTATCTCAGTGAGCAGAGGGGTGAGTTTGAATAAAATAGGAGGCAGGTTTGCCCTAAGGAAATTTATATTTTGTTTTGTTTTACCTGTTGCTGCCCAACTTCAAATGAAGTAGTGCTTCTTTTGTCCAAAGCCAACCCAGGCATTTGTATTTTGAACTTCATTCTTCTTCTATCTTTGTGAATTTTCAGCTTGATTCCTTTTGCTTTATCAATTTTCCCTCCATTCTCTCTTAAGTCTCTTTATTCTGCCATAACCTCTTGCCATTCAAACTAAAAAAGTTGATTTTTTTTAGTCTGAGCTTAAAAAGATATTTTTAGTCTGGTATTTATTAGCATGAACTAAGTAAAGACAAACATGCCAAAACCAAAATTATACAACTAAGTAGAACTCTTTCTAATGACTTCCCGATTATGAAACCCAATTATATTTATGTATTTATGTATTTATTTATTTACTTTTGCCTTTAATTTATTGTACTTCTTGGCACTCAGCTTCTGTTGATATTTTCTACTCCCTTGGGTTTTCAATGCAACTCTCTCTTGGTTTCCTTCACAACTTTCTGGTTAGTCCTTCTATTTATCTCTTCCAAGATTTTGCCTTCTGTGTTTATCCCTGAGAATTGAAGTTTCCTAGGATTCTGTCTGTAGAGAACTGAAGTTATCACATGTTCACTGTAGATGAACTTATAGTTGTATGTTGTTTTAAATGTGCATTTTTTTGTTTTGTCTTGAGTGTCTGAAAACCTAGAGGTTAATAATTGCAAATTTGGGAGTCAGATTATGAATTAAGTTTGCCACTTCTATTTATGTACAAGCTTCTGAAATCCTCCTCTATCCCAGGCTTAGATGGATATTTCTATTCTGGGTCAGGTCGGCCTTTATTCTTCTGAATTCTAATTAATATTGTGACATATGTATAATTAATATTGTGATGATATGCTTGGGTCTCCCTCAATTCCATTAGGCCATGAGAATGTGTATGGGACAGACACAGGAACTTCATTCTATTTATGTGTGTATCTTCAACAAATAGCACAATGACTAGAACATGGTTGTAGGAAGACTTCAACAGCATTAACAAATGGCTTTTTAATGAATTTAACTTTAAATAAATAGTTTCTAAAATGATTTGCTCGAAGCACATTATTGAGGCACTGGAGGAAAATAAGGTTGTGGGTTCACATGGCTGCTGCCGGTCAACTTCACACTTTTGTGTGAATTACAAATAAGCTTCCCTTCCTGCAGGCAGATGCAACTGCACACCAAGTCTTACAGCTTAGTAAGCAGTGTATACCTGCCCCAGTCTTCCTCTTGGGAATAGATTTGGTGTGAGATAAAACCTGTACGCATTTATGGGATGTCTCTGAGTGTTCAAAAATGTTTTGCTGATGAGTAATTATTTTCTAGCCTTGAGCAAATATTGACAATTTTCAAAGTAATTCTGGATTACTACAATTTAAACTGTAAGTCATCAGTACTGATCATTATTTCTAGATAACATGACTTCCTTACTAGTAAATAATCAGAAATATATAGATAAAAATAGTCTTTTTAATGCTCATGGGCATAATAACCTCATTTAGAACTAGCGTATAAATTACTTAAGTTCAATAGATTTAATTTATGTATATGGTGAAATAATACAGCATGATAATTTATATTTATATAAACTATATGGATTTATTATGAGTCAAGCACTCTTCAAGATGTTTTACGTGAATTATTATTTTTTCTTTCCTTAGAATAAGGTAGGTACTCCTATGGACAAGGTTTTCCACAGAAGAGGGAAATGAAGCACTTAACTTGCCCAAGAGCACATGCCTACTAAAAGAAGAATTCTGTGAATATTTAAAGGGCAATTTAAGAAGTTGATCTTGATTCAACTTAAGATGACTACAAAACTTGTTTGAGAATTATAGCCCATTAGAATTATATGTGGGCTACCGTGAAAGACAATTACTTTATCATCTGATAGCTTATTCATTAATTCACTTAATAAAAACTATACTCATTAAGGGCCTACAATGTGCTGGTCATTTTCTAGGCACTGAGGATAGAACTATGAAATTATTTCAAATCCCAAAACCTCATATATCTCAGTAGCTGGCGGGGGGGTCTTAAGCAGCATATTCTTTCCAAAATTAATAAAATAGAGTAAAGCTATTGCTCCCTTCTTAAAATACACTCTAAAATCTTAAAGGAAAGGAAAAAAAAGTTTTCAGTTTTTTATTCTGTTTTGTTTTGTCTTACACATTTGATGTTCCCTGTGTAGTTATTTGTATGCCTGGAAGGGGTTTTATATATATATTTTTAGATCATTTAACTTTTTTATAAAGGGTACAGGGTTGAAAAATGTGAAACTAATGTTATTTTCATTATGATGCTCTTCACTTTTACTATTTTATCCACCCACCTTGTATTATCTTTGATCCTGCAGAGTCTTTCAAGTCTCAACTTGAAAATCCACTTTGTATGCTACTGTGTTCGGTTAAAATCAACACACTGTGACACTAAGCAAAGTGGATATTAAACACAAAAGAGAAATATTTTCAAATAACAATTTAAATTCCTGTGATGCAATTCAGTTTCCTATCATTTTACCTTCTGAACCAATGTACAGGTTGATGAAACCAAATACTGAGTAATTTTTTGGTGAACAGATTTCTGACAGCTTCAAGCATCTAGAACATGAATGCAAAATGGGAAGTGAACAACAGTAGTAAAATCTATTTATCCAGCATCTAGAATGGTGCATTTGTTACAGAAGCTCATGGATTTTGTTTTGTGAGTGAATAATATAGCAATTGATGACTAAATTGTCAGAAATTTTAGGTTTATAAAAGATTTGTTTCTGTTTTCTTCTGTACCTTAAGTCTTTAGTAGAATTGCAAAAGACAGAATATTAGAACCAATGATAGAAATAATTAAGACTCATCAATATAGTTATTCTGACAAGTGAAAGAAAGAAAGAGAAGAATAGTCAAAGTCATGATGTGCTGGAAAACAGCCTGGAATCATTAGGTAGAGGAGAAAATAACCTTTCACAGCTCAATAACTCCTGATGGCATTACTGTTAAACATTATAGGATGGTAAATTCAAATAATCAGGTATTATTCACTCTACCTAAACATCCAAGAAAGTGAGTAATACAGAACTCTAATGGCAATACAGCTGGAATCCACATTCTATGACATTAACATTATAAAATATATATCGTAAAATGAAAGTTAGACCTTTAGAACTGGACAAATTTGTATGTTTTATAGAGTATTTCATGCTCTAATCATTCTCAAACTTTTGTTTCTAAAGGTATAATTCTCCTCCAAGACTAAGGATGTTCTCTGACAGCAGCTGCATCCATGTTAATGTAAGTTCATTATACTTTGATGAGCTGGTAATGTAATTCCTCATAAGGGAAGAGAAAATGATACTTTTTAGTTAACAGACTATTGTATGGTCTTTCAAACAACCAGACAACATTTTGTATCCTATATATCTTTGTGATTTCTACAGTAGATTAAAAAAGATTTAAAATGAAACTACTGATGTGATTAAACTAATCAAAATCCAATATGGGATACTACCAGGAAAAAAAAACTGTCGTATAAAACGAATAGGATTCTTGATAAAAAGAACATTATTTTATATTAGAGTCCAGATAACATATACTAAATATACATGTAATTTAGAGGAGTCTGGAATATAGGCAAATATCAAATCATCCTATAATGTTAGGCCACAATATATTTTCTCAGGCAAAAGAACTTTTAGTACTGATATGTGAATTTAAAAATTTTTACTTTCAGAGTTTCCCCAGTTAAACAAATTAATGAATGTTAAACACTAAAATTGGTGGTATCCCACTTCTGATCATTTATGTTACAATGAATTACTACTCTAATATATCTGGTTTGGAATTTTAATACTTGATATGGCTGATTAAAACCACTTCTCTTGTCTATCAATAGCTCAATATGCCTCTTACTCTGCAATCTTACTCTATAATTAAAATATGTTATTTTGAAATAATTACTTGGATATTTGAATATAGGTGGAAAATGTGATTATTTGATCCCATTGGCATCATCACCATGGTATATAGCTTAGAAACAATGTGATTATGATTACACAAAACATTCTTAAGCATATAAAATAAAACTACCATTCTCATAACTCTATTATTTAAAATAATGTGACCATGTTTGCATAACATATCTTTTGGCACTTTTTCTTTGTTTCATGCGTTATCACTGCTGGAAAAATAGCATAAAAGTTCAAAAATGTCTTAATCAAAAGCTATACTAACCAAAATGTTAAAGATATTTCTACTTAGTGGTAAAATTTGCTAATAGAATCAACAAAGCTTTCCTTTTTAAAAAACATTTTAGGGATTTGCCAATATATGAAATGGTATCTTGAAGCTATGTAAACATAAAACAGACATTCTGTAATAAAAAGGTTATCTTTTCAGTAATCATGCTGGAATAAATTTAGAAAACTGCTACTTTGTTGAAAGTTAGCATTGCCTAAACAACATTTTCTTTGATTGATTATAAATAGGTCAGATTTGTGTTCTGCCTTAAACTTTACACAAAAACTGGTTCTATTTTTTTTACAGTTAATTATAAGCCCACATAATTCCCACATGCTTCCTATAACTCTCTTAATTGAGTAGTCTCATAATTTATATCACTGAGGGCATTTTTTGGGATTAAGGTATTGTATGAAGTCTTCTGTTAAATCCAACACCCAAGGCCAGTCAAATTAAAGGCAGTTAAAATATTTTTTAAATTGATACATAATAATTATATGTATTTATGATGTACATATCATATTTTGATACAGTATACAATGTGTAACAATCAAATCAGGGTAATTAAGATATCTGTCACCTGAAATGTATCATTTCTTTGTGTTAGAAACATTCCAAATCTTTTCTAGCTCTTTTGAAATAGACAATAAATTATTGTTAACCAACACTTTGCGAAAACACATAAAATGGAACTTAAACTATATCACAGACTTAAAACTAGAAGATAAAATCATAAAACTTCTAAAAGGGAACAGAGAAAAAATATGGGTAACCTTGGGTTAGGCAAAGATTTCTTAGATAGTACACAAAAAGCACAAACTATAAAAGAAAAGATAGATAAATGTGATTTCATTAAAATTAAATCTTCTGTTCTTAGAAAACTTCTATGAGAATGAAAAGGCAAGCCACAGACTAAAGAAAATATTTGCAAAATAATGTTCTATATTTAATAAAAGACCTGAATCTAGAGTACATAAGAACATTTTAAATTCAGCAACATGAACATAAAAAATGCAACTTACAAATGAGCAGAAATATTTGAGCAGGTAATTCATAATGTATATGGATGATAAATGACAAGAAAAGATAGTTAGCAGCAGTAGTCATTAAGAAAATGAAATTTAAAGCAGATACTTCTAAGTACACACTAGAAAGGCTGAAAAAAAAAAAAGAAAAAATATGCTAACAAACAACCAGACAATGCCAATTGTTGGTAATGATGTGGAACAGCTAGATACTCATACATTTCTGGTGGAAATGTGTAATGATGTAGCCACTTTGACAAACAGTTTGCAAGTTTTTCATAAAGTTACAAATACACTTATAACCTAACCCAAGTATTTGTCCAAGGAAAATGATAAGTACATATAAATAGTTATATGCTAATTTTCATTGAAAGTTTTTTTAAAATATAATAATTGCCAAACACAAGAAGCGTTCCCAAACTCCATTAACTGGAGATAGATAAACAAATTGTGGTACATCTATTAAACAGAATACCACGCAGCAATGACAAGGAATGAATGCAAGATATTTGACAAAATGGATGAATGTTAAAAGCATTAAGCCAAGTAAAAGAAACTAAACACAAGTCTGTGTGTTTCCATTGATTTGACACTTGAGAAGAGATAAAAGTATGGGGACAGGAAACAGATAGGTTAATAATTGACAAGACTTTAATTGGGGAGAGGGGATTAACTGCAAAGTGATCCAAATAAATTTTTCAGGTTTATAGCATGTTTTATATTTTTATTTTAATGATATTTGCATAATCGCATAGAGTTGTCAAAAACTTATCCAACTATAAACGTAAAATGGATACATTTTATCCTATTTATAATATGCCTTAACAAACCTGACTAAAAAATATGTAATAGGCCGGGTGTGGTGGCTCAAGCCTGTAATCCCAGCACTTCAGGAAGCCAAGGCAGGAGGATCACTTGAGGCCAGGAGTCTGAGACTAGCCTGGGCAACACAGTGAGGTCCCATCTCTACAAAGAATAAAAATAAAAAATTGATTGGGCGTGGTGACACATATCCATAGTCCCAGCTATTTAGGAGGTTGAGATGGGAGGGAGTAGGGCTTGAGTCCAGGAGTTTGAGGTTACAGTGAGCTATGATCATGCCCACTGCACCCCAACCTGGGTGATAGAGCGAGACTCTGAGTCGAAAAAAAAAAGTGAGATTAAAAATCTTACCAGTTCATTCCCTTTCATCTTAATACTACTGTATCATTCCACAGTCTACACTTTGGGGCTTCATAGGATTAGCGTTCCCAGAGCACTAATCCGGAGTATAAATATAGAATATCATTGAAGGGAGAAAGAAATGACCATTGGACCGAAATTAAAAATAATCATTAGATCTGGCCGGGTGTGGTGGCTCATGCCTGTAATCCTAGCACTTTGGGAAGCCGAGGCAGGCAGATCACTGGAGGTCAGGACCAGGCAGGTGAATAGGGTCTGGAGGCAGGAAACCTAAGGCTGTTTCATGCCGACATTCTAGAACTAAATTGAAAGGAAAATCCTAACTTTCCACTCTAAGTAATACAAGGACCAGAGGCTACTCCCTTTGACGCTTTCTGCATGGCAGATGGGAGATTGGCTGTCTGCAACAAATCATACTGAGTGCCAGTGAGTTTTGGTTTGCAACTTTGTAACTTCACTCTAGCCTCTGAATGGCTGCTGTCTGCAACCAATCAGACTGATTGAGGGCTACTACTTCCGTTACATGAGGTGAGCATGAAGTAGCCAATGGGAAACTTCTAGAGGGTATTTGGACCCAAGAAGACACTGTATCCAGGCCCTTGAGCTACTGCTCGCGTCTGCTCTCACACTGTGGAGTGTACTTTCCTTTTCAACAAATCCCTACTTTCATTCTTTTGTTGCTTCATACTTTGTTTGCTTTGCTGGGTGTTCTATCCAATTCTTTGTTCAAAATGCCAAGAACTTGGACAACTTGCAGTCGCCATCCTCTACTAGTGACAAGGAGTTCAAGACCAGCCTAGCCAACATGGGGAAACTGGCGCCTGTAATCCCAGCTACCCCGTAGGCTGGCAGGAAAACCGCTTGAACCCAGGAGGCAGAGGTTGCAGTGAGCCAAGATCGTGCTGCTGCATTCCAGCCTGGACGACAGAGCCAGACTAGGTCTCAAAAAAAAAAAAGGCCCCAAAACAATAATTATGGCCGGGAGCGGTGGCTCACACTTGTAATCCTAGCACTTTGGGAGGACGAGATGGGTGAAACACTTGAGGTCAGGAGTTTGACACCAGCCTGGTCAATATGGTGAAACCCTGTCTCTGCTAAAGAAAATATAAAAATTAGCCTGGCATGCTGGGGTGCACTTGTAATCCCAGGCACTTGAAAGGCTGAGGCAGAAAAATCACTTGAACCCAGGAGGCGAAGGTTGCAGTGAGCCAAGATGGCACCACTGGCACTCCAGCCTGGGCGACAGAGGGAGACTCTGTCTCGAAAACAAACAATAAAAAAACCCCACAATAATCATTAGATGAAAAACCTTAAAGATATCATTGCCAATACAGGATATGAGGTTAGGAACTACCAACAGTAAAATAGATGGAAAATGATCAATGCCATGTGGAGAATGTAAATAAAATTAGTGTGCTGAGAGATCATTACTGTGTATTGATACAATTGCATGTGACCTGGTAAAGATTAAACTGGCAGTTACTAAAAAAAAAATGTTGAAAAGACACAAGTATGCAATCATTGCTTGCTTTTGTTTTCCACTTGCTAGCTATCATTAAACAGGGATCAAAGGCTGTGATAGAGTGCATCATACAATAGGCATGATTCAGTGTGGAGAGTGAGTCAGGAAATAACTAAAGTGAGAGTCGGCCATGGAAGCCCAAGTTGGCTCAAAGGAGGTCCTGAGAGGCAAGGAGCTCATTAAGGATCCTTCTCTAGGGAAGTGGCACAAATATGGCAAAACAAACATGGTAAAAGGGACTCGCAAATTTCATTTTACGGTTTCGTGCTTTCTATATATTCATTGTTAAAAACATATGAAAAATGTTTTTAGAAAGGCTAAGTGTAGAACGCCTATTATTTTAGATGCAGTGTATCTATCTGATGTGGTTTGGATCTGTGTCCTCATCCAAATCTAAATGTAATCCCTAATGCTGGATGTGAGGCCTGGTAGGAAGCAATTGGATCAAGGGGGTGGTTTCTAATGGTTTAAGCACCATCCCCTGAGTGCTGTTCTCCTGATAGAGTTCTCAGGAGATCTGGATGTTTTAAAGTGTGGAGCACCTTCCCCCCTTCTCTCTCTTCCTCTTTTTCTGGCCATGTGAAGATGTGCCTGCTTCCTCTTCGCCTTCTACCATGATTGCAGGTTTCCCGAGGCCTCCCTTGCCATGCTTTCTGTACAGCTTGCTGAACCATGATCCAATTAAATCTCTTTTCTTTATAAATTACCCACTCTCAGGTATTTCTTTATAATGGTGTGAGAATGGACTAATATACTATCTCTATGTCTATCTCTATAGCTACTTATCTATGTATAACATGATATAAAATATAATTGATATAAAACATATCTATGATATAAAACACAATATAAAATTGATATAAAATGTATAATCTAAAACATGATATGAAAACGTATGATAATATTGCAAAGTTGTAAAATGATATCTTATGTTCATAATCTATTTTTATCTGTTTCTGCATTTTCTCAATGATTATGTTAAAAATAAAGTGAATATTCACATATTCTATTACAATAATTACAAATGTCTCATTTATAGTTGAGACCTTGAACTTTTTAAAATTAGGTGTTTTAAAATTTCATAGTCAACATTAAATTCCGAGCAATCGGCAATAAAATTTGCTTTTCCACCCTAAAGACTCAACTTTTTGAGTCACCTTACTGGTTTAGCTGACTCATTTACTGAGTAGCACTTGCGTAACAATAATTGTTTTAAACAACATCTATATATATATATATATACCTTAAGTTCTAGGGTACATGTGCACAAATGCAGGTTTGTTACATGTGTATACATGTGCCATGTTGGTGTGCTGCACCCATTAACTCATCATATACATTAGGTATATCTCCTAATGCTATCCCTCCGCCTTCCCACCACCCCATGACAGGCCCCACTGTATGATGTTCCCCACCCTGTGTCCAAGTGTTCTCATTGTTCAGTTCCCAACTATGAGTGAGAACATGCGGTGTTTGGTTTTCTGTCCTTGCGATAGTTTGCTAAGAATGATGGTTTCCAGCTTCATCCATGTCCCTAAAAAGGACATGAACTCATCCCTTCTTATGGCTGCATAGTATTCCATGGTGTATATGTGCCACATTTTCCTAATCCAGTCTATCATTGATGGACATTTGGGTTGGTTCCAAGTCTCTGCTATTGTGAACAGTGCTGCAATAAACATACGTGTGCATGTGTCTTTATAGCAGCATGATTTATAATCCTTTGGGTATATACCCGATAATGGGATGGCTGAGTCAAATGGTATTTCTAGTTCTAGATCCTTGAGGAATCGCCACACTGTCTTCCACAATGGTTGAACTAGTTTACAGTCCCACTAACAGTGTAAAAGTGTTCCTATTTCTCCACATCCTCTCCAGCACCTGTTGTTTCCTGACTTTTTAATGATTGCTGTTCTAACTGGTGTGAGGTGGTATCTCACAGTGGTTTTGATTTGCATTTCTCTGATGCCCAGTGATGATGAGCTTTAGCAGATTAGGTCTTAAAATAATGACATTACATACTTGTTTTCATGAATATCTCTGTTAGCTCTGCTGTTATTTTTCAAAAAATCAATCTAAATAATTATCTTTTAACTAAAAAATATTGTATTAAGCCTGGATTTTTTGAATCATTATATGGAGAAGTTTTAGTTTTATTACTAAAATTGCTAATGATGTGTTGAGTTATACGTAAAGATAAGTCCCATGAACTCAGATTTTTAGATACTAAAATAAATCAACAAGGCTAGAACCAGCATGGGGTTAATATACCAGAGTAAGAAATACACATGCTGGAGTAGGAGACAAAATGGCAATATCAAAGTAAGATCTAAAGTTTTGATAAATGAAGCAGGTAAAGAACAGCTCAGAAAAAAAAGGCATATTTAGTTTCAAGCTGACCTTGGATTTCAATCTGACTCTCACTGTGGAGTTGATTTCTGTATTTTTAGCCTGACTACTTCCTAGCTCAACTTCCACATATTTGGTCATATTTTTTCTTGCACTCTCCTGCTTTCTTGCTGTCTTTCTTTCCTCAGTTGACAAATATTTAATGAGCACTTACTGTCTGCTAGGAACTTTACTAGACAGATGCATTTAGGTTGTTTTTTTATTTAAAAGGCATTATTTAGTTAACATTCAATAATATTACTTAATATTAGGAACATATATTTTTAATAATGCTTAGTTTCACATTATAACAATATATTTGAGTGTAGCATGTACAAATTATTAAATAGAAGTCAATGGTTTCATTTATTTTACTTTTTCAATCAATTGCTTGGAAATTTCTACTCTCAAAATTTGTAGAATGTTCAGTGTTCTCCATTTGAGGCTTTCCTCTTTTCTAAACTGCCCAAGAGTCAAGCCGCTTACTCTGTCAATGGGAAATTTGTCTTTTGTCTGATACGTGGTGCATAGGTGAATGGAAAATGTATAGCTGTGGCTCCTCCTGTCACCCTGATGCTATCTAAATGGTGGAGGTGTCAGTGCAAAGATGGAACTGTGTCCTCATTGAAGGGATAATTAAAATGTAAGCTTCTTTCATGTTTAGGAATGCAAATCACAGAGATCTACTGGATCAGATCTTCTTTCATATGTACCCCTACATACCCCTAGAGCAGGTTTTTTGACCTAGGCATTATTGACATCTTGAAACAGATAATTTTTTTTTCCTGTGGAGCAGAGGGTCATTCTGTGCATTTCAGAAGATCTAGCAACATCCTTGGCCTTGCTAGATACTACTAGCAACCCTTCACTTAAAATGGTAAAAAATGCCTCCAGACATTGCCAAGTGTCCTCTGGAGGTGGTGGTGTGAGGGCAGAATTGCTCCTTGGCAGAAAAACACCAACCTAGACTTAGGAAAGTATAACATTTAATTTAATTATCTCTCACTGGGGACTCAATTTAAATTTTTCCTTATGATTGTTCTCCTTCAGTAGGATTTGAAAATTTTATGAAATAAAAAAAAAGTAAAGTCTATGCATAAGTGGCTAACCAGTGATAACTAATCACTGCAGGCCCCTTCAAAATTTCCTTATGTTTTTCTATAAATATTTACACATAATATAGATTTGTGTATATAAATTATTGATTCCTATTTTTGCAATGAATAATATTCTTTGAAAAATATAAGAATTGGTGAATGCTTATGTATGTGGTCATGCATTTAATCACTTGATTAGCTGTTAAACAAATCTTCTCTAACTCAGAATTACAACTATTTTTAAATTTTGACTATTAGAAGACAAAGATGAATATTACTGTGAAACTAAATGTTTAATTATTTCCTTAGGAAAAAAATCCTGAAAAGGACAAAGGATATAAACTTGTTAAAAACTTTTAATATAAATTGATAGAACACTGTCCAGAAAGACTAACATTACTATAATGTACAGAAATTCTTGTTTACATGTATATTCTCTAACACTGGAAAATAACACTGCAAATTAAAACATAACAAAACAATACTATCAATCACGTGAGGGGAAGTACTTTAAATTTATATTCTATGTATCCCTAAATAATCAGTCAAATGTAAGAAAGAAATAAGAACATGATTATTTCTGAAAAATCACAAAAATTGAATTTCTCAGCTATTAAGAGAATGTACTTAACAAAAAGGGGATAAATAAAAATGGAAAAAAAAAACAAAGAACATAGAATATGGGAAAGAAAGAAACCAACATGGGGTTAAGGGAAAAGAAGTTCCAGGAGAGAGGTCTCCTGGAAAAAAAAAAAAGGATCTAAAGGATTATATAATACATTTGTCTATATGATTAATTCTATTCTGGGTAGTAAACAGGCTGAATCTAAAGTGGCCCCCAAGGATTCCCACTTTTTAATATTTATATCTTGTGTAATTTCCCTATTTTGAGTGTGGGCAGAGTCTGTAACTTCATACTAACCAACAAATTTAGGCAAACGTCATGGGATGTCACTTCTGTGATGACATGACATACAACTTCAACCCATTTTATGAGGAGACACTCTCCCTTGCTGGATATAAGAAAGCATGTGAGCATACTGGAAGGCCCATGTGGCAGGGAACCAAGCAAGGGTATCCTCCAGTCAAGGAACCCAATCCTCTAACAGCCCATAAGAAACTGAGCAGTGCCAAGAACAACCTGATGTTGGAAGCAAATCCTTCACCAGTCAAGCTTCAGATTAGACAAGAGTCCCATTTGCCTCTTTCATTGTAGCTTTATGAAAACCTCCAGCAGAAGACCCAGCAAAGCTATGCTGGGACACTTGACCCAAAAATGCACTAAAATAATAAATGTATATGTTTTAAGCTGCTAAGTTTGTAGTAATGTTTTACTGCAGCAGCAAAAACCAATAGTAATAGATTAATAAAGTCAACTGTATATGCAAAAGTTAATAATATATGGAAACTAAGCAAATAAAAAAAGTTTATGATTAGGGAATTTTATAAAGAAAACTGGGCTGGGTGCGGTGGCTCATGCCTGTATTCCCAGCACTTTGGGAGGCCAAGGGGGCAGATCATGAGTTCAGGAGATCGCGACTATCCTGGCTAACACAGTGAAACCCCGTCTCTACTAAAAATACAAAACATTAGCCGGGCATGGTGGTGCGCACCTGTAGTCCCAGCTACTCGGGAGGCTGAGAGAGGAGAATGGTGTGAACTCGGGAGGCGGAACTTGCAGTGAGCACTTCAGCCTGGGCAACAGAGTGAGACTCCGTCTCAAAAAAAAAAAAAAAGAAAGAAAGAAAACTGAATAAAGTCTTAACGCATGCATGTGTTCTTTATTTTGTATCACTCTTGGTTTATTTCAAGGGTTTTTTTTTAGGAAGTATATGTATATATAATATGTATTATTATATATATATATTATAAACCTTCATCTCTGTGAATTGTGACTTGTCTTACAACAGAAAAAGCTAGATTACAAACATTAACTATCTAAATTCCTTTTACATCTTCTGGGATTCAGTGTTGCAGATATCAACCAGATATTTTCCATTGTCAGTGACCACTTTTATAATTTAGTATTTTTCATAATGCTTACATATTTCTTTATTATTGTTTCGCCTAACTTTGTCTCTCTTCTTGTTAATTTTACTCATATGTTATAAGCTGTATTTCCATTCTATTTTCAAGCTTAGAAAAGTATTTTTTAAAATACATATTTTTATTATTTTTGTTTTTTTTTCCGTTTGAGAACATACATACTTTTTACGTTGATCCTGGATTATTTTGCCTCCATCCTCCTTCAATATCTATCATCTAATCTATCATCATGTTTATCTTCTACTCTTGTCTAAATTGCATCTTTTGTTTTAGTGATTGAATTTTCCAGTGTTAATCGTGTTCTTTGGGTTTACCTGTGCCAACTTCTCACTTAAACCAGCTCGAACATTATTTTGAACTTTATCTCAACCTGTTTGGTCCCTGTAGTTTGTTGTCTTATATCCTGAAAGGACAACCTTTGGGTTGTTCCAAAACAAACAAACAAAAATATATTCTTTTCTCCCTTAGCTCATGGCTGCACAGGTACAGACTACATTTCCCAAAAATGTAACTTGATGTGACCGTGTTATTTTATTCCAGCAAAAAAGATTAGAGTAAGTAGGAGTTTCCACTTCCATGTAATTTCTAAAATATACATAATTCACGTTCCTTGGGCCATATCTTTTCTACCTTCCTGCAGTCTGCAGTGTGAACATGGCAATGGCCTTCAACCATGGAACCAAGTATAACAATGGCAGAACAACAAGATGGCAGAAACCTGGGTTCCTAAATAACCCTGTGGTAGACTGCTGACTCCCGCTGTAGATTGGCTGTACTGTCACATCAGAAAGAAACCTTCGTTTTAATTATTGTGCATCAGAGATTTATAGTTACAGCAGCCGAGGCTTTGCTCAAATCAATACCATTGCCAATTTACTTCTTAAATAATTTCTTCTCTTTATGTACAAAATACTTTTTGGAGGTAGGCCTCTACATCTTCAGGATTGTTTTATTTTATATTTTTCTTTTAGGAGAAAATGCTTTTTAGAGGCCCTCCATAAGTCTTTCTTTTCTTTAAGACTCAGGCTTGATGAAACAAAGAGTTCTCCCAGTATCAATGTTGCCCAAAATTTAGGATATGTAGCTTGTGCTTGGCCCTGAACCCTGGACTAGTCCTCTCGTATAGTATCAGAGGGAAGGCTGAGAACGAAGCAGACAGGGAGCAAAATGAAAGATAGAACAGTCCCATAGATGGCATGGCCAGTGCATACAAGAAAAATTATTGCATAGCCTTATTTTCTGTATAAACAACTGAAATGGCAGAATGTTCAATTTAAAAACAAATCCCTAGAAACACCACAATCAGAATTAATAAAACCTGACTCTTCTGTCGATCCCTGCAGAACTGAAGAAAGGTCCCAGCCCTTATCCCCATGTTTAGTGTTTCATAGCCATTCACTTCCTGTAGCTTCATTGGGTTGCAATATTATCTTCACTCACTCTATTATTTCTATATAAAACTTTGAAATGATGAAATACAAGGGAGAATATATTTTACAAGATGCAGTACTGTTCATTCTTTCCCTCTCCTTAAATATATTACTTATTTGGTGTCTTTGTCAACTGGAATTGGTATAACAATGTAGCATTGACTGGGTAGCTTACAAATAAAAGAAATTTATTTCTCACACTTCTGTAGACTAGAAGCCCAAGACCAGGATGCCAGCATGGCGAGGGCCCTCTTTACCGCTGCAGATTGCTAACTTCTTGTTGCATTCTCCCATGGTGTAAAGGGGAAGAGATAACTCTCTGAAGTTCTTTCTATAAGAGCACTAACCCCATTCATGAGGACTCCACTTCATGACCTAATTACCTCCCAAAGGCCCCATTGCCTAACACCATCACATTGGGGGTTAGAATGTCAACATTTGAAATATGGGGAGACATAAACATTTAGTTGGTTGCACTTGTGGACCATCTGCTAAGATGTAATGTGAAGCTGTTATTTCTCCTAGTCCTGAGGTATTCATTATTTGCACTAAAATTTTGCAATATAGGAATAAAAAAGTACAATGTGATCATGTGTATTTTTTGTGGGGTGTGGAAGATTAGGGAACACATTCCTGTTGCCTCATAAATTGAAATCAATATGATGTAGAGAAGACTGCTCTATTTTCTCGATTATGCAATCCGTGGATCCACAAATCAGGAAGAAAATGTGTGAGAAAACATTTCCTGGCCATCTCTCAGACAAATGAGTCTGTTTACTTTCCAAGGGTAATTTTTTTCAGTTTTAACTCACAAAATGATTCTTCTTTTTCACTTTGTAGGCCTTATAATTAGTGCAAATTGTCTGAAATTAGATTGTTGTCACTCTTACTTTCATATGTTGTTATAATTGTGGGTTGTCATACTTTTGTTAAGTCCTCATACGTGTCCTAAATGGAATTTTGGAGATAATGAGCCAGCTTAAATAGGAAGGATGGTTATTACCATATATAGGATCAATATAATTTTGAATTATTTGGGTAGAAAGCATTAATAATTAAAAGAAAACTTTTAAGAATCAAGTTTGGGAGTTATATCATTAACATTGTACTTTTAGCACTTTATTGAAATTAGCTAGCTATTTAATCAGCTATAATGTATAAATTAAAATCAGCTATGTATTATAGTTAGTTTCTATTGCTCCTGTCATGGGCCAAGATATATTTTTGTCACACATATTTTACATTTGGGGAGCAGTAGACATGGGGAATGAAATTCTGAAGACTTGTTTAATACCATTTTAATTCTCAACCTGGGTATGTTTAAAATGTTTTTTTCTCAGTTGCCCATGGATTCTTTTTTCAAGACAGATTGAGGCAAGAGAATGTGTACACATATTCATTTGAATTTATCTACACAAACTACAGGTAGACTCTTTATTCTGTAGAGATAAAAGAAAATCTAAAAATCCTTGGTATGACTGTTAATATCTAGAATACTGTACTACATGTTAAGTAGCCTGAATATCTATCAACAGCAGGTTAATGACAACATAAAACATAATGTGGAGCAGGATCATCTGTTTAAATGATGTGTATTTTTTTCAGTCCTATAAGAAACTCAAAATAACAAAAAGCAATTTCTGCATATGAAAATACCCATCAGACTACACACTAAAGAGAGCCAAAAGCTTGTCTCAGGTTTTGTGAGTCCTAAAAATTAATTTTGAGGGTCCTGTTTAAGAAAAATAATACAAAATTATGAATTCAAAATAAAGTATGAAAATGAACATTTACTTAGACTAAGAAAACAAATCATAATACACTACAAATTTTGAAAAGTCAGGAAACAACAGATGCTGGAGAGTATGTGGAGAAACAGGAACGTTTTTATGCCATTGGTGGGAGTGTAAATTAGTTCAACCATTGTGGAAGACAGTGTAATGACTCCTCAATGATCTAGAACCAGAAATTCCATTTGACCCAGCCATCCCATTACTGGGTATATACCCAAAGGATTATAAATCATTCTACTATAAAGACACATGCACACATATGTTTATTGCAGCACTGTTCACAATAGCAAAGTCTTGGAACCAACCCAAATGCCCATCAATGTTAGACTGGATAAAGAAAATGTGGCGCATATACACCATGGAATACTATGCAGCTATGAAAAAGGATGAGTTCATGTCCTTCCCATGGACATGGATGAAGCTGGAAACCATCATTCTCAGCAAACTAACACAGGAACAGAAAACCAAACACTGTATGTTCTCACTTATAAGTGGGAGGTGAACAATGAGAACACATGGGCACAGGGAGAGGAACATCACATACAGGGACCTGTTGGGGGGTTGGGGGCTAGGGGAGGGATAGCATTAGGAGAAATACCTAATGTACATGACGGGTTGATGAGTGCAGCAAACCACCATGGCACGTGTATACCTATGTAACAAACCTGTACGTTCTGCACATGTATTCCAGAACTCACAACAACAACAAAAAAAACTGAAAAACATCACAAAATCCTGAAAAAATGCATAATTTACTACCTAACCCATCTCCATAATGTTATTTGTTCCTTTACGCTTTTCTTGTATACTATTTGATCCTTTTTATATAAAAATGACTCTACAATATCATTTACAGAAAGAAAATGGTAATTCAATTGTCATCTAGCGAAGTTGGTCACAATTTACTCTTATTAGTAGTAATTTAGAAAGCTTTTAGCTTCGCAACTATCCCGCTCCCTAGCCTGTGTAACCATGCTAGCAATATATCTGGCAGTACTGCAAGCCAATAAATATATCCATTCCACCAAACTTAACTCCTTTACCAAATTTCTAAAATACTATCATCTACTCTAATGTCCCTCTGTCAACCCCTGCAACCTTCACACCCCCACATATGTGAAGAGAATCTACCTAGAAGTTCATAGAGGAAAGGATAGTAGTTTAACCAAATGTGATTAAATTTCTTTAGTTTTGTAAATTTTGCAGAAACTTATGACTGCCACATGAACAAATTTCTCAAGTCTTTCCAGGGATTTGGAAGGGACTCAGAAAAGTGAAGTTCTGAAGCTTAACCTTCTTTCACTTCTCAGTATACCTGCTCCTGGTGTTATTACGAATCCTCCTACATCGTCCAAACACACACATACCCTGAGATTAACAATATGGTATGAAGAAAACATCCTAAAAGTCTTATTTTGGAATGTTTGTTTGTTTTGGTTTGGGTTTTGTTGTGTCTTATCAAGAAAGGGGCTGCAATTGCCACAGATAAGCAAGAGGAAAATGAGTCAAAGATGGTGGCCCTATGAGGAATGGTTCTATAGGGAAGAATTTCTCCAGAGGCTGAAAGAATACATATTGCTGCCAATTACACCAATAATGGGAATTTAAGCCCCAGCCAAATGTAGTACCTCTCAGACAGTGATGACTAAATGTGAACCAGATGTTAGATGCTATAGATTAGAAACTTTGGATAAAAACTATGGACATGGTATGGAAAGACTGAAGAAAGGGTTTTTGAATGGACCATCTCGTCGTGCCCAAGGGGTAATAGGAGATAAGTGGTGGCAAAAATGATAACGATTAAATTTCACAACCAGCTGGTGAACAGAGACTATTCCAGAGTTAATTTGCTTAAGGAAAATGACTTTTATTTTTTAACCTCAGAATCTATGCAGCAGATTCATACTTGCTACAAATACTTTGCATATTCGTAATTATCAGTAGCATTTAAAAATAGATCTGTAATCACATGAACCTCTTCATCCCTTAACTTGTAAATATAAAATCGTTAGGAAAATACATCTAAAACTTAGAAATAGGCAAGGAGGATCACTGTTTATTCTGTCAGGGTCATGCAGTGACACTTTATGTCTCTAGGTGAGTGTGCCTTTGTTTAATTTCCCATTTACTACTTATTAATATATTTTACAGCTCTAAAGTAAAGATGTTAATTTGTAGATAAGCAAAAAGTATGCAAATAATACTTGTCCTATAGTAATGATGACTCCTCTCTCGTAGCTTTGCAAATGAATTTTATTTGGTGGAGATTCAAATGATATCAGCAAAATTGTGGCTTTAATGTCCTATAGGACATTAACCAGCTTTGATTCTATGTTAGCAATCTAATTGTAGCGTCCTGTTTTTCTGCCATAATTACTTGTGCTCTCTCCAATTCACTTTGGACCTGCCTTACCAAGTCGCTGTTCCTTCATTAATGAATTAAGTAAATCTTTGACATATGCTCACTTTATTTGTATCACAATGAGGCTCTAAATTTTTGGAAATTATAATCAAAACTACACATATTTGAAAGAGAACCTTTTGGTTCTCTGAATCGTGGGCTGGAAATGGGAATGTTGCTTCCTGCTAAACTGACTGCCAAAATTAACTACTCCTGAAAGGAAAGCATCACATAATTCTCCTTGTTAGCCATGGCTTCCACATTTGTTTAAATAACAAAATATCTATAAATGAAAACAGAAAGTTGGAAATTGAATAACCAAAAAGATAATGATGATTTTTATTACTAATAATAACATTGGCCATAGGTCTTTAGAAAATTAAATGAAGAAGAAAAAGCATAGAGTGAGCACATATTTACTTAAAAATATTACTGAATTAGAGTGAGAGTATATCACATAAAAGATATGTGACAGTGTGTTTGATTTATTTTTTCTGTATTTTCTAATTTTTCTATAATAGGCAAGAGTTTGGTACAAATTAAAATGTTTAAAACAAGATTTTTGTCTTAGACTTTTTTATTATTTCTCTGTTTTACTTGTTTTAGACTTAATTTTTTAGAGCAGTGTAGGTTCACAGCAAAGGACAGGAAGTTTCAAAGATACCCCATATACTCTCTCCCCGCCACATGCCTAGCGTCCCCAATTATCCACATCCCCCACCAGAGTGGTACATCTGTTAGAGTCAATGAACAAACATTGACATGTCATTGTTAACAAAGTTCATAGTTCATATTGGGGTTTATACTTGGTGTTTTACAGTCTATGGATTTGGACATATGTATGATGACAGGTGTCCAACATGATAGTTTCATTTAGAGTATTTTCACAGCCCTAAATATCCACTATGCTCTGCTAATTCATTTATCCTTATTCATTCCCCGCCCCACGCAACCCCTGGTAACCACTAATATTTTCACTGTCTCAATAGTTTTGCTTTTTCTAGACTGTCACGTAGTTGAAATCATACAGTATTAGTCTTTTCATATTGACTTCTGTCACCAATATGCATTTAAGTTTCCTCCATGTGTATTTGTGGCTTTATACATCATTTCTTTTTATCACCTAATAATATTTCTTTTTTTTTTTTTTTTTTTTTTTTGAGACAGAGTTTCCCTCTGTTGCCCAGGCTGGAGTGCAGTGGCATGATCTTGGCTCGGCTCACTGCAACCTCCACCTCCTGGATTCACGTAATTCTTCTGCCTCAGCCTCCTGAGTAGCTGGGATTATAGGTGCCCACCACCATGCCTGGCTAATTTTGTATTTTTTGTAGAGACAAGGTTTCGCCATATTGGCCAGGCTGTTCTCAAACTCCTGACCTCAAGTGATTCCCTGCCTCAGCCTCCCAATATGCTGGGATTACAGGCGTGAGCCACTGTGCCCAGCATCACCTAATAATATTTCATCATTTGGATGTACCACAGTTTATTTATCCATTCACCACCTGAAGGAGATCTTTGGTGATATCCAAGTTTTGGAAATTATGAATAAAACTGATCTGTGTGCAAGTGTTTGTGTGGACTTAAGTTTTTAACTCTGTTGGGTCAATATCAAGAAGTGCACTTGTTGGTTCATATGGTAAACCTGTTTTACTTTTTATCATATATATGGATTTTTTACGTCAAACTTTCTGGCTTTTTACTATAAAGGAAGTTGAGCCACCAAACTGTGCCCCAAGAATTGTGCCAAGTTCTCAGATGGTATAAAATAATAGATATTTTATTAAAATTTTACCCATTTTGTTATACATACCATGTTAGTTTTCTAAGTTTCTTTAAAGTGCAGATTTATTTAGACTAGAGTACATCTGAGCCTTTGTGAAATCAAAACTGAGAATATGTTTACGCTCATTTTGTGCATGTTGGTTCAAAATTTTATTAGCTTCAACAAATTGGCTTATTATTTTTGTTTCATGGCATTTTGTTGATCTTACCTGTCAAGACTGTAGACATCAAATATTACACCTTTCTATGGGAAATAATTTATAAGATGGATATTTGCATTTTAATATAGCTTTAATTCCATATGTCACATTTAATGGTTTTATTTCTCATATGGCAAAAAAGAAGAGACTGCCTGAATACATTTTCATATACTATGCTATGGGTATAAATTTTTATTTCCTATTACACAATCAGTTTTGAAGTCATTTGAATTAGTGATTCCTTCAAAATTATTACCTGTTAGATTTGATTTTGTTTTCTTAGAACAAAGAAGTGAGATGTAACAGTAGGCATCAGTCTGGACACACTTTTCTTCTTGTCCATAAAGAATCTATTTTAATTATATTACTTAGTCAAAGATATTCAAAGGATTAGGTGTTGGTGTTTTATTTAAATGGAATGTTTCCAAAATGGGGCCATTTACCCTGATTTGATTATTAGATTATACACATATATTGAACTATCCTACTGTATGCCATAAATATGTACAATTATTATGTGACAGTTAAAAGTAGTAATAAAAGCAGAAACAGTGCTTTTATTTGAACACTTGAACAGGTACCATACAAGTAAGGAAAATTTCATTATCTTGACAGTGTAGTGTCTACTTATTACATTTCTAAAACTGTCATTTATAGTTAAAAGTTAAAGTCAAAAAAATTGACTTTTTCCTTTGATATAAAATTCTATGAGTCTTAACACATGCATAGCTTCATGCAACTACTACCAAAATAAGGATACAAAATTGTCTCATTACTCCAAAAAAATCCATCATGTTGCCCCCTTGAGTTACTACTTTCCCCTATCACTCTTGGCTGCCAATGATTTGTTCTCCATCTTCATAGTTTTACCCTTACCTGAATGTTATATAAATAAAGTTTTACTGTATGTTAATTTTGGGGACAGGCTTCTTTTGTTATGATTCACTTGAAATTCTTCCACATTGTGCATGTTCAATCATTTGTTCCTCTTCATTGCCGAGTAGTATTCTATTGCAGGATTATGCCATAGTTGATCTATTCATTCATTAAAGAACATTTAGGTTGTGTCAAGTTTTGGGTAAATGTAAATAGAGCTGACATAAACATTCGTATACAGGGTTTTTTTGAAGATTTTTTCATATTTTTATAGTAAGTACCCCAGAGTGGAGTTGCTGTGTTATTTATAAAAGTAGATTTTACTTTACAAGAAAGCTCCAAACTGCTTTACAGGGTGATTGTGGCATTTTTCACTTTCATTCCCAACAGAAATATATCCGAGTTCCAGCTTCTGCTCCATATCCTTGCCAACACTTGCTAATATTTGCATATGTGTGTGCATGTTCCTTGCTAATAATAGTTTAGTGGTGTCTCATTGTGGTTTAAATTTGTATTTTGCTAATGGTTAATTATGTTCAACATCTTTTCATTTGATGCCTCCTTGCCATCTTTTAAAATTTGTTGTTGGTTTTTTTTTTGACTGTTGAATTTTGACAGTACTTTATAAATTCTGTATAGAAGACTTTTTCAGGTAAGTAATTTGTATATATTTTCCCCATTTGTATCTTGTTATTTCATTCTCAACATACAATTTATCAATGTTTTGTTTCATGCGTCATGTTTTCAATGTCGTGTAGTATCTGAGAACTCTGCTTAACCCCAGGTCTCAAAGATTTCTTCCAATAATTTCTTATGATTTACTATTGTACCTTAAGATCTATGATTCATTTTGAGTTAACTTTCGAAATAAGATGTGAAGCTTGAGGTTCATTTGTTTTTGCCTATATATGGTTTGCCAATGGTTTCAGCACCATCTGTTGGAGACTAATTTTTGCATATTTGTCAAAATCAATGGGCCATATTAGTGTTTATTTTCAGAGTCTGTTTTCTATTGTGGCCCATTGATCTATATACCTATCCTTTCACCCATACCACACTGTATTGATTACTGTCTCAAAAACCATCTAGTGTGAGTCCTCTAACTTTATACTTTTTTACATATACTTTTTATACAACCGTTTGGTTTTTAATATTTCATTGACTTTCTATATACATTTTAGAATCAGCTTATTTATATCTACTAAAATCCTGCTGGAATTTTGATTGTAATGGCATTAAATCTATAGATCAATTATGGAAGAATTGCCAACTTAACAATATCTATCTTTGTAATTCATGAACATAATAAATCTAACGATTTCTTTGGTTCTTGTTTGTTTCATGTCATCAGCATTTTAGTTTTCAGTGTACAAATCTTGTACATATTTTTAGAATTATACTCAAGTATTTCATTTTATGTAAGCTATTATAAATGGTATTGTATTTTTAAGTTGCTTTCCAGTTGTATATTGTTAGCATAAAGAAACTTATTTTGTATGTTAACTTTTAACCTATGGTGTTAACCTCAGTTTTACTAGTTCTAGTGTGTCTGGAATTGGTGGGTTCTTGGTCTCGCTGACTTCAAGAATGAAGCTGCGGACCCTTGCAGTGAGTGTTATAGTTCTTAAAGATGGTGTGTCCAGAGTTTGTTCCTTCTGATATTTGGATGTGTCCGGAGTTTCTTCCTTCTTGTGGGTTCTTGGTCTCATTGGCTTCAGGAGTGAAGCTGCAGACCTTCGTGGTGAGTGTTACAGTTCATAAAGGCGGTGCGTCTGGAGTTGTTCATTCCTCCCGATGGGTTCGTGGTCTTGCTGACTTCAGGAGTGAAGCTGCAGACCTTCACGGTGAATGTTACAGCTCATAAAGGAGGCATAGACCCAAAGAGTGAGCAACAGCAAGATTTATTGCAAAGAGCTAAAGAGCAAAGCTTCACAGCACAGAAGGGGACCCCAGCAGGTTGCAGCTGCTGGCTTGGGTGGCCAGCTTTTATTCTCTTATTTGACCCCGCCCACATCCTGCTGATTGGTCCATTTTACAGACTGCTGATTGGTCCATTTTACAGAGTGCTGATTGATGCATTTACATCCTTTAGCTAGACACAGAGTGCTGATTGGTGCATTTACAATCCTTTAGCTAGACACAAAAGTTCTCCAAGTCCCCACCTGACACAGAAGCCCAGCTGCCTTAATCTCTCACTAGGAGTGAGTTTATGGGTTTGTTTGAAAGATTATTTGGGATTTTCTACATAGGCAATCCTGGTCTATAAATAGGATCAATTTTTTTTTTTTTTGAGACGGAGTCTTGCTCTGTTGCTCAGGCTCAAGTGCAGTGGCACAATCTCGGCTCACTGCAAGCTCCATCTCCCAGGTTCATGCCATTCTCCTGCCTCAGCATCCTTAGTAGCTGGGACTACAGGTGCCTGCCACCATGCCCGGCTGATTTTTTTGTATTTTTAGTAGAGATGGGGTTTCACTGTGTTAGCCAGGATGGTCTTGATCTCCTGACCTAGTGATCTGCCTGCCTTGGCCTCCCAAAGTGCTTTGATTACAGATATGAGCCACCATGCCCAGCCTATTTAGGATCAATTTTATTTCAAATTTTCAATCAGAATTATTTTTATCTTTCTTGCCTTAGTGCTTTGGCTAGGACTTCCAGCTTGACCTTGAATAGAAGTTGGGGGAATGAACATCCTTGCCTTATTTTCCCCACTGTGTTTAAGTTTTCTTGCCATATAAGTAATTATCAATGCCTTGGAAGCTTCAAGCAACACAGATATTTTTAATCACAAAGCTTCCATGGGCCAGGAGTCTGAATATGGCTTAGCTGGTTCCCCTGCTCAGGATATGACTATGCTGAAATTATAGATTTGACTGGGGCTAGAATCTCATTTCAGGTGCAGTGTTCTCTTTCAAACTCACATATGGCTGTTGCCAGAATTTTGTCTCTTGAGGTTGTGTGATTGAAGTCCCTGGTTCTTGTTAGCTGTCTGCTTAAGATTGCTCTCACCTTCTAGAACCTGTCCTCAAATTCTTGCCACATGGCCCCTTCCATCCTTGCTGTCTCAAAATGCCAGTTTACTTCTTCAAGGCAAGGAAAACAACTCTCTGACTCTCCACCTTCATTTAAAGGGCTCCTGATTTGGTCAGGCCTTGCTAAGATAATCTCCCTTTTGATAAACTCAGTTAACTAATAGTAATGTAATCACAGGAGTGATGTGCCATTATATTGTCTGTTCTCACCCACCCTCCATGGCAGTAGAATATTTAAGGTGTGTACAGCAGGGAACAGGAATCTCAAAGGCCATTTTAGATTTCTATCTACCACATCAAAATCTTAGGAAGAAACCATTTAGACTTTCATCATAAGATGTGATGTTACCTATTGTTTCATTTTAGATGCCTATCAGCTAAAGAAGTTCCTCTTTATTTCTAGTTTGTTGAGTTCCTTTTTGTTTTGTTTGTTTTGTTTTGGTGAATAGATGTTGAATTTTGTCAAATGCTTTTTCTGCATCAATTGATATGATCACATGGTTTGAAATTTAGTCTGCAAATACGATGGATTACATTGCATGTGTTTTTTGTTTTTGTTTTTTTTTTTTGAGATGGAGTCTCGCTCTGTCACCCAGGCTGGAGTGCAGTGGCACAATCTCGGCTCACTGCAAGCTCCACCTCCCGGGTTCACACCATTCTCCTGCCTCAGCCTCCCCAGCAGCTGGGACTACAGGCGCATGCCACCATGACTGGCTAATTTTTGTACTGTTAGTAGAGACGGGGTTTCACTGTGTTAGCCTGACTTTGCGGTCTGCCCGCCTCGGCCTCCCAAAGTGCTGGGATTACAGGCGTGAGCCACCACGCCCAGCCTAATTGAGTTTTTTTTAATACAGAGCTAGTCTTGTTTTTCCTGGATAAATTGCACATGGGCATGGTATATTATTTCTTATATATATTTTTAGATTTTATGTACTAGTGTTAGGTTGAGAATAATTTGCATATAGATTCAAAAGAAATATTTGGCTAGAGTTCTCTTTTCTTGTGCTATCTGGGTGCTAATAGCCTCATAAAATGAATTATGAATATTCACTCTAATTCTACTATCTGGAAGAGATTGTATAGCATCGATAATATTTCTTATTTAAATGTAGGTTTATTTCTTATTTAAATGTTCCCGTGAAACAACTTGGTGCTAGAAACTGTCATTTTCAGAATGTTTTGAACTATAATTTAAATTCCTATAATTATTATACAACAATTGACCTTATCTATTTCTTTGTAAGTCAATTTTCATAATTTGGGACTTTCAAGTAATTGGTTCATTACATATAACTTGTATTTATGTGTTTATATTTTTCATATTATTCTTTTTTTTTTATTAAATGTCTGTAGGGTCTGCACTGATAGCCCTCTTCCACTTCTGCTATTGATAGTTTGTGTCTACTATTTTTTCTTTGTCAGTCTAATTAAAGGTTTTTCAAATATATTGATATATGCAAATATAAATAGCATATATTGCACAGAATATGAAATTTTCTGGATCTTGATACATTTGTTGATTGGTAGATATACATATAGATATTGATTATAATTATGATGAGAACAGAACACTATACTGTATCTACCAAATTCCACTAAAAGATTTATTTTTTTCACACTCATTAACATGATTTCCATATAGCATAATCCAGTGAATTTAGAAATGACCCAAAGTACTATATTATGTTTATTATCATTCTATATATTCTGGTGTTCATAAAAATTGAAATAAATAATAATTGGTTTTAATTGCAAAATATTTAATTTCAATTTAAACTATATGGAAAGACACATGGTTATTCACTGAGAATACAAAAGCAGGATTAATATTAAAAGCAGCAAAAAATAATATGGGCACTGTCTTTGATTTAGCTATGAATATAAATTTACTTTTTTACGTGATCAAGGCTGACAACATATATAAAGTACAAGAATTTTAAATCATTCTTTAAAAATATCATTTGAAGCTTTTATTCAGAATAAATGCAGATGTGTCTTGCCAAAAATAAGACTCATTAGTTTTGAAATATTGCATTAAAGAAACCAGGCATTCTTTTAAGGGCAGGGAGTGATGGTGAAATTTTATATTACATTTCAATAAGCAAATAAATACATTATAATGGCTAGAATTAATAACTTCTCATCATTCAAGCTTCAAAAATTAAACCTTTGTATCAAGAAACAAATAAATCAGAATATTTTGTTAAGTTACTCAGTCTGTTATATATAACTGTCCTTTACTTTGAAAATAAATAGTGCTGTCCAAAAACTGATTTTTTTTGTTTAGGAAGCAGTAAAATGTACCCTTTAAAAATACTGCTTGCTTCAAGTCTGTCAAGCTTAATGACAGTGACACATGAAATATTGAAGAATAAACAAAATAGCACAGCATAATTTTTCTTCTAATGCTATCTAAGCAGTTTCTCTACTTGTTAAAAATTGTTTTTGCCCTCCTAAAGTTCACTTGTCAAAATGATAAAAAATAAAAATGGATTTCATGCTTCAAATTATGCTAGCCTTAGGTAAAATATCTTTTAAAGCCCACTGCTTCTTTATTTTTCAGTAGAAAAGGTTACTAGCAATATGGAGATGCATTAAAAAGTCACTTTTCTAATACTGTAGACACTCAGGGAAAGAATCCATGAAGTAGTAACGTGTAAACTAAGTAGAAGTTATACACCAAGGGAGATGGCACTTATTTTTTAATTTGTTTTTTTTAATTTTTGAGTATTAATAATAAACCCAAACTATGAATTAAATAATTTTTATTAAGGCCACCAACAGAGCATTGACAAGTCATTATAATTTCTAATTTCTTTCTCATTGTAAGTTTGGATATAAATGATATAAAAAGTAAATGATTAATTAGATATATAATAACATTGAAAATAATTTCTATCTGGTATTATTATGATGAGATTTATTTAGTATCAAATCCAACATCACACCATGTACAGTCTATAAAATTAAGTTGAAGAGTTCTTAGTTATTCACATGTTCTGGTTATTAGCTGAAACATTCTCTCTGGCCATCGATCTGTGGGTATCTAGTGGTATAGTTAGACGTGAAACATTCTCAAAGCTGTTTTCCAAATCAAACACAAACCAAGAAGATTGTTTTAAGTGCCTGGATTTGTAGAGAAGGAACAGTCTTTAATGAACAGGGACCGATATTTTTACAGAAGTAAATGAGAGGTTGATAACAGAGAGTAATTGCATCACTTTGATGAAAATATTCATTTCCATAAGAGTATGATAGAGCTGTAAGAAGAAGGTTTTAAAATGTAGATATATTCTTAGTTTGCCCTGGGATATTCAGAAATTATGAATAAATGTAGCAGAAGTTCATTCTACTGGGATGTCTTTGCCCAGGGAATGTACATCATACATGTTTGTATACCATCAATTAATAAATATCATTTAACACCCTACTCAAGCAAATATAGTAGTTTCGGAACTATGTACACAGCAGTAAACTAGACAAGGTCCATTCCTTTCAGAAGGTTGAAACTCACTGGTCTGATTTAGGGCCATCAATTCTCACTGTAGTCTATGTTTTGGTTTTAGAACACAGCCCCGTGTCCTGCCAAAGTAGTGTTATTGCCAGCCTGCCAGCTAATAGAACAACGCTTTGCTCTCTTTCTACTTTGGGTCTACATCTGAAAGACTTTGGATCTTACTCTGTTCTTGTGGCATAGAAGACTCTGCCTACCGTAGCCTTGGATCATCATAGTGTTGATTGTCAGTAACACTCAATGCCATATGGATTAATTTACCTTACCCAGGACTAATTACATACAAAGGCAGATATAGGCATTTAAGGAGGAAGAGCCTGGGTGATATTGTCATAAACAGCCTTTCCCATTGTTTGGGAAAATCTATTTTGATGGTTTAAAGCTGAGGGGCAGCAAAACCCATTATTGATGCAGCTGTAAGTAGTATTTGTGGTGGACGCAAGGTTTGAAATTGATAAAAGACGAGAAAATTCCCTTACTTTCTGTTACACAATTACCAAGGAGCTTAGGTTGGAGAAATGGTGGATGAGAGAGGTCTAAAACATCCATGGAACTCCCTAAATCTCTGAATATCCTTGAACATTCAGGGCTTTCCAAATGGGATCACTAATATCAGACTGATGCCTTAATTAGGTAGGAATTCCTCCTATTGAATTTCAGTAGACATTAATGTACATTTCCTGGAATTGGGTTGGAGATGGTGCTGTGGCAGTAGCATTTACCTAGTTCAGAGATTAATGAGCCATCTATCTAGTACATTTGAATGAAACTTCCAATCAGTAGGTCATATATGGTCCAAATTAAGCTACTCCTGTTTTAGCTACATAAGTGATTTTCTGAAAGGAGGCACCCAAAATCTCTCAAAGGATGTTTTAGGGAATGCTTATATGTTACAACGTTAAAAATTGTATTTTAAGGAGAAATAAAGTTGCGACCCATTGATATAGTTGATATAATTTTAATCTTTTAAGACACATTATTGGAATAAAGGAACCTGAAAAAATAATTTTATATCTGCTTTTAATATTGTATTTTATCTCTAATTGTAAATTAGATTTAAAGTTACAGAACAGTGTGTTCCAGTTTTGTATCTGAAGAAGGGATGTTTGTGGTATTTGGAGAAGTTGGGCTACAAATGTATTATGCTGGTGTTATGGGATAATATGGCATATAAAAATCCTCCATTAGTGCATTGCTTTCATTACCCTTTAATTGACTATATTACCCACTCATCAGCAATTATAAGGCATCTAGCAGTTAAGGCATTTTTTTTTTTTAAGATGGATTCTCACCCTCTCGCCCAGGCTGGAGTGCATCAGGGTGATCTCGGCAGACTGCTATCTCTGCCTCCTGGGTTCAAGCAATCCTCCTGTCTCAGCCTCCCAAGTAGCTGGAATTTCAGGTGCCCACCACCACACCCAGCCAATTTTTTGTATATTTAGTAGAGATGGGGTTTCACCATGTTGGCCAGGCTGGTCTTGAACTCTTGACCTTGTGATTGGCCCACCTAGGCCTCCCAAATGCTGGGATTATAGGCGTGAGCCACCGCACCCGGCCCAAGGCATGTATTTTAATATCATAATTATTTTATGAATTATTAGTAGCCTGGATCTATCCTATTCACTTTACTAACTACACCATCAATGTATTTTATTAAATGCGTCAGAGAATGGTTCAGCAAAAGTTACTGATATTGTATCTGGTTAAACATCACATGGTGGTAACTCACTCAAATTGTAGACAAACTACTCGAGTGAAATAAATATGCTTTTCATTCTTAAATTTGAAAGGGCAAACCTATAAAATGAAGGCAGATTTCTTATGTAGTTATGCCTTTAAATGTTTTAATAAATGACACAGATGGAAATGAATCATTAACAGCTACATATTGCAAGACAAATAAGGTCCAGAGGTGTCAAGGTCAACCTTGGCCAGAGAGTAATGAGATGTACATAACTAAAGGGGATTTTGTTAGATATATAAACGAAGTGAGGTAATGAGATATTCCAAAAGGGAGGCAATTGGAGAACTACACATATGTGTGGTAATGAGATGCCAAAGCCTTTGAAAAGTTAGATTTTAAGAAGAAAGAGCCACAGGCTGCCCAAGGCAACACATTTTAATCTTTGCTACTCTAGGTAACCACAAGGAAAGGCTCTTCTCATCCCCAAATCCCAAGTACGTTCCTCACCTTGCCCCCAGCAAATCACTTTCTGATCTTGTTTTGCAATATTGTTTGCATTTCTGTAATAGCACCTCCTAGCAGGGTAAGGTGATGTGGGCAAGAGGTGGCTGATGCAATTGAATTAATTAAAACTGCACTTTAACTGAGGTAATTCTGTGTGAAAACTTTTGCATTTAAATGACAAATGGATCTAAATGTCATTGCCCATAATGAAAAATGAAATAAAAACTACAGGCTCTTTCTACTGAATCAAATTACAAATGAGAATTTTATTTCAATAGAAAATATTTTTGAAAGACTTCAATAGCAAAACTTACTAATACAATGAAGAGATAATAATTAGGCCAATAATGTAGTTACATCTAATTTATCAATTTTAAAACTGTTTATATGTTTTTATTTTAAAAATAAATTCACAGAGAATGAGCATTGCTCCTAGTTCTCCCTTTTGCTAGCTTAAATACATAAAGTAACTTATTTTACATGTGTAGTACATATGTGTTGATTATTAGAAGAACCAAAACAAAAACACAGATAACCAAAAAGAAAAAAAAACTCACATTTAGTTTCAACAATGAAAATAACAGTTAAAACTTTCACATATATATTTCATGATATCAGTTCATTTCCTGAATATTTGTAACATTAACTTCACTATATGCTCTATTAAATAATTCTCGTTCTTTAAAATACTGGAGAAAAGCATATTTATATATAAATATACATGTAAATGATGGAGAGTTAACAAGAAGCTGGTCAAAGTCAGTTTGTTTTCTTGGGATCTGGAGCATGATATTTTGCTCAAAATGAACCATGTTGTAAACCATAGCTAGCTGCTCAAATAGAGCGTCTGGGTGGTCAGGCATCTCCTTAACTGCATTCAGCCTGTGTAGAGGATTAGCAAGTGAACATGTCTTCCTCATGCTCCCCATTTATATAGATTGTAGGGTATACCATCAGAGCCCACTGCTCTAACTTCCATTGGCGGAGTCATTAATAGAGTCTCCATTTCTCAGAGGCAGCTGGCCCAGGGGATCCAGCTGGTATAGGCTCAGCCTGGCTAATCCAGTACCTGGGGAAATCAGTATCTCTGACCTCTTAGTGAAGTGCTGCTCTGCCCACTGTAAATATTTAAGTGTCTTAAGGAACAGTTCTGGTCTCTTTTTCCACTCTCTTTTACCTTTTTGTCCTAGATGAGCTCCTCCATTCCCAGAACTTTCATTACCATCTATATGCTAATGAATACCAAATTTATATCAGCAGCCCACTTTTCTCCTTCGAGTTCCAAATTGGAACATCCAACGGCCTAATTTACATCTACTTTTAATGTCTCACAGATATCTCAAATTTAACATGTCAAAAATCAAACTCTTAATTTCTACTTGCCTTCTCCACAAACCTCCACCTTTTCCAAATTTTCTCTATCTAGTTGTTCAGAACAAACTTGGGATTTGTCTCTCTTTTAGTAAAAAAAACAAAACAAAACACGACTTCTAGAAATCAACAGTGAAAGACAAATAACCCATTGGAAAAATAGTCAAAGAATGTGAACAGATAGTTGATTGGACAAATGTATGAAAATATATCAAATTGCACATATATAAAAAGGAACACATTTATTCTAAAACTAACAAACTATCCAAAAAATTGAAAACTGCTGTATCTATGAGGCCAGCTCATACACAATGAAACAGTTCCGTTGAAGAAGGTAGATATCTGAAAATATTCACCAAAATTGCAGATGCATTTACCCTTTGACCTGGAAATTCCAATCGTGGAATTTAAAAAATTGGGTCATATATATATACACATATATATATTACATATATATACATATATTACATATATACACATATATTACATGTATATGTAATATATAATATATATTATATATGTTATATACATGTAATATATAACATATATGTTATATACATGTAATATATAATATATGTTATGTATGTTATATACATATAATATATGTTATATATGTAATATATGCTATATATGTTATATATGTTATATATGTAATATATGCTATATATGTTATATATGTAATATATGTAATATATGCTATATATGTTATATATGTAATATATGCTATATATATTATATATGTTATATATGTAATATATCCTATATATAATATATGTTATATATGTAATATATGCTATATATATTATATATGTTATATATGTAATATATGCTATATATATTATATATGTTATATATGTAATATATGCTATATATATTATATATGTTATATATGTAATATATGCTATATATATTATATATGTTATATATGTAATATATGCTATATATATTATATATGTTATATATGTAATATATGCTATATATATTATATATGTTATATATGTAATATATGCTATATATATTATATATGTTATATATGTAATATATGCTATATATATTATATATGTTATATATGTAATATATGCTATATATATTATATATGTTATATATGTAATATATGCTATATATATTATATATGTTATATATGTAATATATGCTATATATATTATATATGTTATATATGTAATATATGCTATATATATTATATATGTTATATATGTAATATATGCTATATATATTATATATGTTATATATGTAATATATGCTATATATATTATATATGTTATATATGTAATATATGCTATATATATTATATATGTTATATATGTAATATATGCTATATATGTAATATATGTAATATATGTAATATATGCTATATATGTAATATATGTTATATATGTAATATATGTTATATATGTAATATATGTTATATATGTAATATATGTTATATATGTTATATATGTAATATATGTAATATATGTTATATATATTATATATGTAATATATGTTATATATGTTATATATAGGTAACATATATGTTATATACATTACACACACACACACGAAGTTGGTAAGTGTGGCATGCTTCAGGATAACAAATGATTGGAAACAATTTAAGTATCCAGCAATAAGAGTCCGGCAAAATAAATTGTCTTTTATTTAGTAAAGAAGTACACAGTTAAAATATTTTCTAAATCCAGGTATGGAGAGACTTGGGGAATATTTTTGTTAAGAGAAAGAAAAAACAAGATGCATAATCATGGACATATTATGCCACATTTTATAAGATTAGGAAGGTGCTAAGTAGAAACATATTTGCTTTTATTTACATAAAATGTGAAAGAATAAATGAGAAACTAATAAAAATTGTGGAATGAAGTGAATGGACAGAGATGGAGTGATGTTTCTCAGAATATATTTTAAAAATAGTTTTGTTTTTGAATCACATAAATATATTACCTAATCACGAGCTTTTCATGAATTAAATTAATAAAATTTAACAGAATAACAGAAAAATTAAAAATACATGGTAGCCAAGAAGATTTCAACTAAGAACCATTCAACACTAGAAAATATATTAATGTAATTTACAACATTAACATATTAAAGGATAAAATTTTTATGATTGTTGTCATATTTCATTAAAAAGAGGATTGTTACGGTTTGATATGAACTTTCAAAATACATCTCCCAGAATTTTTTCTCTTTTTCCTGATTTTATCTTAAGAATTCACGTGGTATGTTTTTAAACTTCAGGAAATGAACAGTAAAGCGTCACTCGAGTGAAAACCATATCTGTTTATTTAGCATACTTAGTACTGACAGTTGACAGATAATTAGTAACTACTTTCAAGAATTTCAAATGTCTCTGAATATGTTTTCTTGTAATCAAAATATTTAATATTTTAAGACATTTAAACATGGGCGACCATGCGTAAGAAATCTTAACATTATAAAAGAAATGCTAAAGGAACAGAACATACAGGTCATACCAAACAATAAGCATGCATATTAATAAGTTAGAACGGCTTATTACAACACTGATTCTTCATGTCTCCCTCAGAGATTCTGATTCGGTTATTCTTGGGTGGGGCCTGAGATGTTGCATCACTAACAAATGTTAAACAAAATGTATAGGAGGTCATTGGTCTGGACTGAGCTCCTGCACTAGGCCCAACAAACCAAACCAAAATGGAATCACTCATTCTGAAGTTCCAGGCCACCAAGCAGAAACTAAATTATTTGACCTTCCAAAAAATCAAGAGAGAGAAACAGTCAAATATCGAAACAGGCCAGTGAAAACTGGATAAAGAAATCCCCAAATCCCCTCTGCTTTGAGTTGTACAAGAAAAGTAACTTTTAAATGACATTTTGTTTTCTGTTTCTGCTTTCCTCTGCCCTTTTCTGTCTATAAAACCAACCTCCCCAGATCGGCTCATTTGAATACACATTCTGCCTTACAGAATGAGTTGCTGCATGATTCTAGAGTTGCAAATAAAAGACAATTAAGATCTTTAAACTAAATTTATTGTAATTTTGTCTCTTGACACAAACTACCATGTGATGCTGAAGATGCCCGCCAGAGAATGATACGTGTAGTTGCACTGAACTAGACCATGAAGCTAAGATATAAAGATGAATAGAAAGAAGACACTGGGAAAAGAAAAAAAAATAAAAAAAATTTATTGATTAGATGAATATATGTCACCTAATTTCCTATATTGCAGCAATACAAAAGTCTTGGGAATCTCAAAAATTTACCATACTTTTGGATAAATTTTGGGTAAAAAACACACCTTTTGTGTCCTTGCACATTGTATACCTTTCTTTTCAATAGGCCCCCCTCTACTATCCAAAATTGTGAAGGGTATTTTGGACAATGTGAGTGTGCCTTGAATTTATTCTGTTGGGAGTATGAAATTACTAAAATATTCTAAGTAGGAGAGTGGGATGACAATATTTTTATTTTATATGTGTCAATAGGGCAGCAGTGTAGAGGATGGATTGCTAGGGTCAGAAAACAAGCATTTAAAAATTACAAATTATAGATTCATGTTTAAGCAGTAAATTGATTTTTGGAATATGTGCCAAGATAATTTAACAGGGAAAAGATAGTCTTTTCAAAAAATAGGGCTAGACCAATTAGATAACTGTATGGAAAAATAAATGAGCCTAGATCCATATTTCATACTACCCCCATAAATTAACATGAAATAGACTACAGACTTAATGTAAGAGCCAAAACTCTTAAATTTCTAAAAAAAAAAAAAAAAAGGTAGAAAGCTTTGTGCTATTTGGTAAGGTACAAATTTCTTTACAAAGACCAAAAAGGTACAAACTATAAGAGATAACATTTACTAGAATGAACTTTATGTGCTTTTCTAAAGATACAGTTGAGAGAATGAAAAGGCATGTCAGAGATTGAGAGAAAATAATGTAAAATATATATTTAACAAATGTTTTTCATCCAGAATAAAAAATACTCACATGACTCATTAATAAAACTAACAATCCATTTTTGAAAAAGCAAATTGTTTGAACAAGCACTTTAAAAAGAAGATATCCCAGAACTTAAACTATATATATATAAACTATATATATAAAAAACTATATATATATATATATATATATATAAAGATATCTGCATGGCCAATGAGCTCATGAACAGATACTCCCATCACAATCTTCAGAGAATGCAAAGAGAAACCACAATGAGATCCCATTATCCACCCACAAGTCTTGCTAAAGTTAAAACAAAAACAGAAACAACTGACAATGGCATTTGCTGAAGATAATGTGGAACACGTAAAGCTCATGCATTCTTAATGAAATACAAAGTGGTATAGCCACTTTGGGGAACAATTTGGTTATTTTCTTTTAAAGCTAAACATATTTTCCATATGACTTAGGCACATTTTCTGTATTTTTTCAAAAATAAATGGAAACATATGTCTGCAGACTTGTATGTACATTTTTTTCTTTTTTTTTCAGACGGAGTCTTGCTCTGTTGCCCAGGCTGGAGTGCAATGGCATGATCTCGGCTCACTGCAAGCTCTGCCTCCTGGGTTCAAGCCATTCTCCTGCCTCAGCCTCCCAAGTAGCTGGGACTACAGGCGCCCGCCACCACGCCCTGCTAATTTTTTGTATTTTTAGTAGAGACGGGGTTTCACTGTGTTAGCCAGGATGGTCTCGATCTCCTGACCTCGTGATCCACCTACCTCGGCCTCCCAAAGTGTTGGGATTACAGGCGTGATCCACGGCACCCAGCCGACTGGTATGTAAATGTTAAAGCAGCATTATGGATAAAAGACAAAAACTGGAAACAGATGTCCATCACTTAATTAATAAAGAAAATGTGCTAATATCTATGATACAGAATACTATCTTATAATTGTAGGGGTTCTACAGGATTTGGGAAGTGATCAAGAAAATACATATGATCAATAAGTCAGTAAAACAGAACAAGCTTTATTGGTTGATGTTTGGACAGAACTGCAAGAGAGGGGCGGTCTCTTATATCATGAAACTGTCCAGAGGCTTAAGGTGAGGGACACCATGTAGACAGAGAACTCTGGGGGCAAAGGGGAATCAGAGCGAGAGCTTACATGTCTAGGTATTGTCATTCAGCAGCAGGGGAGTCTCTTAGTAAGTTACCAATGACCTCTGAATGGCAATGGTCATTTGGGGTCTTATAACCAAACGGTTCTAGGTTATCAATGACCAACAGATGTTGAGTGTAGTTTTGCAGAATATGCAAAGCAAGCAGACCCTAAATGACTAAAAACTCTGCTTGTTTGGCTGTTTTAAAAAACAATTACATGTGTAAAAATTCGAATGTGGTGTCAGTAGGCTTTTGTGCTAATGGATCTCAGAGTGCCCTGAAGAAACAAACAACCTACGGGCCAAAACACATGGTCCAAATTGGTTTATTTTATATTACAGTAATGAAAAGGGGAAAAATTACTAATACATTTATCCATATACATAAATCTCAAAAGCATTATTTTAAGTAAAATAAGTTAAAAACAGAATATACGTTTGTCCCCCTTATCCATGGTTTTGTTTTCTGCAGTTTCAGTTACCTGCACTTAAGTATGATATGATATTTTGAGAGAGCAAGACAGAGATACCACATTCACATAATTTTATTATACTATATTGTTATAATTATTCCACTTTATTATTAGTTATTTTTATTAATCTCTTATTAGACCTGTTATAAACTATATATAGTTTATAATATATAAATCATACACACACTATACATATACTGTACTATATATGTTTACATATATAAATATACTAGGTATATATATACACTTAGTGTGTGTATTTATGTGTTTGTGTATATATATATAGTGTGTGTGTATATATATATACACACGCACACATTTAGGGTATATATACATGTGTGTATACACACAAACATATATATATATATATGTTTGTTAACAGCCATGGTTTTAGGCATTCACTGGAGGTCTTGGATTGTATCCCTCACACACACACCCATATATAAGGACAGTTTACTATATACTGTTTGATTACATTTATATAAAATACTAGCAAAGACAAAACTATAATGGCAGAAATCAGATCAGTATTATATATCTAAAGACAATGGTTGAGGAAAGACAATAAAAAGGGAAGAAAACATCTGAAAGGGAATAAAACTGTTCTATATTTTGATTGTGGTAGTGGTTATACAACTGTGTATAATCACCAAAATTCATAAAACTGATCATTAAAATAGAAGACTGTTAGTTTATAAATAAATAAAGCTAAAAAAATAATTAACAAGGAAATCTATTTTACTTAAGAATTGTTTTCCAGGAGAAATATGAATTAAAAATGAAATTTTGATTTCTTTCTGTCGTAAGAATTGTTAGCCATTAAAATAATAGCAAACACCTTTATCAGCTAGTGTTACAGTTTAAGTGTGTCCTCCGAAAGTTCTTGTGCTGGAATTTAATCCCTCTGCCCTCATGAATGAATTAATGCCACTAACTATCATGAGAGTTTGTTTGTTATTGCTGGAGTAACTTTGTTATAAAAGAGAGCTCTCTGTGGTTCTCTTACTTTTGTTCTCTTGCCATATAATGCCTTCTGCCATGTCATGCTGCAGCAAGAAGGCCCTCACCAGATGCCAGTGCCATGTTCTTGAGAGTACCTTCAGAACTGTGAACTAAATAAACTTATTTTCTTTATAGATTACTCAGTCTGTGGTATTTTTTATAACAATAGAAAATGACTAAGACAATTAGATACGTGCCATAACAAAAATTATATTCCTTGAAATGGGATGTGGAACAGGTATATTTCAAAAAGGAAGGAAAAGTATGGTTATTTACAGGAAACTACTTTGTTTAGACAAGATAACAGTGTACTCTGGGCAAACAATGAGAGCCACAGATTTCTGGAGAACACACTGGTTTTTGTTGATTAATGGATTGCCTTTGAATGAGCAGTACAACATGCCACAGATTAGAAAGTAACTTAAGTGGGAAGTCATAAAGCACCAGAAGGAAATATCTTATGTTTAAATTCTTCCTAACTTGACTTTTATAGTATTACAGTTTACTTGTTATTATTCCCCACTGTATTATGATACAACTGGAATGGTGCAGGATCCAAGATCGTTAATATTCTAAAAAAACTTTCAATTGTCTTTGTAGTGCACCTTTCCACGCAACTTTATGTCTGGAAAATTCTGTCCTACTAAAATGATGAGAATAAATTTTAAAAAGAGAGAGACAAAGAGCAATAGTTAACTTCTCTTTCTATCTCCAAACCTTACCCACTTACCCCCTACAGCCCATTTTGTATACCCTTAGCTCTAGATTAGAACAGATACTAGATTTTTCAAGTCTTCCAAACTTTCTCTGGAGTAGGGCATCATTAAATTGTGTGATTTCAAAGAGGATCATCGTAGACAAAACAAGGCTTAATGCATACTAAGCTGTGAACACAACTAGTAAGTATGTTCCTTAGTTTTAATGTATTTCTATTGCATCTTAGAAGGAATTCTTCTAAAATTACAGGTAATTGCATGGAATAAAGCAAATATGAAATCTTAAAAGACTTTCTGAAGGGATACTGTGCAAAGATAATACAGTGTTCAAAAATGTTTAAAAGTTGTACTTTTGAAAGTGCACTGGTATTTACAAATTCTCTCAGGGCAGAAATTGGCAGAAATTATGATTTTGTATTTCTTCTTTCTCTACTGAGAATTCAAAATAGATAGTTCACCTTATTTGGTAGTAGACAACTCAATTTCCCCTTGTCTATATGTAATAGATAACATAAACTAGAATGTCACTTTATATTTTACTATTCATGAAGTCAGGAGATCTGGGTTCTAGCGTAGTTTTTTATCTTAGTTTATTTAGTCTCTTTTGCTCTAAACACCAATGCCCTCATCTCTAAAATGAGACAATGATATCAGCTCTGTCTGCTTCACAGTGAGGTTATGAATATCAAGTACTTTTGAAAGGACTTAAAATATGGCAAAGCCATCTATAAAAAGATGATGTGCTTAGCTCCAAAGTGGAATAATAGTAAACATACCATACAAGGTCATTTTTATTCATTCAGGTATTCAGTAATACAATCCCTTTTATTCCCCACTAAGCAAATATGAAATACTCGTGTTGTAGGGGCTATTTTATGTGCTTGAGATAAAGAGATGTAAAGGGCACAGTGTTACTCTTCAGGCACTCAATGTCTAGGCTAGGAGAATGACATGTGAGCTGCTAATTAAAATACAATGTCCCAGCTGCCCTACTAGAGATGCTAAACACCATAAACAGAATGCTGAAGAAACAGAAAAGTCCAGTAACTCTGCTGAAGAGAAATTCTTCATAACAAGGATAATTAGAGGTGCATTTTGAAGATTAATGTGATTAGAAGTTTGACTTGTGATAAGAGGATAGGGTTGAAAGTAAAGATTTAGGTTGGAAAGTAGTTGTAGAAGACCCAGTAGAACACTCTTGACTGAAGTTTCGCATGAAAGATACAAACCTTAGTCAATATTGCTACAAATTTAAGCTAGGTAAATCAGGAACAGTCATCAATAGCAGACTTCTGAATGGTTCAGAGTAATGAATTCAATCACATAATTGTATGCTCTCGGAAGATTATGACAGCCAACATCACTCTAGGAGCCAGAGAGAAAACAGGAGTCTGGAGTTACTGGGATGATAAACACATATGCTGTCCATTGAGAGTGATTACTATGTTTAATTGCAAAGTCTTACAAAAATTTCAAACCAGTATTAAAGGAGTCCATAACAGGAGTAAAGGCAAGACCTGACTATAAAACTTCCTGAAAGATGGAGGTAAGTATGGTAGTCTACAGATTTCTTTAAGCTGTCCAAATCTTGTATGCCTATGGAAGCACTTCGTAGCTTCTTCCTTTTCCCAGACTTAGACTAAATGGGAAAATAAAAGTTTTTTTCCCAGAGATATTATCACTTCTAGACTTAAATGTTAATGTTACTACTAAGTTATGAGAAATTTTAACCATGAAAAGTGATCTAAGCATTAATATTTGATAAAGAGCTTTAATTTAATCTTATAGGCAATAAGGACTCTAGCGAAAAAAAAAGACAATTTATTTTGTCTTCAGACAAAATCATATTTTCTGCCAATTTCTGCCCTAAGAGAATTTGTAAATACCAGTGCACTTTCAAAAGTATAACTTTTAAACATTTTTGAACACTATATTATCTTTGTGCAGTATCCCTTCAGAAAGTCTTTTAAGGTTTCATATTTGCTTTATTCCATGCAATTACCTGTAATTTTAGAAGAATTCCTTCTAAGATGCAATAGAAATACATTAAAACTAAGGAACATACTTACTAGTTGTGTTCACAGCTTAGTATGCATTAAGCCTTGTTTTGTCTACGATGATCCTCTTTGAAATCACACAATTTAATGATGCCCTACTCCAGAGAAAATTTGGAAGACTTGAAAAATCTAGTATCTGTTCTAATCTAGAGCTAAGGGTATACAAAATAGGCTGTAGGGGGTAAGTGGGTAAGGTTTGGAGATAGAAAGAAAAGTTAACTGTTGCTCTTTCTGCCTTTTTTTTAAAATTTGTTCTCATCATTTTAGTAGGACAGAATTTTCTAGACATAAAATTGCTAAATTAGTTTTTTTCAAATGATTATCTGGAAGCATCAAGATAGAAATAGAAATGGGGATGAGGGTGCAGTTGACAGGAGAGAAAGAAAATAAGAGTGATTTACTGACTTAGACATAATATTATCATCCATGAAGGAGTAATGATGGTGGTAGTAGTGGTAAAACAGTGATAGGGAGAAAGGATTGTACTTAGAAATACTTCAAAAGAGGCACTGACAGAATCCGATGAGACTGGTGTGAGGAGGAGCTAGAAAGAGGAGTTATGGATTCTGGTTTTGGAGTCAATGTAAATGGTAATACCCCCGATCTCAGATCATTACAACCTCTGCCTCCTGGGTTCAAGTGATTCTCCTGCCTCAGCTTCCCGAATAGCTGGGATTACAAGCAACTGCCAATATGCCCAGCTAGTATTTTTAGTAGCCACGCTGGTCTCGAATGACCTCAGGTGATGCACCCGCCTCAGACTCCCAAAGTGCTGGGATTCAGGCATGTACCACTGCATCTGTTAGTAACCTTAATTAAATATAGTACATAAGTGGGATGAGTGAGGCAAGAAAGATATTAAGTGCAATTTGGACATGTTCATTTTCCAGGGGCTTGTCGGGTATTCGGGTGTAGATGTCAACATGACAATTAGAAATATCATTCTAATATTCAAGAGAAAGATCACTGGAAATAAACACACAGAATCACTAACATATTTCAAGTCATGGAATAAGATGGAGTGATCAAAAACATCATTTTAACTGAAAAGAGAAGGAAAACATTAATAGCTAATCTCAAAATGAAGCACAAGCAAATAATTCTGAGGAAGAATGTTGCAGAGTAAAGGAAAGTACTATAAAAGAGGGTTATAAGAAAAAAGAGAAACTGGTGTAGACAGAGCAAAGTGCAATGGTGAGATTGGTAGGTGAAAAAAATGAGAGTACAAATGCAGAAAAATCAAGGTCATTGTTAACCTTAATACAATATTTTTGTATTATGGTCAAAATAAAATTTAGGGTTTAATGGCTTGAGAATTTAATTGATGCTGAGAAAGACTATAGCAAATGCAAAATGGACATCAATGCTTCAGAAGGTTTGTTTCAAAACAGTAAAAAAAAAATTGTAACTTGGAAGGAAATTGAAATAAAGAGGAAGAGATTATTTTCTAATTGATTAATCAATCATGAATTGATTTCATTTCATGGAGGGGATAAATTGCTAATAATAAAGGAGGCCAAGACTGAAATCTGGATCCAGTTTTTCTACTGTGGGTGATCTATAATAAAGATGGATTCCGGCTGGGCACAGTGGCTTACGCCTGTAATCCCAGCACTATGGGAGACCAAGACGAGTGGATTACCTGAGGTCAGGAGTTCGAGAACAGCCTGGCCAACATGGTGAACCCTTGTCTCTACTAAAGAAATACAAAAAATGAGCCAGATATGGTGGCCTGTGCTTGTAATCCCAGCTACTCGGGAGGCTGAGGCAGGAGAATCGCTTGAAGCCAGAAAGGGGAGGTTGCAGTGAGCCGAGATTGTGCCGCTGTGTTCCAGCCTGGGAAACAAGAGTGAAACTCCTTCTCAGAAAAAAGAACAAAATATGGATTTTAAATAAGAGAAAGAGGGGAAGAAGAAGAAGCAGAAGGAGGAAGAGGAGGAGGAGTATTGAAAAAGTAGGGAGTGGAAGAGACAAAGGGGAAGAGGAGAAGAGGGTGAGGAAGAAGATAATGAGAAAAAATAGGCCGGGCGCGGTGGCTCACGCCTGTAATCCTAGCACTTTGGGAGGCCGAGGCGGGTGGATCACGAGGTCAGCAGATCGAGACCCAGCTAACACGGTGAAACCCCGTCTCTACTAAAAATACAAAAAATTAGCCAGGCGTGGTGGCGGGCGCCTGTAGTCCCAGCTACTCGGGATGCTGAGGCAGGAGAATGGCATGAACCCGGGAGGCGGATCTTGCAGTGAGCCGGGTACGCACCACTGCACCCCAGCCTGGGCGAGAGAGCAAGATTCTGTCTCAAAAAAAAAAAAAAATGTGGGGGGGATCTTGGGGGTGTATATAGAGCAACAAACCTGCCACCATCACTACCCAAATACACCAATTTCATGAAAGAGCAAATTTTCAAATCTTGCATTCATAAGAAGATACCCTAACATCATAGCCAAATTGGGTGTACAGGAAGATACCAATTTATTCTTGCCTATACCAGAATTCCTCCTTCTTACTGGTTGAGTAAGGGGCAGGAGAAATCTAAAATAGCACACTGAGAGTTAAGCACCTGTAAACAAAGGAGATATTTGAACAATATAAGCTAAAGGCTAGAAAACTTTAGCTTATGAAAGTGAGATTAAAAATAATAGAGAAAATATTATACTTATGAAATGAAATCTTAGGGAAAGAAGAAGAAACCTATCTTTAAGCACGTGTGCTAAAAGGAGAATAATATATGTTGATGAAAATATGTACATTGAAAGGATGGGAGTATGGACCTGATCTTCCTATGGCCTCTGATTCTCTGAAGTGTGTAAGAATATCTTATGTACTCAGAGTGAGAGGGCTTCAGGAGATATATAACTGTTTACAACAAATCATGGAGCATCCAAATATTAAGATTATTTAATGGGATTACTCTCTAGCATTGTGAAGTGGGGAGAAATTATGAGAATCACAAAGACTAGTACATTTTTTTCACTGGATCTTGTTCTTCTCAAAGGCAGGAAATAGATCTTAACTGTGACCTCTATGCTGAACACAGGGCATAACATATTGCAGTGATGAAACTAAAATTAATGTAAAATTGGATCATAAATCATTATAACTTAAACAGATATCAATTCAGTTTCTGTATTTTAATTTTTAATACTGTATGTGTATATGTATTAGGGTTCTCTAGAGAGTTAGAACTAGTAGGATAGATGTGTATATGCAAGGGAGTTTATTAGGATAATTGACTCACACAATCACAAGGTGAAGTCCCACAGTAGGCCTCTGCAAGCTAAGGAACCAGGAAACCAGTCCGAGTCCCACAACTTGAAAAGTAGGTAAGGCGTGATACTGCAGCCTTCAGTCTGTGGCGGAAGGCCTGAGAGCCCCTGGCAAACCACTGGTGTAAGTCCTAGGGTCCAAAAGCTGAAGAACTTGGAGTCCGATGTTTGAGGGCAGGAAGCATCCAGCACAGGAGAAAGTTGGAAGCCAAAAGACTTAGCCAGTTTAGTCCTTCCATGTTCCTCTGCCTGTTTTTATCCTAGCTATGCTGGCAGTTGATTAGATAGTGCCCACCTAGATTGAGGGTGGGTCTGCCTCTCCTAGTCCATTGACTCAAATGTTAATCTCCTTTGGAAATACTCTCACAGACACACCCAGGAACAATACTTTGCATCCTTCAATCCAGTCAAGTTGATACTCAATGTTAACAATCACAGTATAGACATAAACTTTCTCCAGTTTTTAAAACTCATATAAAGGGGCAATGAGAAGGCTTAAAAAAGTTAGAGGTAATAAACTGTTCTCATTGTTACAAGTAAAAGCTTTTATTATAGATATAAAGTCCATTCGTTAACTTAAAAGTATGAGATGATCTAAATAACTTCAGGCACTCATAAAATTATCCTATGTTACATGTTAAATTGTGTATTATAATTTGTATATTAATTAAAAATTGATTTTTTCAGTTATAGAACAACCACACAGGGAAAAAAAAAACCCTAATAGCTTAGCAATACAATGAAAATTAATGCATTTTATCAACGAACTATTCTCCATAGTGGCAAGCAGTTATAAAACTGTTGACTTTTAGAAAATGGAACTGTGAATGAACCCAAGCTTAATACATCTTCAAGAAACTTTTCCTAATTAGTCATATTTGGGTATCCATATTTCATTTGACAGATTTTGCACATTGCTTTCTCCCACCCTCAGAATAACACAGAGAACATGCTACAGGTTAATTTCCTCATTTTTCTGAGCAATTGTTGGAGGCAAGTGTGGGAAATGAGGAAAATGTAGCAGTGACAAGGGACAGAAGTTGAAAAAAATCAGAAAAAAAAAAACCCTTACCAGTTCCTACTAAAATAGAAGTTTCATTCTTCGCAGTCTCAACCCACTGTTGAGTGTTGATTTTGCCAGAAAATAGTGAACTAATAAAATTTAATTATTTCATTATTTGTCACATCACTTAAAATGTGCCAGTGCTGCTAACATGATTTTCATAGTGGAAGTTCCGTTCAGTGATACCTCTACCCATCCAACGAAAATTTTGTTTTTGACTTCTCTGAAGGTATTAAAGCTAAAAGGCTGTAAGAAGTCAGATGGCAACTGCTTTCCAATTTAAAAATCCTTAAAATCTACTGTATGTGCCTTCTTCTATAGCTTATGTTTTTATTTATTTACTGTTTTGTTTTGAGAAGAAAAAGGGCAGCAAACACTGAATTCAAGTCTTAATAGCATGAGTATAGGTGCTAATTGTAGCAGCCTGTCTACTTTAAAGGCATGATTAAGAGGAATGAAACATATTTTTTTTCATTTTTATCTCAAAAAGCAGGAACATTTGAGACTATTTACATGAAGATGGTTGTAATACACCGTTTCTTGGGGAAAAATATATTTTTTCTTCAAGATGAGGTGCAATTTATCCTTGAGGTACTACAGATGTTTTTATGTAAAATTCTAATCATGATATTGTTTTTAGATAATTTTCTTTGGTGACAATATTTAACACTTTATCTTAAATATCTTATTCATCTAATAATATAGTCCTTGCTTCTGTTAGTTAGTATTCTTTATGATGAACCAAAGAATGACTCTGGGTTACTGAGGCACAAAGGGAAGATTCATTGGAAGAGCAGATGGTGGCTTGGGCAGCCTGGGAAAATTTAATGGATGGGAAAATGAGTGTCATAAATAATATGCAACAAGACAGGTCTAAGGATCCAGGTAGCAGGAAATAAGAGACAGTTTCCTAGAGCCACTCCTATTTGAGGAATCAGCTCTAATTCTTACCGTCTTTGTTGCTCTGCTGAAGACAAGACTTAGAAGAACGTGTCTGATGGGCTTCCATTGAGTCATAATTCTACCCCTTAGTAAAAACAAAACAGAGTATGTGGTAGTTCCAACCAGAAGGCAAAATATATAGGAAAGAGGCATTGCCTTATAGGAATTTGGAAAGCTAAAGGAAAAGATATAAATTGGAGGAAGGGAGATGGTTCTGGAAATACTATATTCTTGGTTTTTTGAAACCAAAAGTTATTCTTATGTTCATAAATAAGAGCTCCCTAATTCCTGTTCAGGTTTTGTTTTTTTTTTAAGTTTTCATTTCTTTTTTAATAGGTCTTTTTGGAGGGTATTTTCTTTAAAAATCATGTCAATCATAGAAAAGTTAATTTTGTCTTTTCAAATTCTATCAATAATGTAATCTTGTTCTAGTTTAAAATTGTTTCAGTTGAAATCTACACCTGGAAGGGAAGAACAAAAGGCACAATGGTGTTAGATTGTATTTAATCTAAGTAATGAATAGGAAATAATACACTTTTCTAATTTAGTCTGAGAACAGAGTACTATCAAACAAGATTCATCAGACAAATCAAAAATGAATCAGAATAACCACCAGTGTACAGCCATTTTTTGACAGAAATATTGTCTTGCAAAAGTATTCTTTTTTGGTTTGGTACACTGGAGATAAATTAAATGCTTCCTTTGACGCTTCTGTCTATTTGATATCTGTGCTGGTAATATAAACTAAATAAAAATAAAGAAATGCCATTTTGTTTTCATAGTCATATAATACCACTTAAATGACTATAAAGTAATTAAAGTCCATTACAAAGATAATGGGAAAGTTAGTTTGGTTTGCTTTTCCTGATGAAATACACAAACTCAAGAAAGGTATATTTTGAAGTGACGTTAAGTTAAATTAATTCAATTTGATTTAGTATGGAAACAGATCAACCTTCTAGTGGGAGGCATTTTTTTTTCTGTAAAAGTTAGGTACTAAGGAAAAGTATAAAGTACATACATTTTTTGTGTGAAAATATATGTGAGTTCCTGACTCAACTTTGCTCTGTGACCTTGAGTGATTTATTCATTTAATTTCTGTCTTCCTTTCTGCCTCCCTAGGTGATACTTAAATGTTCCCTAAAGAGTTAAACATGTACCCTAATTCTCTACAAGATACAATGCATCTTATGGTTGTGTCAAACATTCTGATGATTACTGTGATGATCACAAAGTGAAAAAGTTCATCGGGATATTAAAGCAGCAGCTACAGTTCTAAAGAATATGTGTTAATTTCATCTGTAAGCACCAGCTTTCAAGCCACTTAGCAAATCTTTTTTGTGGCGAAATCCTGTACTATTTATAGCATTTCTACTTTGAGAAGCATTTTATTTTTTAGGAATGAATTTTTAATGTCTTACGAAGTGTGGAACAATTCAAAATGGTAATATTACTACTAATAATTTTTGAATTAATAGGTTTTCCCAGCATGTCTTCATTAGGAGTAATTTACTAAAAATAAAATCAAGTTAAGCTTATGTCCACACATGCATCTCAACACATGTGCATAGTAAAATGACTTGGAAAAGTGAAATAAACCAAAATGTTGGCAAGTAGTGAATTTGTGGATTTTTACTTTCTTTATGCCTTTCTTCATTTTCCAGATTTCCTAAATTTGCCACTTCTGTAAGTAGTGAAAACCTTTGCTAGACTGGAACTTGACATGTCAGGAAAAATTTTGATGCTTCTGTTGGCAAGTTTTTGTAAGTTGGCAGGCCTAAAAAGACTACCGAGTTTCTTTCTTCCCCATCACCAGTTTTGGAAACACAAATTTATCAAAGTTCAGGACTACTGTATTAGTCCATAATCATACTACTATAAAGATACTTTCTGAGACTGGGTAATTTATAAAGAAAAGAGATTTAATTGACTCACAGTTCCGCATGGCTGGAAAGGCCTCAGGAAACTTACAATCATGGTGGAAGGGAAAGAGGCATGTCTTACATGGCAGTAGGTGAGAGAAGTGAGTGTGTGAGAGCACAAGAAAAACTATCATTCATAAAACCATCAGATCTTGTGAGAATTCACTCACTATCAGGAGAACAGCATGGCAGAAACTCTCCTCATAATCCAATCACTTCCCTCCAAACCTTTCCCTAGTCACGTAGGGATTATGGAGATTATGACTGAAGATGAGATTTGGGTGGAGAAACAGCCAAACCATAAAAACTACTAAAGGAATTCTCTGAAATACAGATCAACAAAATTTCTCTATGAACAGAAGTGAAAATTAAAAATTTAGTGACTATGAAACAAGGTTCTGCTTTTGTTATTGTGTTTAGAATAAATTTTTGCCTATAGAGAATATAAAATTTGTTTCCTTGGTAAAATTTATTAGGTCATTCAGTTTTATGACTTTCTCCAATTCAGCTTTTTTTCTGCATAACTTCTTTTAACAATAAAACATTACATTAGCATACTTCCAACTTAATGTTAGTTAAAAATAAACAAATGCTAATGGACTAACTTTCTCTCAAAAATACACTGCAATTAAGTCTTCCACCTTCTGGGGTTTGAAACAGTTCTTGGAATTAGGCAAAATGGTTTCATTTACCCTCCAAGGGTTCATTGTAAATTGATTATTTAAAAATTATTTAAAATTTCAGAAGACATGATTTGGCTCTTGTACAAGCAAGAAGATCAAAGATATACAAAGTAAGACAAACAAGATTTTAGAACTAAGAATGCCAACTAATTTAAACATCCAATAGTATTAATGAACATTTTTTTAAGTGTATTCTAGACAATTGGTTTATGCCATCGAGTAATTTTTTTTCTTTAACTTCAAGGTCAATGAGACAAATATTTGAAGCAGTTGTAGTTCAATGTGCAAAAGAAGAAAGTGGAGTTGCTTGATTTGAAATGGGGCCTGCCTACTTGTCTCTTGAATTTATTCCTTGTCTCCAAGCTGGAACTTAGGGTTTCTTCAGAAACCTTAGGATTTCTCAAAGCCCAGTTAGCAAACCCACCACTCAATTTAATATCGTTCATCATTTTTAAATTGTAACCAAATAGTTTTAGTTATATTTTGAGGATGGTTGGAAGGAAGCATGTGAAACACAGAAACAGCCAGTCAGGCTGTAATGTCCACTAAGCCACAATTCGTTGCTGTTCTGAGTATTCCATTTCAGTCTAATAGATCTCAAAAATATTACTTTGTAAATTATGTCTCTGCTAGTATGAGTGCCCTCAGCAAAATCACATTCTGTTACTCTGGAAGCAAATAAAGTTATAAACAAATTAGTTAATTTAATTGCAAGTTCCCATTTCAGAAACAGGAATTTATGGGGAGCTTTCAGTTAATCTGGTGATTAACAATCTGTAAAGGCTATGGCTTTTGGCTAAAGTTCATTGGTCATTTAAGCATATTTCTTAAAATGCAAAAGGAATTGGGACAAGCATTTACCTTGTAAAAGAGACCTGAGGATAGGAGGGATGTGCTCAAAGTCTGTAAAAAGCTATGGAACTACCTCAACTGGCATGCTACCCTAAAATGTTTCAGGGAGAGAGAAAATAGTGGATGTGAGATCTGTTGGAAGTTAACCATAAATAACTTTCTGCTGAAAAAAGAGAAATGATCACCTAATAAAGTTGAACCAGTTCATGCAGGTATTTCCTTTCCTACTTTATTCCCATTTTCCTATATACTGGTCCAGGATTTGTGCTTCCTCTCTACTTACTAGATTGAAAGAAACAAGTCCATACACCTGGTGTTGTTGGCCAGGTGACCAGGCTTTTGAAAACTGAATGTATAGCTATGTAATGACAACTGATATGTATACACACACTTACATTTAGGCCTCTTTAAATTCTACCTGAAATCCACATCTTCTTTAAATTAGGATGAAGGTGTCACTAAATCAAATGTTTTCACAATTTAAAATTTGATCCCAAAGAAGAGTTTTTTTTACAGCCACCACATAAGTAGATGCTTAACAAATATGACAATAATCCCAATACAGCCATCATGAGAACAAACATTTTTTTTGGCTAAAATGTATTAAATGATGACTCTATGTGGGCCATTGGTTTTCATTCTGTACTGAAGAGAGAGCCAGTAGAATTAGGCTTAATATCCTGAATGATCATAGACTGCATTTAGAAATAAGCCTTTTATCACACTGAGAGATTTTAAATATTTAGATGACTTATGAGGCCTGTAAAAGGCCCTTTTCTAGGGGCATCTATGTGATTTGTAGCATTTGTGTAAATCATCATATTTATTAACAACTACTGACCTTCATTATTCTGCCCTAAAAATCAGACAAAAGCAGCACATTCTCATTTCTTGGACTATAAATATATATTTCTTTCTGTATATTTTCTGACTTGGAGTGGTTGAGGCAGTTTTTTTGTTTGTTTAAAATGATGGCACTAACAGACAGCAGTGTTAGAAGTGACACTGATGTGAGTAGTAGTCCTTTTACATGGGCTATTTTGGGGGAAATATATTAATGTTCCTGTTTGAACACCAGTTGTACAAAAGAAAAATAGCCACACTTACTGGTATTCCTATATAAGCTTTCAAATCCCCAAAAGTTCAAATGCAAGCCTTACATTATAGTGAGTAATTGGCCTGTGTTTCCTTTGAATTCAAGCATCTCACATATATTCAAAGGAAAAGACAGAGGTGCTTACTTTACCTACTTTTACTTAAAAATTCTCTTCTCATAGTCTACATCCAATAATCACATGGCATATGCATTCAGAGAATGTTGCAATAAATAATAAGTGTCCATCTTTTATATATATATATATATATATATATAATTTTTTTTAAAAAACTGAGAGTTGTTGATCCTATTTGCAGTTTTGACTGGTTATATGCACCTGATCATTTTTTATATTGATCATGTAGTCTTATTGTTAAAAAGCTTAAATTAGCTTTAATTCATATGCAGTTTTATTTGCTTCATAAAGTGGGCAACATCCACATGCTTATCATTTAGAGAAATAATCTCAGCAATTTCTCTTGAGATTTGTTCACTGGAAAAAAAGGCTTTTTAAAAGACTCTGGACTTTGAGGCAAAACAATTGGCATTGTCTATTACGCTTGGATAAATGTTTGTACTTTATAGCAGTTTCCTAGCATTCTCTTTTTAAACAATGCCTAGTCTCAAAATCAACATTGCACTCAATAATGCTTCCATTTTTGTTTTCCTTGATCAGTACCAGGGGAAGAGAATATAATGGGTTCTCCAGTAAGACTTTTCAGGGAGACATGAAACTCAAGGGAAAGCTAATCATCTAATGATTTCAAGGCAGTTTAAATTCTTGCTACCCAGTTCACTTCTGTAAACAATTGGTGCCTGATGGGTGCCCAAAGGGCTAAAACATTGACTGCACATTTCAGCTATATTTACAAGAGTAAAGCAGGACACATGTACAAAACATGTGAGGCAAAAACTACCCCATTCTTTTGCCAGAGCTCAGCTCAAATATCAAGACAGAATGAAATAGAATGTAAAATAGGCTATAAATATGAATATATGTGCTCGTTTGAATTTTTCTAAATACAAGAGAATATAATAAAGAAAATATATACAATTGTGTTGAATAAGAATATGTTTTGCACTTAAAAAACCAACAAAGTGAAGATTTGGAAGTGTTTAATATTGTATTTAAAGGAATTACAGATTAAAATAACCCAATGTGTATGAAACCAAGTTTGTATAGGGAAAATCCTAAAGATTGAATAGGAATTGTCAAAGAAAAACCAGATATGGATAGTAGTTAATGTGGTAAACCAGGTTTTATTTAGGAACTATTGTAATAGGAAAAAAAGAAATCTCAATATAGAACTGGCCTCAATTCAGAATACAACAAGGAAAAGTGGCAATTTGTAGCCACAGAGGAGATTAGGGTAGGGGAGTTGGTGGATGGAATTATAAGAGGAAATGTCTTGGGTAAGAGGGTTTCTGTTTAAACTGACTTAACAGAATTCTTACTGAAGGCAGGCCAGAGTGATGAAATAACAGTTCTTGCTAAACTGATTTAGCAAAGTTTTTCCTAAAGCTGGGTGATGGATGCCCAACAAGGACAGACATTGAAGGCTGAGGCCTTAGCAAAGCATGACTGAAGTTAGGTCAAGGAGAGTCTTTGTTAGGAAGCAATAGAAATAAAATGTATTTTTATCTAAAAGCATGATAACTTGGATTCTAAAAATTCTTCCAATAAAGTTATTTATACAGTTTTGTTTTCTTACCTAAATTATTTTTAATGCTGAAAACCTGCATTTGTTGGTTTTTCAGTGATACATTTCAATAGAGAATTGTGAGTTTCATAGTTTTCTTTTCCTAGAACCACAATGAAATTCTTTAACAAAAAGTCTTTTGGTAGTGAATCACTAGCAATGAATAGCTCAAGGCCTTGTTTAAAGAACCTCAATAATACCAAAAAACAGAAGAGGTCATGAAAAGAAAGAAAATCTGGATCAAGTATGGTCTAAAAAATTAATTTAAGACATTCTTTTTCCCCTTGTTTCTTCCAACAAAGTAACAACAGTTGGGAGTCTTTCACATGGAATTGGCCTCAAGCAGTCCATGAAATACAGAGAGCATAGAGACAGAAAATTTAAGCTTAAATTGTTTCAAAGACCTCTAACTATATTGTCCTTAAATATGTAGAAGACTTTAAAGATGGATTCAGGAAAATCTGCCTGTTGAGGGAGAAAAACGGATTCCCATGTAAATACCCAGACTTGGTAATGAAAATATATTTTAGATTATAAGATCTGAACACTTTACCTTACTTTCTAAGGTAACTATTGAACATATAATTGTGATAAAAATTAGAAATCAATAATGGAGTCCCTATTATTTGTTTTCTAAAATTACAGATTTTACATTTACCATTTATTTGCACAAAGAAATTACATTAAAAGATTTTTACCTTATATGGTGGTAAAAGCTAAGTATTTTATACATAAATTATATATGTATTACAAAAATATAAACATACACTATATCTATACTACAGATCATGTTCTTCCACACCACACAAAAATATGTATTTGTGTGAATTTGTATATATGTGTATATACACACACACTATATAACATGTAATATTTTATATAGTATATGTATTACTCCATTTTCGTGCTGCTGATAAAGACATAACCAAGACTGGGAAGAAAAAGAGGTTTAATTGGACTTACAGTTTCACATGGCTGGGGAGGCTTCAGAATCATGGTGGGAGGTGAAAGGCACTTCTTACATGGAAGCAGCAAGAGAAAAATGAGGAAGAAGCAAAAGTGGAAACCACTGATAAACCCATCAGATCTTGTGAGACCTTTTTACTATCGTGAGAATAGCATGGGAAAGACTGGCCCCCATGATTCAACTACCTTCCCATGGGTCCCTCCCACAAAATGTGGGTATGCTGAGAGATACAATTCAGGTTGAGATTTGAGTGGGGACACAGCAAAACCATATCAGCATATGACATATATAATACATATACATGCATTATATATGTACATATAAATTATATAAATCTCAGGGATTTCCAGCAAGATGGCCAGATAGGAACAGCTCGGTCTGCAGCTCCTGGTGAGATTGATGCAGAAGGCAGGTAATTTCTGCATTTCCAACTGAGGTGCCTGGTTCATCTCATTGGGACTGATTGGACAGTGGGTGCAGCTCACAGACGGCGAGCCAAAGCAGGGCAGGGTGTCACCTCATCCAGGAAGCATAAGGGGTTGGGAGATTTCCCTTTCTTAGCCAAGGGAAGCCATGAGAGACTGTACTTGGAGGAACTGTACACTCCTGCCCAGATACTGTGCTTTTCTCATGGTCTTCGCAATGAGCAGACCAGGAGATTCCCTCTGGTGCTTGGTTCGGCAGTTCCCATGCCCATGGAGCCCAGCAAGCTAAGATCCATTGGCTTGAAATTCTCGCTGCTAGCACAGCAGTCTGAGATCAACCTGGGATGCTAGAGCTTGTTGCGGGGAGGGGCATCCACCATTGCTGAGGCTTGAGTAGGCAGTTTTACGCTAACAGTGTAAACAAAGCCTCCGGGAAGCTCTAACTGGGCAGAGGCCACCACAGCTCAGCAAGTCCAACTGCCTCTCTAGATTCCACTTCTGTGGGTAGGGCATCTCTAAACAAAAGGCAGAAGCCCCAGTCAGGGACTTATAGATAAAACCCCCATCTCCCTGGGACAGATCACCTGGGGGAAGGGGCAGCTGTGGGCACAGCATCAGCAGACTTAAACGTCCCTGCCTGGCAGCTCTGAAGAGAGCAGTGGTTCCCCCAGCACAGATTTCGAGCTCTGATAATGGACAGACTGCCTCCTCAAGTGGGTTCCTAACCCCCGTGTAGCCTGACTGGGAGACACCTCCTAGTAGGTGCCAACAGACACCTCATACAGGAGAGCTCTGGCTGGCATCTGGTGGTTCCCTCTGGGACGAAGCTTCCAGAGGAAGGATCAGGCAGCAATACTTTCTGTTCTGCAGCCTCCGCTGGTGATACCCAGGCAAACAGGGTCGGGAGTGGACCTCCAGCAAATTCCAACAGACCTGCAGCTGAGGGGCCTTACTGTTAGAAGGAAAACTAACAAACAGAAAGGAATAGCATCAACATCAACAAAAAGCACGTCCACACCAAAACCCCTTCTGTAGGTCACCAACATCAAAGACCAAAGGTAGATAAAACCACAAGGATGGGTAGAAACCAGCGCAGAAAAGCTGAAAATTCCAAAAACCAGAATGCTTCTTTTCCTCCAAAGTATCACAACTCCTCGCCAGCAAGGGAGCAAAACTTGATGGAGAATGAGTTTGACGAATTGACAGAAATAGGCTTCAGAAGGTGGGTAATAACAAACTCCTCTGAGCTAAAGGATCATGTTCTAACCCAATGCAAAGAAGCTAAGAACCTTGAAAAAAAGTTAGACAAATTACTAACTAGAATAACCAGTGTAGGGAAGAACAAAAATGACCCGATGGAGCTGAAAAAACAGCATGACATCTTTGTGAAGCATAAACAAGTTTCAATAGCCAAATCCATCAAGCAAAAGAAAGGATATCAGTGATTGAAGATCAACTTAATGAAATAAAGCAAGAAGACAAGATTAGAGAAAAAAGAGTGAAAAGAAACGAACAAAGCCTCCAAAAAATATGGGGCTATGTGAAAAGACCAAATCTATGTTTGATTGGTATACCTGAAAGTGATGGGGAGAATGGAACCATGTTGGAAAACACACTTCAGGGTATTATCCAGGAGAACTTCCCCAACCTAGCAAGGCAGGCCAAAATTCAAATTTAGGAAATACAGAGAACAACACAAAGATATTCCTCCAGAAGAGCAACCCCAGGACACATAATCGTCAGATTCACCAAGGTTGAAAAGAAGGAAAAAATGTTAAGGGCAGCCAGAGAGAAAGGTCAGGTTACCAATGAAGGGAAGCCCATCAGACTAACAGCAGATCTCTCATCAGACATTCTACAAGCCAGAAGAGAGTGGGGCCAATATTCAACATTCTTAAAGAAAAGAATTTTCAACCCAGAGTTTCATATCCAGCTAAATTAAGCTTTATAAGTGAAGGAGAAATAAAAACCTTTACAGACAAGCAAATGCTGACAGATTTTGTCACCACCATGCCTGCCTTACAACAACTCCGGAAGGAAGCACTAAACATTGAAAGAAACAACCAGTACCAGCCACGGCAAAAATATGCCAAATTGTAAAGACCACTGAAGCTATGAAGAAACTGCATCAACTAACGAGCAAAATAAGCAGCTAGCATCATAATGACAGGATGAAATCCACACATAACAATATTAACCTTAAATGTAAATGGGCTAAATGCCCCAATTAAAAGACACAGACTGGCAAATTGGATAAAGAATCAAGACCCATCGGTGTGTTGTACTCAGGAGATCAGTCTCATGTGCAAAGACACACATAGGCTCAAAATAAAGGGATGGAGAAATATTTACCATGAAAATGAAAAGCAAAAAAAAGCAGGGGTTGCAATCCTAGTCTCTGATAAAACGGACTTTAAACCATCAAAGATCAAAAACGACAAAGAAGGCCATTACATACTGGTAAAGGGATCAATGCAACAAGAAGAGCTAACTATCCTAAATATATATGCACCCAATACAGGAACACCCAGATTCATAAAGCAAGTTCTTAGAGACCTACAAAGAGACTTGGACTCCCACAAAATAATAATGGGAGACTTAAACACCCCACTGTCAATATTAGATCAACAAAACAGAAAATTAACAAGGGTATGCAGGACTTGAACTCAGCTCTGGACCAAGCAGACCTAAGAGACATCTACAGAACTTTCCACCCCAAATCAACAGAATGTACATTCTTCTCAGCACCACATTGCAACTTATCTGAAGTTGACCACACAATTGGAAGTAAAATACTCCTCAGCAAATGTAGAAGAACAGAAATCACAACAAATTTTCTCTCAGACCACAGTGCAATCAAATTAGAACTCAGAATTAAGAAACTCACTCAAAACCACACAACTACATGGAAACTGAACAACTGCTTCAGAATGACTATGGGATAAATAACGAAATGAAGGCAGAAATAAAGATGTTCTTTGAAACCAATGAGAACAAAGACACAACGTATCAGAATTTCTGGGACACATTTGAAGCAGTGTGTAGGTGGAAATTTATAGCATTAAATGGCCACAAGAGAAAAGCAGGAAAGATCTAAAATCGACACCCTAACATCACAATTAAAGGAACTAGAGAAGCAAGTGCAAACGAATTCAAAAGCTAGCAGAAGACACGAAATAGAACTAAGATCAGAGCAGAACTGAAGGAGATAGAGAAACAAAAAACCCGTCAAATCAATGAATCCAGGAGCTGGTTTTTTGAAAAGATCAAAAAAAAAAAAAAATAGATAGATGGCTAGCCAGACTAATAGAGAAGAAAAGAGAGAAGAATGAAATAGATGCAATAAAAAATGATAAAGGCGATATCACCACCGATCCCACAGAAATACAAACTACCATCAGAGAATACTATAAACACCTCTATGCAAATAAACTAGGAAATCTAGAAGAAATGGATAAATTCCTGGACACATACACCCGCCCAAGACTAAACCAAGAAGAAGTGGAATCTCTGAATAGACCAATAACAGGTTCTGAAATTGAGGCAGTAATTAATAACTTACTAACCAAAAAAAGCCCAGGATCAGATGGATTCACAGCCAAATTCTACCAGAGGTACAAAGAGGAGCTCGTACCATTCCTTCTGAAACTATTCCAATGAATAGAAAAACAGGGAATCCTCCCTAACTATTTTATGAGACCAGCATCATCCTGCTACCACAACCTGGCAGAGACACAACGAATAAAGAACATTTTAGGCCAATATCACTGATGAATATCGATGTGAAAATCCTCAATAAAATACTGGCAAACTGAATCCAGCAGCATATCAAAAAGCTTATCCACCACGATCAAATTGGCTTCATCCCTGGGATGCAAGGCTGGTTCAACGTACACAAATCAAGAAACATAATCCATCACATAAACAGAACCAATGACAAAAACCACAGTATTATCTCAATAGATGCAGAAAAGGCCTTTGACAAAATTCAACAGCCTTTCATGCTAAAAGCTCTCAATAAACTAGGTATTGATGGAATGTATTTCAAAATAATAAGAGCTATTTATGACAAACCCACAGCCAATATTATACTGAATGGGCAGAAACTGGAAGCATTCCCTTTGAAAACCTGCACAAGACAAGGATGCCCTCTCTCCCCACTCCTATTCAACGTAGTATTAAAAGTTCTTGCCAGGACAATCAGTCAAGAGAAAGAAATAAAGGTATTCAATTAGGAAAAGAGGAAATTGTCTCTGTTGGCAGATGACATAATTGTATATTTAGAAAACCCCATCATCTCAGCCCCAATCTCCTTCAACTGATAAGCAACTTTAGCAAAGTCTCAGGATACAAAATCAATGTGCAAAAATCACAAGCATTCCTGTACACCAATAACAGACAAACAGAGAGCCAAATCATGAGTGAACTTCCATTCACAATTGCTACAAAGAGAATAAAATACCTAGGAATCCAACTTACAAGGGATGTGAAGGACCTCTTCAAGGCAAACTACAAACCACTGCTTAAGGAAATAAAAGAGGACACAAACAAATGGAAGAAAATTCCATGCTCATGGATAGAAAGAATCAATATCATGAAAATGGCCATACTGCCCAAAGTAATTTGTAGATTCAATGCTATCCCCATCAAGCCACCACTGACTTTCTTCACAGAATTAGAAAAAATTACTTTCAATTAAATATGGAATCAAAAAAGAGCCCACATATCCAAGACAATCCTAAGCAAAAGGAACAAAGCTGGAGGCATCACGCTACCTGACTTCAAACTATACTCCAAGGCTACAGTAACCAAAACAGCATGGTACTGGTACAAAAACAGATATATAGACCAATGGAAGAGAACATAGGCTTAGAAATAACACCACATATCTACAACCAACTGATCTTTGATAAACCTGACACAAACAAGCAATGGGGAAATCATTCCCTATTTAATAAATGGTGCTGGGAAAACTGTCTAGCCATGTGCACAAAGCTGAAACTGCATCTCTTCCTTACACTTTATACAAAAATTAACTCAAGATGTATTAAAGACTTAAATGTAAGACCTAAAACAATAAAAACTCTGGAAGAAAATCTAGGCAATAACATTCAGGACATATGCATGGACAAAGACTTCATGACTAAAACACCGAAAGCAATAGCAACAAAAGCCAAAATTGACAAATGGGATCTAATTAAACTAAAGAGCTTCTGCACAGCAAAAGAAACTATCATCAGAGTGAACCTATCATCAGAGGCAACCTACAGAATGGGAGAAAATTTTTGCAATCTATGCATCTATCCATCTGACAAAGGGCTAACATCCAGATTCTATAAAGAACTTAAACAAATTTACAAGAAAAAAACAACCCCACCAAAAAATGGGCGAATTATATGAACAGACACTTCTCAAAAGAAGAAATTTATACCGCCAACAAACTTATGGAAAAATGCTCATCATCACTGGTCATTAGAGAAATGCAAATCAAAACCACTATGAGATACCATCTCACACCAGTTAGAATGGCAATCATTAAAAAGTCAGGAAACAACAGATGCTGGAAAGGCTGAGGAGACATAGGAATGCTTTCACACTGTTGGTGGGAGTGTAAATTAGTTCAACCATTATAGAAGACAGTGGGGCAATTCCTCAAGGATCTAGAACCAGAAATACCATTTGACCCAGCAATCCCATTCCTGGGTATATACCCAAAGGTTTATAAATCATTCTACTATAAAGACACATGCACATGTATGTTTATTGCAGCACTGTTCACAATAGCAAAGACTTGGAACCAACCCAAATGTCCATTAATGATAGACTGGATAAAGAAAATGTGGCACATATACACCATGGAACACTATGCAGCCATATAAAAGGATGAGTTCATGTCCTTTGCAGGGACAAGGATGAAACTGGAAAGCATCATTCTCATCAAAGTAACACAAGAAGAGAAAACCAAACACTGCATGTTCTCACTCATAAGTGTGAGTTAAACAATGAGAACACATGGACACAGGGCAGGGAACATCACACACTAGAGCCTGTCAGGGGGTGGGGGGCTGGGGGAGGGATAGCATTAGGAGAAATACCTAATGTAAATGACGAGTCGATGGGTGCAGCAAAACAACATGGCACATGTATACCTATGTAACAAACCTGCATGTTGTGCACCTGTACCCCATAACTTAAAGAATAATAACAATAAAAAGAAAAGATGAATCTCATATATATATATTTTGTTAATAGATGCCAACTTCTTTCAGTTGAAGGCACACAAACATGATATTTTCATATAATGGCATGAAATATGAGGCACAAACCACTAAGACAACCTTAAAAACTTGTGATGCAATTATTAACCTTAATAGCTAAAATTAAAATCAAAATTAAGATGCCAAGAGCCCCAAACTTAGAATACTATACATCGTCTTTGTAAAATAATTTCAGGATCTGTTATATTTCACAATTTTTTTTCAGTATCTAATTTTTTACTTTGTTTCTAACTGAGGATGGTATACAAAATCATAAGAAGTGAAAGTTTCTTATGGAACTAGGATTATATTATTATACAATTAAATGCAAAATAATTTTTGCAGTTTTCCAAATACTCAGTATCTCCCATATTTTCAGTAATAACAATAGCAAACACTTAAATTACACTTATATGTCAAACAATGTTCTATAAACTTGTTATTCATGTCAGGGAGGCTAAATTTTACTTCTACCTTCTTATGCATTTTTGTCAGAGCCTAAGAATTAAAGTAACGTAAAACAGCTTAGCAGGAAAAAAGCAAACAAATATATTCAATGTAAGCTTGATGAGGCACAGGAATCCTCATATGGAAATAATGACCCAAAACGAAGTGACAAAAAACATGAATGTTTTTCTCGAACCTGAATGTTTAGTTCGAACAAAGACAGACAATTGTAAAAAAGTAACTGAACTATTTGGACAGGCTAATGCAATAAAAGAAGCCCTGGCCATCACTGTGCAATCTATCCATGTAATGAAATTACACTTGTACTCCATAAGTTTATGCAAATAAGAAACAACTTAAAAAATATGAATTCTTTTGAGGAGGTCTGTTTGTACAGGATTCTCTTGATCTCAACTTCGTGTCCCCGGTAACAAGAATTTTACTTTTTTTCCTGATATACCTAAGACATCTTCCATCTTCTGCTTTTAGGAAGAGAAACAGAGTGTCAGAGTGTCCTTTCTACATCTGGTGTTTTGTTTTTGTTTCAGTTTTTAAATTACATTTAGCTCAAAATATACCTATGCCAAAGCGGTGTATATTGGGGTGGCGTATTCTGCTACCCTTCACTCACATAAACCTATGATATTTTATAGTTGACGATAATAATAGTTTCCTTTCCTTCCAACCTTGATTGATGCCTGCTAGGATACAGTGTAGTATGGTGTAGTTTGTTATTATTGAACAACGTCCAGCTTTCTTCTTAGGAAAAACAATTTTCTGATACTCCATCATGTTGATTTAACTTTCTTTTGTTGTGATTTCAAATAAATATGATCAAACCTACTAGCTATAAACTCCTTATGCTTACAAATTTAATAAAAACAATGAAACTAAATGGATTTACAAATTAAAAATGAACAAATCTATAAAAGTAAAATGACCACTGCTTTAGTGTTTCTTTTGTGTAATGAATAATTTTTAAATCTAATAATTACTATTTAGATGGGTCCATCAATCAAATAGTGTGCCCTAAAATGTAACTGCAAAATTTTAAAGTTGCTACATAATGAAAAATTGTTCCTTGAAGCAAATAAAAATACACCACACACAATACTGCCGCGATAACAAATCACATTCTCATTTTATTAACTTAATTAAGAAATAAAATATTGCTCTCTATAATGTCTTCCTGTTAGGCTTGGAGGCCACCTCTTGATTCAAACTGCTTAGTGAGATGACTGGTGACCCCAAGTTGCTAATCCAAGGCTTAGTTGTTAGTCTTCCTCATATTTAACAACCAGCAGCGTCAGACACATTTGATTACCATTGAAACGTTGTTTGGCTTTCAGTATACAATACTTTCTAGCTTTTCTTCCATTTCTCTTGTTGCTTCTTCATTTTCCTTTTCTTTCCTTTCCTTTGCTGATTTCTTCTAATTTCCCTGACCTCTAAAATTAGAGGTGTATGGCTAAGTGCTCCTAACTCATTCCTATCTATACTCATTATTCAGTGTATCATTCTCTTTCTTGCATATTCATGCCCATATATCCATATTTATGCTATTAGCTTCCAAAGTTACATCTCCAGCCCACATCTCTTTCAGGCTCGTATATTGAACTTCACTAATAATTCCACTTGGATGACTAATAGGCATTCCAAACTTAACATATCAATGACAAACAAAAACATCTTTAAATCTGTAAATTTCTTTCTTCCTTTCCCAAACTCTATTTTCACAAAGATTTCCTCATCTCATAAATTGTAACTTACTCTTAAGTTCTTAGGCGTTAAAACTTGGAGACATCTTTAGCCATGCATTCAATACACACCCTCCTACTGTGTCTGGAATTGGTTTCTTCTGGTGGGTTCTTGGTCTCACTGACTTCAAGAATGAAGCCATGGACCCTCGCAGTGAGTGTTACAGTTCTTAAAGATGGTGTGGCCAGAGTTTGTTCCTTCAGATGTTCAGATGTGTCCAGAGTTTCTTCCTTTCGGTGGGTTTGTGGTCTTGCTTACTTCAGGAGTGAAGCCACAGACCTTCACAGTGAGTGTTACAGCTCATAAAGTTAGTGCAGACCCAAAGAATGAGCAGCAACATTTATTGTGAAGAGGGAAAGAACAAAGCTTCCACAGGGTGGAAGCAGACCTGAGCACGTTGCCGCTGCTGGCTTGGTGGGCAGCTTTTATTCCCTTATTTGGCCCCAACCACATTCTGCTGATTGGTCCATTTTACAGAGTGCTGATTGGTCCTTTTTACAGAGCACTGATTGGTCCATTTTACAGAGCACTGATTGGTGCATTCACAATCCTTTAGCTAGACACAGAGCGCTGATTGGTGCATTTTTACAGAGTGCGAATGGTGCATTTACAATCCTTTAGCTAGACAGAAAAGTTCTCCAAGTCCCCACCTGACCCAGAAGCCCAGCTGGCTTCACCGCTCACTACCAAAAATCCTCTTTGCTCTACCCTTAAAATATATCCAGATTCTAGCCACCATCTCATCATTCTCATTCTCTTCTAAGTCACCAACACCTCCCATGTGATGGCAACAAGCCGCCAAACCTCTCTTTCTTGGACATTTGCTATAGCATCCTGACTGACTCACTGCTTCTTATTTTGTACATTTACTCTCTTTTTTTGAAAGTGCAGTCAGAGTAATTTTTTCCAAATATCCCACATGATTTTAATGCTCTACTCAAAACCTTCCAAGTGCTCCCATTCCTTCTTAAACTATCCGCATTCCTTCTCTCTCCTACTACTTTAACCTTGCTCATTTTGCACCTGTACAATAAATTATTTGCTAATCCTCTATTTCAGCCAACAACTTGAAGCCTCACGCTCTCTACTAGGACTGCCCCTAATCTGGATTTCCAGATAACCTCAAGACGTGCTCCACTAGATTATCCCACTCAGTTTTTGGATTACATATCACCCCCTTAATGAGGTCTTTATTAACAACTCTATTTTAAAATGTAACCCCATAACCCCTTGGATCTCTTTGTTTCCCCAATGCCCTGTTTTATTTTCTAATAACATCACTATATTATATGCATTTTTATTTATTTATAGTTTATTGTCTGTCTTACATCACTGAAATGCATACTGCATGAGACAAGTATTTTTGTGTGCTTAATTTCTGGTCTGTCCCCAGTGCCTATCAGAGTGACTGGACATTCTGATCAATGAATACTAAAAAAATGGAGGCAAAATAATTCTTTAATACAATGTTAGATATGGGCCAATTATTGCTTCTTTCATGAGAAAATGCTGAACTAACGCCAGCCATGCATTGTTTACTTAAATAGAATTCTCAAACCCCTGAGAATGTATCTGCAAACTTTTAAGTAGGAGAAACACTGGCATAAAGCTTAATTTCATAGCCTTTGGATTTTACAGACTTGGTGGAAATCCTGGTTGTGACACTAGCTTGTAACATCTGTCAGTTTACTTAACCTGCAAGCCTTAATGTCATCTGCAAAATACATAAAAATTTTATGTGATGAAGTGAATCATTTGATGGCAATTGTTTATTACAGCATAAAGTAATATTATTTTAAGTTTTGTTATATGATTCTAAGGCTTTTACGACAGGAATCTATGTTTCTAGATGGGGACCAACTGTGACTAGTTATTTTGGAGCAAATCCAGCTAACTCAAGGAATACTCAAACCAGTGATAGGGTCCTCAGTAGCATCACACTCTAACCATTTGAACAATCATTCTCCATAGGAAGAAGATGATGGGCACTAATCCTAATTCTGTTCCTGCTAAGAGACTGGGAGATAAAATAAAGCTTTAGAAACTACTTAATTACTTTGTAAAAGTTGAAAGAGTCTCAAGTGGACTATTTATTTTGCCTTTATAATGGCTTTGTACCACTAAGTGAAATAGTTCTGATGTTTATCAAGTGAATCCTGGGATTCTGACAAACTAAGACTTTCCTACCTTCTTTGACTGTGCCTCAAAATATTAACCTTAAATTAAGTAGGATGACCACATATATCAATTTATTTATAAATATTTGGAAATAATTAAGAATTTATCTGGTTTATATTCTAGACATAGTTATATTGTAGAAAGGCTATATATTTTTAGTTTAAAGACTTTTTTCCTGAAATTATCAATAGAAAATTGGAACATATAAAGAATTACACAAGAAAATCTTATACAGTATTGACTTGGAACCTTCCTTGACATAGCTATAGATCCTGTGAGATGGTTTCAAAGCTGAAAGATTCCCCCTTTTAAAATTTTGTTTTTATTAATGGGTCATGCCTGATATAATTAGAATTTATGACACAAAATTAAACTGTTATATATAAAATACACATCATATTTCAGTATACAAAAGCTCACAGCCAAACAAAAATTTCGCCAGAATATTTTATAATATCACAGATGCTTAACTTGTTCAAATGCTTAATTTGTTCCTCTAGAATTCATGAATTAATTAACTTACTTTTGTCTCCTAAACAAAAGTGGACTTTTAAATTAAAACTTTCCTTTGCTTCTGAAGCAAGATATGGCTAACTTCATATATTATTTCCCTCATATCAGTTCAAAATGAGATGGTACAACTAATGAAGTTACTCCTACCTGTCTGTTTTCACTATTGGATCATACCTAATGCAAGTGTTTCCAAACTCTGACCCTCATTTATTTATTGTAGCCTCCAAATGAGCATTTCCATCATCCATGGTAGTTGCTCACTTAGTTCAGTTCTATTACAAATCATTTATTGAACACTTATGGGCTAGGCACTGTACTATGTAGAAGAGTAGCAAAAAAAAATAAATTCTACAGACATATTTATGGCATCTTTATCCCCCATAGGATATGAGGTATGTTACAAAATGTATATACAATATACAAAGTATAAAATAATCTTCTTACAATTGTTTTTGAAGTAATATGAATATGAAAAGAATAAAAAACAAGATAAAATAAAATCAATAGGAATGTGTAGCGGAAACAATAATACTCAAGATTTTTAAGGGTTGCAGTTTTCCTGCCATTGGGACTGAAGCCATGAAAACTTTTTTTACTTATCAGTTTCGATGAATAAATAAAATTTAGTATATCTCAAAGAATAGATATGTCTCTTTTAAGTCATCTTTATTGAGTACTTATTATATGTTTGGAATTTTCTAAGTACTAGACATTTGAGAGTTATGGTATATTTTCAGGGTGAGTGCCTAGAAGGTTAATATTCTGTATTACTTTCTTCCTTTTTTTTTTTTTTTTGAGACAGAGTCTCACTCTATCTCCCAGGCTGGAGTATAGTGGCTCAATCTGGGCCCACTGCAACCTCCACCTCCTGGGTTCAAGCAATTCTCATGCCTCAGCCTCCCAAGTAGCTGGGATTATAAGGCTTGCCACCATGCCTGGCTAATTTTTGTATTTTTAGTAGAGATGGGGTTTTACCATGTTGGTCAGGCTGGTCTGGAACTCCTGACGTCAGGTGATCCGCCTGCCTTGGCCTCCCAAAGTTCTGGGATTACAGGCGTAAGTCAACTCACCCGGCCTCTGTGTTTCTAATTAGAGACATATCCATGGGCTTTGGCAGTTTATCAGATATTGGGTTGGATTAAGGCTGTTTTGTGAAATGTAGACATGATAGTTGGCTTCAGTTATATTTCTATGGAAGAGGGGTTGCAAAGATACACAGCAAATTGGGAGAAAACTATAATTCAGTGCAACTATACCTTAATACAACCATATCTGGAAAATATATTTCCAAGCTAGTTGTATTTATTTAAACAGCCATCATCGAATATCCCTTATATACCTAGTACACAGGTTGCAAAAATGAAATAAAACAGTCCCTGCTTCCAGCAAACCAGAACGATGCTCCCTCTTAAAATCTTCTGTTCCCAACAGCTGCCCCAGGAATAACAGAGTAAAAAATATGACTTATCAGGACCCCCACAAGAGGTGATTTTTCTCCTGAAATTTTTACAAAGAAAAGCAAAGTCAAGGATCATATGCACTGTCTGTATTCCCATTTAATTAAAAAAACCTTCATAAACATATTAAATCATATCTGCTTATATGAAATATTTACATTTTATAAATAGACATCCTAATCATAAGCTACACTGATGGCTCACAAACTCTTACATCAGAGAGGATAAAGGAAGACTTGGCATGTCCTTCCCAAAAGGTTCCCAACCATTGATTTAATTGTTGAATGCTAAAAGTGGTATATGCCATATTTGTAATGAAAACCAAAACAAACTCAAAAAGGTAAGCACATGGGGCAAATACTTTGATAAATGAAACTTTTTTTGTTGTTCATAGGGAAAAAATAAAAAGACTGCTTGCCTCTGTATGGAAAAATCTCATTAGTATTTCAAAGACCATAAGCTGGTAACTTGATCAAACTGTCCACTGAAGATAAAGTGTCATATACATAAATGCCATTCATTTGTGAACACCTTTGTTTTCTGTCTTTGAAAAAACTGAGATTCTCATCATTTCCTGTGACAGGGAATAAAAATAGAATGAGGTAAAAAGCACCATTCCCTTAATGAAGTTTTTCTTATTAGAAACCCCAGTGTCTCAGTGTTCTGACGTTTGTTCCTTTTGATTTTAATGGTGCAGCTTTATCTTTTGGGCAGAGTGCTCTGACACAGAACCTAATATATATTTGCCTAATTAAAATCCAGAAGGTGATGAGAGGCAGGACGTCTCTTAAGCTGTTTGCCAAATACTATCCCTTTCATGGCTATAATTCAAATTATTTAATTGAATGAAAATTTTATTTAAGATCTTCAGGTTAAAGAAAAAAATACCAAGATAGAACAATCATGACAAATAGAAACCAAGAGCACACCATCCTTATTTTAATGGGAAACTTAACTGTTGCCAAATATATATGAAATTGGTTTTTCATTTTGAGTATAAAAATATCAAATAGATATTCACTTGAACCTCTTACAGAGGATCAACTGAAAAGTCATTAAAGCTAAAATTTGCTTAGTTTTTTAGTTCTTTAAAATAATTTAGAATAAAAGGAACATCTAAATCAGCATGTTCAGGATCCCGGTTGGATGCCATTTCATCTAAAGCTTTCATTTTTCTCATTCTACTCGCTCCCATTGGCATTGTTCCTGGATCACACCCAAGACATCTGCTCAGCTGTGCTCTCGTCTTTAAATATGATGATGTTGTGATTAGTGGGATACAGCGCTTAGCTCTGGGATTGTGTTTTATACTACAGTCCACTGTTACCTACTGTGCCCTTCTGCTCATTTGCTAAGCAGATGGTCAGGATTAGGGGTACATCTGTAAGCATGAAAGAAATATGTCTTCAGTGTAACCCTGACTGACCTAAACAGGGAATGAACTTCTGGTCCTTACCTTATTTAGCCCTTACTATAGCAAAACAAGGTAATCGGTCCAGGTGCAAAGTAAACAAATTAAAGAAACACTAATTTATACCCAAGAAGAAAATAATCAGGGTCAGAATGGTATTTTTGTTGCATCAATATTTATTCAGGACACCTTCCCAGAAAGAAATGCTGAAGACTTCAAAGGTAAAGGACAAAACTTGTCAGATGATTAAAATAATATATAATGAAGAACAGTTGAAATGCCATAAGCAGTTACCTGGAGTGGCAAAGAAAGGAGGGACACAATTTGGAAGACTTGAAGAAGCTACTCTTTGAAATATGAAACCAGATTAGTGATTACCATGGACCTTGATGTTGACCACTGTGCTAAGTTCGTTACACACATTATTGCATTGAATTCTTAATAATCCCTCCAGAGTAAATATCTTCATCTTCATATTACAGGCTGAGGAATCTGGGACTCAGAGAGGTGAAGTGACTTCCCAAGATCACAAATATCTGCAAAAGTCAACATTATGAATAACTGAAAAGAAGATGACATAAGAAATACAATAAAGTCAGCAAGTAAGAAAGAATAGCACCATTAATGTGCCCATGTTTTAAAAGAATTAAAGGGAAAAAAAGGCAGAAATGTATTAGGTCATAGTATAAAAGAGGTAGCTGCAAAATATATAAGGGGGGTTTGGGTGCTTCCAGGCAGGCTTGTTATGCCAAACATTTACATTTATTTACACGTCTGCACACGTGGTTGACACCTTGGTGTTGACAATGGGTGAAAATGTGTGAAAATGGGCACGTTCTGAATGTCAGCAACATATGCTTGAACAGGTGGTTCTACAATAAATGACAATAAAAGTAGCAATTCAATTGGGTCATAGTGACAAAAGAAACAGGAAGCAATGCCTTAAGATCCTGGATAGAATAATCTGATTAAGATTCAGACAATTGTTGCACTTTGGGTATTAAATATTTCAATTTGGGGAAAAGGTAGAAATAGATGTTTATACCGGAAGTGTTTATACACAGATAAAGCTAATCATGCTCATAAATCTCACAGTTTAGGCTAAAGTAATATTATATATGTCTACATATAAATACATAAATCACATATATATAAATTTTTTATCTATTAAATCACATATATAGTACACATATACCTTTATGTAAAAATTACCATCCTGCATATTACAAATATATATATAAGTTAATTAGGCTATTACATATGTCATTATACACAATTATTTTAACTTTATCTTGGCTTTTATATATATAAATTGATTTCATTATTGCATATTATATATGCTGTATATAAGATTAACCCTGTAGTCAAGAATACATATTATTTTTATCAGCTTTTTATAAAATCAAAGAGGAAAATTTTTGTTGGGTTAAAATAAGAACAGTAAAAAAAAGTTTTGATAGTATTCTCTTTTATTATTCAATGTATATAGGACTTATTATGCTATCAATATCTGTCTCTCCCACTAGACTGGTTTATGAGGTCTGGAACCCTATGTAAGCCATGGTTGACCACAAGTAACTGAAACCACAGAAATTACAATTGTGGATAAGGTGGGACTACTGTGTAACTTGGCAAATGCTTCCTTTGCACTCAATAACAATGTGTATTCTGCAATATGGTTATAATAGTCTATAAATGTCAATCATCTATATTCTTACTGATTTTTCTTCTCCTATTTGTGTTACTAATTAATGAGAAAGAGATATTTAAATTTCCAACAAAATTGTGGATTCATCTATTCTTTTCCCTTTAGTTATAACCATTTCTGCTTTATGTATTTTGAAGCCTTTTTATAAGAGTTACTTAGGATTGTTATTTCTTCTTGATGAACATTATTAAATGTTCTTATTTTTACTGTTCATGATAACTTTTTGAAGTCAACTTTCATATTAACATAGCCACACAGTCTTCCTTATGCTTTTTGTTTTCCAGATGTATCAATTTCCCGTGTTTCTTTCTACTTCTTGGTGTCCGTAAATTTAAAGTATATTTCTTATAAACAGTATGTAGTTAAGTTCCAACAATCTCTGCTTTTTTAATGGATCCTTTTGTGTGGTTACATTTAATCTATTTGTTAGTGGTGTTACTTTAAGTCTACTATCTTGCTCTATTTGTTTTCCATTTGCTCCTAATGTTCCTGGCTTCTTTGTTTCTTGTTTCCTGTCTTCTTTTTGGTAAATGAAATCAATGTTAGTATTCCATTCCAAATCCTCTGTTGACTTTTAGCTATACCTTGTATCATGCTTGTTCTGAATATTAAAAGTACAGCCCTAACTTATCAGAATCTACCTTTAATTTTTTTTTAAAGGACTTCAAATGTAACAACCCTGCAAGAGTTTTATTTTATTCACCCATTTATCCTCATTCTTTATCATATATATGTTGTTAACACATATTTTATTAACATATACTAAACCACAAAATGCATTGTTAATATTTTTACTTAAGTTGTGAGTTGACCTTTAAATGTTTCTTAATAGAGAGAAAAACATTTACTTTTATTTATGTTCATGGATACCTTTTATACCATTACCAGTTCTCTCGATTTTTGTCTATATATTTTAATTTCTATCTGGTACATTTTCTTTCAGTTTGAAGAACTTCTTTTTGCATTTCTTTTGTGGCATGTAAAGGAAAGAGATTTGATTAGCTTTTATGTATACAGTTTTTCTTTTATAATTTTAAACATTATTTCATCATATTTGGCATTCAATTTTTCAAATGAGAAATCAGTTCTCATATGTATTGTTGCTGTTCTTTATATAATGTATTATTTTCCTTGATGATTAAATATTTTCTTTTTATCCTTGGTTTTAAATAGTTTGGTAATGTACCTAGATTTTTAAAATATTAATTTATATTTTATGTTGTTTTGCATTTGTTGAACTTTCTTGATCAGTGGTTACTCTAACTAGCCCTAGAGATTCATAAAACATTGGTATGAGGCAGATACTGTGCTTTTAATGTCTTGAATTCAACTCTCTTAAGAACTTGATTGTGTAGCACATTTAGGCATTAATGGTATATGTTCTTAGGCCTAGAGAATATAACTCACATTTTGTTCCATGAAAGTTCAGTAAATTACTAAAATGAAGTTGGAAAAAACAAGGCAAGTCAATGTAGAAATGAACCATTAAAATAATAGTAGAGAAAGTATTTTTGATAGTAGAAAAGCAAAGGAAAAATAAACAATTTGATTTCAAATAAAGTAAGTAGAAAAAATATGATTTTAAATTACATTTTGACATAAACCTTAGAAGTTTTTATGCAGTAGATAATTTTTGTGATACAGGAAAGGAAGCTCATGACAAGGCAGTCAGTTATTCTAGTGAAAAAACACTTACAAAGTAACAGCAAAAAAACGATACTACATTTTTGTTTATCTCACATTGTGTAATGGATACTTAGTGAAACATAAAACCCACTGGTCCATATAGTTAAAGAGATTAATAGTTAAAGAATGAGGATACACTGAAAATTGAAGTGTGAGGATGGGCAGAGAAGAATTTTTTGAGTAATGGAGCAGCTCTCAGTGGAGAGGGGATACCATACGGTGGTTCCACATTCCTGCTGTTGGGTGGGTTCTCTCTCCCTGTGGCTGGGTCTGTGGCATTTTATGGACTCAGAATGGGAAGTGCATGCTGATGGGTTTGTGAGTATGCAGAAAGGTTAATGAGAAGACATCACTCAAAGGGGGGTACAACAGTATATAAAACCCATTAGGAAAAGGTAGGTATATGTCAAATCTGTCAAGGGTAGGGATCAATTAGAGGAAAGTGCGCCAAACAGGGAGACGGGTTCTCAACCCTGTCCATGGATTTGACTTGTAGCTTGGCTTTCAGGCTTTAAACTGTCTTTGGCTTGGGGTGGGGTTTCACCCCTATCTGCCTAGGCATTTTCCTGCCTCCTGCGCCATCACCACCTTGGGCACATGTTCTCAGGAGCTGTGTGTGTGTGTGTGTGTGTGTGTGTGTGTGTGTGTGTGTGTATTTACTGTTTAGATTATGAATCTCCCTCAAGAACAACTCTTCTTTGACATCTTCAATTTGTCATTCTCCTTTGACCTGTCGACCCAACATGTCACATCCTCAAGAAGATTTAGGTACACTGACATGAAATGAGACTTTTTCCTCATTTTCAACTAGACAACTTTATTTCTGGATCCAACCTCTCATCTTTTTTCTATAGCTTTAGGGAGAAGAAACTTCCCTCTGGTGATTCATTTATATTTGTTTTCTATTTCTTACTGATTTTTTTGGATCTGACTACCATACATAATTCAATTTCTGTATTAGGCCATTTTCATACTGCTATGAAGAAATGCCCGAGACTGGGTAATTTATAAAGGAAAAGAGATTTAATGAACTCACAGTTCCACATGGCTGGGGAGGCCTCACAATCATGGTGGAAGGTGAAGGAGGAGCAAAGGCACATCTTTTTTTTTTTTTTTTTTGAGACGGAGTCTCGCTCTGTCGCCCAGGCCGGACTGCGGACTGCAGTGGCGCAATCTCGGCTCACTGCAAGCTCCGCTTCCCGGGTTCACGCCATTCTCCTACCTCAGCCTCCAGAGTAGCTGGGACTACAGGCGACCGCCACCGCGCCCGGCTAATTTTTTGTATTTTTAGTAGAGACGGGGTTTCACCTTGTTAGCCAGGATGGTCTCGATCTCCTGACCTCATGATCCACCCGCCTCGGCCTCCCAAAGTGCTGGGATTACAGGCGTGAGCCACCGCGCCCGGCCGCAAAGGCACATCTTACATGTTGGCAGGCAAGAGAGTGTGCAGCGGAACTGCCCTTCTTAAAACCTTCAGATTCATGAGACTTATTTACTATCACAAGAACAGCATGGGAAAAACCCAGTCCCATGATTCAATTACCTCCCACTGGGTTTCTCCCACAACACATGAGGATTAACAGAGCTAAAATTCAAGATGAGATGTGTGTGGGGACACAGCCAAACTATATCACCTTCCTAAATTTTTTTTCTAATTTACATTATTTTGTTTTGGTCTTTCTTTCTCTCCTTGAATTCAGTTTCCTGAGAACTACATCATCTTCTTATTCTTATTTTAAGTTGTGTCTGTTCCTGCATAGGGATTGGCCCTAGTGCAGAAGAAGGGTGTAAAGACTTACTGGATGGAGAATGCTAGAATAATCTACTGATTTTTTGACTCTTCCTGCCTATTGTCCAGATTCTTGATTTGAACATTGGTCTTTACTTCATCTTTAACCTTAAATTCTGACACTTATAGCACAACTACATGCTGATCTGTAAACACTTGGCTCAACATCTCAGGACTATGTCAGCTCTGACTCCTGCCTTTTTTTTTTTTTTGACCCCTTCTGATATTGTTTGACTCTGCATCCTCACCCAAATCTCATCTCAAATTGTAATCCTCACCTGTCAAGGGAAGGACCTGGTGGGATGTGATTGGATCATGGAGGCAGTTTCCCCCATGCTGTTCTCATGACAGTGAGTGGATTATCATGAGAGCTGATGATTTAAAAATGGCACTTCCCTGCTTTGCTCGCTCTCTCTCCTGCCACCCTGTGAAGAACGTACTTGCTTCTCCTTTACCTTCCACCATGATTGTAAGTTTCCTGAGGCCTCCCTAGCCATGTAGAGCTATGAGTCAATTAAACCTTTTTACTTTATAGATTACCAGTCTCAGGTAGTATCTTTATAGCTATATGAAAATGGACTAATACAGAGAATTGTTACCAAGATAGTGGGGCACTGTTATAAAGATAACCCAAAAATGTGGAGGTGACTTTGAAACTGGGTAACTAGCAGAGATTGGAACAGTTTGGAGGGCTCAGAAGAAAAGAAGACATGGGAAAGTTTGGAACATCCTAGAGACCTGTTGGATGGTTTTGACCAACATGCTGATAGTGATATGGAAAATGATATCCAGGCTAAAGTGGTCTCACATGAAGATGAGGAACTTATTGGGAACTGGATCAAAGGTTACTCCTGTTATGTTTAGTAAAAGGACTGGTGGCAATTTGCCCCAGCCTTAGAGATCTGTAGAACACTGAACTTGAGGAAGATGATTTATGATATCTGGTGGTAGAAATTTCTAAGCAGCAAAACATTCAAGATGTGACCTGGCTGATTCTGAAAGTGTTCCATCATGAGCATTCACCAAGAGATGATTCAAAATTAGAACTTATGTTTAAAAGGGAAGCGGAGCATTAAAGTTTGGAAAATTTGCAACTCGACCATGTGGTTGAAAAGAAAACCCATTTTCTGGGGAGACATTAAAGCTGGCTGCAGAAATTAGCAAAAGAAATGAAGAACTGAATGTTAATAGCCAAGACAATGAGAAAAATGTTGCTAGAGCATGTCAGAGATTTACAAGGCAGCCCCTTGCATCACAGACCCAGAGGCCTAGGAGGGAAAAATAGTTTCGTGGGCTGGGCCCAGGGCCCTGCTGCTCTGTACAGCCTCAGGACCTAGTTCTTTGTGTCCCAGCCACTCCAGCTGCAGTTGTGGCTAAAAGGGGTCAATGTACAGCTCAGGGCATTGCTGTAGAGTGTGCAACTCCCAAGCCTTGGCAGCTTCCATGTGGTGTTGGGCCTGCACGTGTGCAGAAGACAAGAGCTGAGCTTTGTGAGTTTCCACCTAGATTTCAGAGGACGTATGGAAATGCCTGGATGCCCAAGCAGAAGTCTGCAGGGGTGTAGCCGTCATAGAGAACCGTAACTGGGGCAATACAAAGAGGAAATGTGGGGTTGGAGCCCACACACAGAGTCACAACTGGGGCACTGCCTGGTGAACCTGTGAAAAGAGTGCCATTGTCCTTCAGTCCCCAGAATGCTAGATCCACCAAGAGCTTGCACCATGCATCTAGAAAACCACAGGCACTTAACACTAGCCCATGAAAGCAGCTGTGGGAGCTGTACCTTGCAGAGCCGCAGGGGCAGAGCTGCCCAAGGCCTTGAGGGCCCACCCCTTGCATCAGCATGCCCTGGAGGTAAGGCATGGAATCAAAAGGGATTATTTTGGGGCTTTAAGATTTGATGAATGCCCTGCCAGGTTTTGGACTTGCATGGGACCTATGGTCCCTTTGTTTTTGCCAATTTCTCCCATTTGGAACAGGAATATTTACCCATTGCCTGTAGCCTCATTGTATCTTGGAAGTAACTAACTTGGTCTTGATTTTACAGGATCCTGGGTGGAAGGGACTTCCCTTGTCTTAGATAAGACTTTGGACTTGAACTTTTGGGTTAATGCTGGAATGAGTTAAGACTTTGGGGGACTGTTGATAAAGGATAATTGTATTATGCAGTGTGAGAAGAACATGATATTTGGGAGAGGCCAGGGGCAGAATGATATGGTTTGGCTCTGTGTCCCCACTCAAATCTCATCTCAAATTGTAATCCCCGTATGTCAAGGGAAGGACCTCATGGGAAGGACCTGGTGGGATCATGGGGGCAGTTTGCCCCATGCTGTTCTAGTGATAATGAGTGAGTTCTCACAAGATCAAGGTTTAAAAGTGAAACTTCTCCCCTTTGTCTTCTTTCTCTCTCCTGCCACCTTGTGAAGAAGGTATTAGTTCCCCTTTGCCTTCCATCAAGATTATCAGTTTCCTAAGGCCTCCCTAGTCATGTGGAACTGTGAGTCAATTAAATCTATTTTCTTCATAAATTACCCAGTCTCAGGCAGTTTTTTATAACAGTGTGAAAATGGACTAATACACTTTCCCACCCCATTATCTAATTTTTCTTGTATATTTCTTAACATAAAACCAACTTCCTGAGCATGAACCCTCACAGTTAAATTTAATTCACTTCAGCAGATGTTTTTGGTATTCCCACTAAATGCCAGGTACTTTCATAGGCCCTGAAAACACAAACCTGAAAAGGTATTCACATCTGCCTTCTGGGAAGTCACAATAAATTGAGAGAGAATGGAAAGTAAAGAAATAACTAAGATCTATCAAGAAAGTGATCTCTTACATCCATCATCTCAAGACTGGCATACTAATTCTCCCTTTTTAAGTCTTTTAAGTCCACAATTGCCTCTACTATGTTAACAATAGAAAAGTCAAAAGTTGCTCATTTGACCTTGATCATCACTCAAATTTTATTATTCTCTCCTTATACTGCCCCTCCCTAGTGCACCCCTTCCAGATTTCTCCACTTATAGCTTTGCTTCATCTTCACTCCCCTTACTGCCTTAACCTTCTGCCAGCTCGCTTCTATCATAACCACTCTAATTACATTGTTTCCTTGAAGGTTGCCAATGGATTCTTTCTTCTAAAATTAGAAAGGTGTGAAGTTTTTAAATTTATTTTAAAAATTCTCTTTCTCCTTAACTTTCTCCTAATTTTGCCTTTGTTGAGCATCCACTTGCAACTCTGCTGCCTCACTCTATCTACTATAATATTTTGGTTGTACTCTAGTCTCTCTGCTTCATTGTCTTTTCCTTGATAATATTTTACTAACCCACTTGATACTAGATCTAAATATTAGTTCTTGATTTTCTACTCCCACTTTGCAATGTCTTCCTAAAGCAAAATGTACAAACAGCAAAAAAAAAAAAAAAATTAAAGATAATAATTCTATGGCAATGCAACAATGAATTCAACCTCTCTCAAGCTCCTCATTTAAATTTGTAGGTGCTTGCTTGACATCAGTATTTCTGTCACTGATAAATGTTCTATCACAAAGCACTTTATCTTTTAATATATCCAAAGTTTAATTATTTTTCTCCTTGGATACAGCATCTCTTTTATGTATCCAAATTTCTACTAGTAATGCCTTGAAGTAGACCTGAATTTAAGAGAAAGCAAATTCTATTTGGAGAATACTTGAGAAGCTCCATCTTTCAGAGACATTTTGATTCATTGTTCTAGTAATCTAGATCTGGAATCTTGGAATAATTTTGTACTTTCCTTTACTTCACTTTCCAAATAAAAGAAGTTGCCAAATGTTTGAGATTTAGCCTCAGCAATACATGCAAGACAAAAATACTACCACATATTGGAATATGGCTTGAAAATTAACAGTGCTTCCTTTCATATTTGATTTCCTTAAAAGAAGAGGAGATAGATATGTAGATAAATCACAGCATTACTTTATCATAATCCTATGAGTTTGCTTGTCCCATTTAACATACGAGTATGTTGAGGCTGAGTTTGGTGACTCGCAATTCACAATTTATGCGAAAACCATTATGCCGTATGACAGTACTTCATGATGTACAGTGATTCTCAAATCTGTTTTCTCCTTCCCATATCTACTGCTTATATAATTTAGTCCTTATTATCTTCATAGTAAATTATTAGAGCAATTTGTTTTGTATTGCTACACCTTTGTTATGCCTCCATGTTGTTTAATCCTGCTAGCTGTTAGCCTTCTCTGTCATCTCACATTCCCTTTTAAAATGTTTTCTGACTACAAAATGGATAAAGACATTCCCAAATACCTGAAGATGTTTCATTTGTTGCTCTTTGGTATTTATTCTTGTGGAAAAAGAAATCTGAGGCCATTTAAAATTTAATTTCTTTGAAGGTGCCTATTTTTTCTTAACTGTATGTAGAAATCTACTTACATTTGTGCAAGTCAATGTCTACTCATTCCATTGTTTTTATCTGTGCTTTAAATTACTTGTGGCATCTGTTATATTTCTTCTCTAATTCTAAAATTTATGTAACAAGTATATTTTATTCCTGAATTTGTTTTCATAGTGCTTATATTTTTTCTCATTTTAATTTTCATAACTTTCCCTGTAAGTTTGGGGAAATTTATCAAGCCTCTCTTTCACACAAAGTTGCTTTTCTGATTTTTCTTCTCTTACTGAAAGTTTGAATTCAAATAAATTGTTTTTAATTGTATGCAGTCTTTTCAGATTTTACACCACACTTGTTTTGACTGCCTTCTTCATTACTTCAGATTCACTATCCTCTTGAATCATGTTCCAGAATGATTTCCATGTCCATTCTTATGAATTTATTCTTATGAATGGAATTTCCAGAATGATTTCCATTTATTCTTTTGAATGGAATTTCCAGAATGATTTCCATGTCCATTCTTATGAATTTATTCTTATGACTAAAATTCATAAGAATATATTTTCTCTGATTATTAAAAATGGTCTCTTTTTTCAAATGCAGTATTTTTTCAAAAATGATATGACTATTTTTTGTTTTCCTTTACAAATGAAGACTCTTTAAAAAATTTGTTTCCTGAAGCAACTGTTTCTTACTATCTCTACTGCAGGATGGTGAAAGCCACCATCCTCTCTCACTGGGTCTTCTGCAACATCTTCCTCCCTCACTAGCAACCCTTCTTCCCATATCTTTCCTCCTAAAAATTATTCTCCACACAAATTCCATAGTAGTTTGTCAAAATTCTAATCATATCTCATTGCTTCTCTACTTAAAAAAATACAGTATTTGAATAAATTTCAAACTCTTTACTACATCATACGAGGCCCTTCATGATGTGCATTCTTACCCTCCTTGCCATTCGACTTGGTTCTTCACCTATTTTATTTACTGTCTTCTGTTTCACACTAAGCTTTCCTGACCAACCTACTTCAAATAGAAATCTCCCACCTTCCATATCTCTCTAAGTTGTTTCACTGCTTTTCTTTGCCAGTTCTTTCTTTATGTTGGCTATCACTACCTGATATTATATTTATTAAGTATCTTGTTTATTGCCTGCTTGCCAAATTACAGAGTAAGCTTATAAATGCCAGGGAATTGTCTATTTTATTTTCATCTGTATCCCAACGCATGAGAGAAACTCAGTATTTTTGGATGAATGAAAGGGTAATGACTACAGGCTTTATTTGCATATCAGTTTTTGTCAAATGCACAACAGGACGTTATTACAGACCATCCATTCACAGTTGCCTCCAATGTCAGGACTGCTTTCAAGTCAGGTGTTTTTAAGTGTTTATTATTGTGAAAGAATATTTCTATGTTCTGCCACATGGCTGGCCATGTATTTGAATAATTTTTTCACTGCAAACACCTGGTGCTTCACAGAATTAAATAAAACTGTAAACTAGAATTATCAGGCTGAACATGAACAAAAGCTGGATACACTGAAAACTAAACTGAGAACAGAAGCTGCTTCTTCCCAAGGTCTTTTAGAAATCTGGAAAACTTGAGCTGTAGTTTAAAAGAATATTTGGATAAAGGAACACATGACAAGCCCATTGTGTAATCAGAGTGAGGAATCTAATGTGAGTATTTTCTTCAATAAAGCTTGGACTTGGATACCCTCAGCATCAAAGTGACCACAAAGTCAAACTACAGAAACCCAACATGGAGAGGGTTACGGGGAAAGTTACCTTGGTATAGAACAAAGGGAAAAATGTCCCCAAGTTTTTATGATAACAAATGAGCCCACTTGTAATTTTCAGGACAAAGTCACATAATGAAGGTGATCCAAGAAGTTCAATAAGTAAATTTGATTTAAGGTTTTCCTGGACTAATAATATATTTGGAAATTTGTCAACAGTAAGCACAGACAAATCACTGGAAAAAACTTTCTTTAGCACAGATCTAAAATAATAACACAATAGGCCTGTGTGGTGACTCACGCCTGTAAACCCAGCACTTTGGGGGGGCCTAAGTGGGTGGATCACTTGAGGTCAGGAGTTTGAGATCAGCCGGGCTAACATGGTGAAACACTGTCTCTAGTAAAAATACAAAAATTAGTTGGGCGTGGTGGTGCATGCCTGTAATCCCAGGTATTTGGGAGGCTGAGGCACAACAATCTCAAGCCAGGGAGGCGGAGGTTGCAGTGAGTCAATATCATGCCACTGCAATCCACCCTGGGTGACACAGCAAGACTCTGCCTTAAATAAATAAATAAATAGCAGCACAGGAGAGACTTCCAAATATTTATCTATAACATACACATGTACACACACATCAAAATTTCTCCATGGCTCCATTTCTAGTGAGGGGAAAGAGTCAGTAACCAAAACAAATAAGATATGTAATATGTTAAATGATGAAACATGCCATAAAGGAAAAAAAAAATAGTAGGGTAAGATCAAGAAACTGTGTAATAAAAGAGTTTTGAGCATTGAGTTGCTCAGATGGCCTCATTAAAAAGGCAGAATTTGAGAAATGGAGTGCTCTCACGAAGTTTTGACAGAGTAATATGAAGAAGAGATGGAAGTGGAGTAAGGGCTGAAATAGGAAGATACTTAAAAGGCTACTGCAATAATCCTGGTGAGTGGTGATGAAAGCTTGACCCAGGGAGGTAATGGTGAAGATAGTGAGAAGTGCTTGAAGTTTGGAAATATTTTGAAGACAAAAGCAATAGAATTTGAACACAGAGTTGATGTGGATATAAATGAATGCATTCAAGAGTTTGGATATTAGGAGCTACAAGAGTAAAAATCTCTGAAAGAATGTTCTCTAAACCAGACCTTACATAATTTTCACAGGCAAAGATGTAAAATAATGAGCTCAAAATAATAAATCCATATGAAGACAAATATTCATCATTACTAGGAGGCAGCAGAAATAATACAAGGAATTAGACTTTCAACGTTTGGGATATTGGGATTAAGATATGTAGGATACAAAATACATATAGTTGAAATATTTGATTAAATTCAGGAGAATATAAACAGTATGAAAAGTGAATGAGAGGCTTTCAAAAATTACCATGAACACTTGAAAAAGAAATATTTATAGTGTATGAAAATTTAAAAAATACAATTAAAATAAGATAATGAAAAGAAAGTATAAATACATCTTCAGTAACCCTTATCTGAAATGCTTGTGATAAGAAGCGTTTTGGATTTCAGAGTTCTTTGGATTTGGGAATGTTTTCATTATAGTTACTAGTTAAGCATCCCAAATCTGACAATCTGAAATTCAATATCCTTCAGTATTTCCTTTGAGCAGCATGTTGGTGCTCAAAAAGTTTTTATTTTGGAGCACTCCAGATTTTAGATTTTTGGATTTGGGATCTCAATCTACTATAGTATATTAGATATAGCTGATATAAGAATTAGTTCATCGGATGATGTACTTGAAAGAATTACCTATATTGCAACACAGCAATACTAATACGAGAGAGAAGATAAGGAGTGAAGAAATGCAAAATTCAAAGGGATGGCTGAGAATAATCCAGCATTTTAACAGACAAATATTCTCAAATTCAAGAAAATCAGTGAATAACAAGCATGAGAAATGCAAAAGATATATACTTCTAGACACATTCTAATCAAGTTGCAGAGTACCACTCGTATAGAAATATATAGAAATGAGCTTAAATATCACCAGTGAAGAAAGACCAGAATGAATGACACTTAGATTAGCAGCAGGTATTTAAATCACAAGGGAAGTAATAAAATGGTAAATACTATCAATGAGCTGAGAGAAAACAAAAGACAACTTAGAATTGCATTGCCTGTGAATTTTTCATAGAGGAATTAAGACAAAATAATGATGTTTTCAAAACAAAACAAAGAAACAAACAGCTAGGAGTTTAGTACTAACAGAACCACAGAAAAAGAAACTTCTAAATTACATATTTTGGGAATAAAGAACATGTTCCCATAATAAAGGCCTGAGATACAAGAAGAAATAGTGAGAAAAGAAAGTAGCAAATATTTTGATAAGTCCAAACACTGACTACATAAAATATCACTGACTACATAACAACATGAGCAACAATAATATCTAATTGTTGGAGATAAATAAGGAAAGCATCAAGATAAGAATAAAATATTGACCAGTGATGATGAGCTTTTTTTCATATGTTTGTTGGCCGCATAAATGTCTTCTTTTGAGAAGTGTCTCTTCCTATCTTTCACCCAGTTTTTAATGGGATAAAGAAAATGTGGCACACCCTGGAATACTATGCAGCCATAAAAAAGATGAGTTCCTTTCCTTTGCAGGAACATGAATGAAGCTGGAAACCATCATTCTCAGCAAACTAACACAGGAACAGAAAACCAAACACTACATGTTCTCACACATAAGTGGGAGTTGAACAATGAGGACACATGGACACAGGGAGGGAAACATCACACACTGGGGCCTGTCGGGGGGGTGTTATGTAGCCTGTAGGGAGGGATAGCATTAGGAGAAATACCTAATGTAAATGACGGGTGGATGTGTGCAGCAAACCACCATGGCGCATGTATACCTAGGTAACAAACCTGCACATTCTGCACATGTATCACAGGACTTAAAGCATAATAAGAACAAAAGAGAAAAAAAGGAATAAAATATTGAAAGCCATCAATATGCAAACCAGGAGATGGTTCAGGAGATTATATACATTTAAGTGTCTTTTTTTCTTTTGTGGGTAAAAGTTAAAACAAAAGATTAAACTATATTAAGTGTGACTGTTCAAATATCTCATGTCACCACTAAAAAGAGTAGTGCTTGCAAAATGTGAAAATTGGAAAGGAGAATAAAAAAAAAATAGCCTGAAAATTAAGGAAGTTAGATTTTACCTTAAGAAGTTAGAAAGAAATTATAAACATTAAGAAAGTAGAAGAAATTGCACTGTAAGATTTTGAACAGAACTTAATGAATAGAAAGAAAAATACAATACAGCTTCAACAAAACTGAAAGTTGGCTTTCTAAAAAGATGAATAAAATCAACAAATCTTTAGCAAGGCTAACGAAGATTTAAAATCACCCTAAAATTTGGGAGACAGATAAAACTGAGGGATCGTGTAAATACTTCCCTGGACTTTACTAGCTAATGTCTATATCCCTTCAATTCTTTTAAGATGAAAATATTTAATAACTGTTTCTGCTCAATAAAATGTAAGTATGCCACAGGATCTAGCATTACACTGCATTTAAAGATAAAATTGGTGTTAATAATATGCAAACTGAATATTGTAGATTAAAAATTGCCAAATAATAAATAAATTTATCTTTAGATTTCTGGTTCTAAAATTGGTTGAAGTTGCAACTTTCTGGAGGTAAATGAATTAGTTTGACTTATTCAGGAAAGTCAAAATTTCAGCCGAATAAATCTTTGTTAAAGTGTTTCAGAAATTGTGAAACATTTAAAGAGCTTTCTCTGTGGTAGTTCCCAAAGAAAGTACCCTGGTCAAACTTCAGGGAAGGTGTGAAACTATCAGATTTGTAGAAAAAATAGGATCTGTAAAAGAAGGCAATGCTGGAAAAAAAAAATTAAGAACTCTAGGAAGAAAAGACACAAATGAAGACTTATCTCCTTCACTGCTAATTTGTTCAAGTTACACTTTTGTCAAATTAAGTCAGAAATTACTAGATTCTCCAAAGAGGAGAAAAGAAAAACAGGAGGTTTGGGGATGGTATTTTCCAGGAATGCTAAAAATACGATGCTCCACCTTTCCCTTCATTCCACCCATTAAATGTTCTGCTTTCCTGTCTAGGGCATATACAAGGCAGAACACATCTGGAAGGCTTTTCCTGCTCTGATTTTTTTGTTTTTTCTTTTAATCTTTGTCTTAAATAAACCTGAAATATTGAAAAATTAGAAGAAATGATAGAAACATGTAGGTATGCTTTTTGGCTAGCAGCAGTGTTCAAATTTTAATATAAAATACATTGGTTTTATAGTTAATATCCAAATTACGGTAAGTGAGTTTTAGAGCCTATTAAGCAGAGCTCAATTAAACACGCTAGCAAAAGGAGACATTTATTTCTTATATCAAGGCAGTTCTCCTTCATAGAAAACAAAAGGTGAACACTCATTTTATTCCTCCAAATCTGAAGTCAAATAGAATATAGGAATTTGGAAACATGAAAATATGTTTGATGCAGAAATTTGGCACAGATTTTGCTTGCTTGTTTAATGAACACTGTTGCTTCCATCAGTAAGACACTGAATATCACGATAAAACCATTGTCCAGGAACAAAAGGCTGAATTTAAAGGCCACCAGCTGGCTCTAATTTATACACATGCCTCACCTTGAAATCTGGAAACATGTATAGCATCAAGGGATGTCATCATTATTACGAAGTTTAAAGATAGCATTGTTCAATGAAATCAGAGAAAAATCTAGTTTGAAGGCATTTGCCTTGAAAAGTTAGGAAAATCAAATAGTTATATGTATATATATATTTCCTTTCATCAAAAAGATAACACATGCCATATATGAAGACAATTACAGATGTTGTTATAATTAATCTGCCATTGATATATCAGGATTTTTAACGTCAGCATCTTTCATAAATAAGATTGCTCTGTGACTAATTAATGCTCTAACATCAATTTGGTAGTGAAAAGTTTAAGACAACCTAAATTCATTTCTTCCTCAAATATTGTTTTGGAATGGTTTTTTTCCCCCACAAACTTTAAAAATAATATTCTATTTCATATTTAATATGGGTCATAGACAAAATATGCTTCTGTCTAGGTGTATGCAGAATATTCCACAGCTTCTAGTAGAGCTATGCTAATTCAGTAGCCTTTAACCACATGTGGATATTTACATTTCAATTAATTATAATTAAATAAAATTTGAAAACTTGGTCCCTTGGTGCTTCATATTTTAAGTACTTAGCCATATATGGCTAGTGGTTACTGTTTTGGACAGCACAGATACAGCACATTTCTATTATTACAGGAAGTTGTATTGGACAAGGCTGCAAATAGAGAGACCTAGAAAGGATTTGGGGCGTAGGCATTCAGAGCTTCCAGAAGAGTTAAAAATGGCAGAATTATTTAGCCTAGAAAAAAGAAAGAGGAGCACTGGCCTTATGAAGACTTTTGAATGACAGAAAAGATATAAAAAAAGGCAGCCAGCTGTTTTTAATATACTGGTCAGAGACAGGAGGAACTGATTTAAAATATAGTGGAGAGATTTAGAGTAAGCAGAAAAAGTGGGAGTTATTAAAGAACTAAATGACTTACAGGAATTTCTCCTTTCAAGACTTTCCACGAGAAAGCCACATACTTAGTGACAGTCAGTGAATATTTATCATTGATAATTAAGCCAAATTCTCTGGTGTCCTTTCTAAACTCAGAGAGATGTAGTCAATTAATCAATAAATAACCATTGGATCTGTATTATGTTTCAGGTAGTGTACTAGAGAGAAGGTACATAGCAGGAGCACTGAACATTATTTACTTAAATCCTACCCTTACAATATCACGCTTTAGGAGTACGGAGAAGTAGTGATTACATAAACAAATACATTCTAAAATAGTTTCAGGTAACTAATGGGGTTCTGAATTAGTTAAAGTAGTGTAATAATGAGGAAGTGACATTGAAGAGTACATGGATTTGGAAAGACAAAGAAGATCGCTGAGTGGCTGACATTTGTGTTGATATTTTGTTAGAGGGGAGGAGGTAGCCATAAGAGAATCAGATAATCTAGGGGAAGCCTGGTCCAAGTATAAGAAACAGCAAGTTCCAAACTCTCAAGCCTCACATATTAGGGAAACAGCAAAAGCCACTGTATCTGGAGATGAATGAAGGCAGGGATGAGTGATTTGGGATGAGTTGGAGAAATGCAGAGGCCACATCATGCAGGGTCTTGTGGACCAAACTATGGAGTTATATATTACTCTGTTGAAATAGCAAGTCAATGGAGAATTTAACAAGATCATTCTGGCTCCTCTTCCACATCTCCTCTGGAATGTGAGGCTGTGACGGGAGGGTCAGGGCAGGGAGGACAGTTAGTGAAAAATACCATAATGCAAGAGCAGTTTTATGAGTAGAGATGGCAACAAATAGATTTAATATGTTTAGAGGCAAAATGGAATCTATGGATGGATTGTATGAAGTATGTAGTATAAAGAGAAGTAAAATATGTACTCGTAGTGTTTTGACCTGAGCAAGGGGCAGAAGAATGGATGGTAATGGAAATTACTGAAATAATGGAGGCTTGATGGCAGGACCAGGGAGGTATATTTGGGCAGAATATGCTGAGTCTAAGATAAATTTTAGACATTTAAGGCATTTGAATATGTGAGTCTGTGAATGAGAGGAAGGCCCACTAGAAAGAAATCATTGAGGATTTCAAAAATTTGAACACCTCTTTCAAACATCTTGATCTCACATTTTTACAACACTACCACAACAAGTGTCAAATATGTAAATTTCATGTGATCATAATAAATTCACCACAATAAACCATCTGTGGGGCCATAAGTCTAATTAGTTCAAAGATTAAAATCTTACAAACTCTGATGTAAAAAATTATCAATGTATTACATTAGAAGTTAACAACAAAATATCTAGAAAATACACATATATTTGAAGATTAAGTAATATATTTGTAAATAAACCATAGCTTAACAGAGCAAAAAGTAGGACAATATTTTCACAAAATAATGAAAAAACAGCACATTAAGATTTAGCAGATTCAGTTAAAACTTTTCTTAAAAATTTATACTTTTAAATTTCTGTATTAAAGAAAGGATTAAAGCAATGACCTAAGTTTTCCACTTAAGAAACAAGGGAAAGAAGAACAAATTAATCCCAGAGTAAATAGAAAAGGAATTAAATAACTAAAAGAAGAGCAGTGAAATAAAAAACAAACAAAAAGTAGATAAAAATTTCAAAAGCCAGAATCTGCTTCTTTTTAAAGGTTAAGAAATTTGCCAGATTGACCTACAAAAAAGAAGAGATGATACAAATAACCCAGTAGGAATAAAGATTGAAAGAAGTGAATTATAACTGTGTTTATTCACAGATGATACAATTGTTTTCAAATAAACTTCTAATAAATCTACAAAAATAGTACTGGTACTAATTAGAAATTTAAAAATATATTCAAAGTTAATATGCAAAACTTAGTGTATTTTTATATACTAATTGCAAACAATTGCATAATAAAATTAATATACACATTTACAATAACATCAAGATGGACTTAAAAACTTAGAAATAAATATAACAAATGGCATGCAAGACCTCTACACTGAAAACTAACATATTGCTAAGAGAAGTAAAAGAAGACCTAAATCAATGAAGAGATATACCATATTCATGAATTGGAAGGCTAAATATTGTTAAGATTTCACTTATCTCCAAATTGATATTTAAACTCAGTACAACCCCAATCCAAATTCCAGCATTCTTTGTTGTACAGTCATCTGTCACATGTGGAAGTTTCGGCCAATGACAAACTGCATATATGATGGTGGGCCCATAAAATTGTAATGGAGCTGAAAAGTTTCCATTTCATAAATACTTACCACTGTTACCATTTAGTACAGTAACATGCTGTACAGGTTTCCTAGCCTAGGAACATTAAGGTACACTGTATAGAATAAGTGTGGAGTAGTCTATGCCATTTAGATTTGTGCAAGCACACTCTATGATGTTCACACAATAATAAAATACCCTAACAATGCATTTCTCAGAATGGATCCCAGTTGTTAAGCTCTGGATGATTGTATGTGATAATAAACTGACCCCCAAATTGTTATAGAAATTCAAAGGATAATAATCTTGTAAAATAACCAATTTGGCGAAATTACATTTCCTGACTTTAAGACTTACTTTAAGACTATGATAATAAAAAAAGTATAGTTAAGACTAGACAAAAAAATAAATGGACCAGAATTGACAGTTTTATAATATATCAATACTTGTATGGTCGATTATTTTTCAACCAAAGCAATTAGGTGGATGAGTAAATGTTTTTAGCAAATGATGCACAAACTGGCTCTCTAAATGGATCAAGTTGTACCTAATCTATACTTCACGATACATACTAATATTACTTTCAGATAGTTTATAGACCTAAACACAAGTTAAAGCTATACAAATTTTAGAAGAAATCACAGGAGACTACCTCCAAAAACTTGAGGTATGCAAATATTTCTCTGGAAGTAATGATAAATCACTAGAGACAGAAGAAAAGAAAAATTTATACTGGATCAAGATTTATAAAGTCTTCTCATGAAAGAAATCATATTAATACATAAGGAGGCAAGTAGCATTCAGGGAGGAGCAACACTATATACACTATACATATAATATATGTAATATATATATCTTACATATACTTGACAAAAGATTTCTACCCGACGGATATAAAATAATCACTATGTATCGATATTGAAAAGATAAACTAATTAAAGACGTGCAAACAACTTGAACACCTGTTGGAGAAGTAAAAACATTTGCCCACAAAAAATGCTTGTTAAAGAATATTAACATCATTTTTCTTCGTAATAACCCCAAACTGACAATAATCCAAGTTGGACAATCCAATAGAAAAATGTATATACAAATTGTAGTGTTTTCAAAATATGGTGTATTTCTTAACATTAAAAGGAATAAAATATTGATATGCATAACACAGTAGATAAATTCCAAACTTTTTTTTTTGTCTGGCAAAAAGAAACAAGCTAGATGCAAGAGACTATATACTGTATAAGTCCATTTACATAAAGTTCATTAAGTACAGCTAATCTACTCTTATAATAGAGGAAATGGCTGCCTATAGAGATTTGGGATTGACTATAAAGGGGCACAAAGGAATGATGTGAGATGATGAACATGCTCTGTATCTTGAGTAGAGTATTGATTAATTACATTACTCAAAATTCAATAGTTTTGTACTCTAACATCTTTAATAATAAAAAGAAGCAAACAAAGAAGTGATAATAGGCCAGGTTCCATGGCTCACGCATGTAATCCCCAGCACTTTCGGAAGCCGAGGCGGGTGGATCACAAGGTCAGGAGATCGAGACCATCCTGGCCAACATAGTGAAAACCCGTCTCTACTAAAAATACAAATACTAGCTGGGTGTGGTGGCAGGCGCCTGTAGTCCCAGCTATCCAGGAGGCTGAGGCAGGAGAATCGCTTGAACCTGGGAGGCAGAGGTTGCAGTGAGCTGAGATTGCACCACTGCACTCCAGCCTAGGCAACAGAGTGAGACTCTTGTTTCCTCCCCCCGCCAAAAAAAAGATGAAATAATGACAAAATTATCTGAATGTACTATAGCTGTCTTTTGATTCCCCCTCAAAAAAACATATTGTCAGATCCAACCAAAAACCTCAATCTCTAGTGTTACTTTCTTTCCCCAATTCTAGTTTGTGTGTGTGTGTGTTTGTCTATTTCACAAGGTTACTTGCCAATGTGCTGGATTGAAAATCACACTTAAAATAATTTTAATCCCTGCTCCACTTCATAAACTTCAGTTTTTTTCTCTTCATAGTGTCAGTCTTGCCTATATAAAATAACAGTGTGAAGAAACCGATGGAAATCTTGTTTCCTGAGAATAATCAGCCTCACAAGTGGCAGTTGCTTGTCTGTTCAGGCCCAAGTTCTTATTCCAAAATTGCCAATCAGGGAAGTCATTTCTTTTCCTCAAGGAAAAGCAAGTCAAGAGGTATAACGCGGCTAGGATTCTAAAGCAAAGAGCATGACTCTTCATATGAAAGTAGACATTAGCAGTCTTAATTCAAAATGGGATGGTTTGGCAGTGTTGAATGCTCACTTAAAGTTTTTGGCACAGATTTGACATGAATCTAAACTGTATAGCTGTGCAATTTTTCTACCTCCGTGTTTCTCTGCTCAAATGCAGGCCTAGAAGAGGAGGATATTAGACTTTAACCCGGCGTGGGATTTTGCTGATTGAAGGTGTCAGAGAGATGGGAAAGTAAATGAGTAATCATATTTTGTTATAATTCTGGATTATGTAGTCCAACCTACCCCAAAAAGGAATGCAGCGGCTTGCTGGGGTATGAGTGCCAGTGAACAATGAGGTTACGTTATTTGATTTCAGAGTTTGGCTGCTTTAGGAAGGAGCTACTCATGCACTCCACTCATTCTCCTGTTTTTTGTTTTTCTTTTTTTTCTTTTTTTATATCTGCCTAAGGCAGCATGTATTCCTGATGCTTCTTGATCATGAATTAAGCTTTGTGGGACAGTTTCTCTTCTGTAGGAATAAGAAGAGGCTTGAAAATGTTGAGTGCTGTCCATGATTTACTCTAATTTGGTATTAGGAAACTCCTTGCCTAGCAGATTTAAAGTTCTCCATTTGTCTGTTCCCTATATCTATCTCTCAGGTGTCCACAGAATCATGTAAAGAAGAATATTACAATTATATCTTCCAAACCTCAACACTGGAATGTGTAAACTCCAAAATAAAATTTCCTGTTCTTATACTTGCATTAAAAGGAATGCATTGAATCACTGAATTATTTTTCATAACTCCCATTAGAAAAATATTTCATTCATTCATTCATCTCACAAACTTTCACTGAGAATTTTGTGTCATGTACTGTGCTAAGAACTGAGAAAATCAGAAGCTAATACAGTCTAGTAGAGTTTTGTCACACAATAAAGTTATGCTAATAATTCAGGATAGTAAAAGTTCGAATCAATATAATGCATTACTGTGTAACTATAATAACAGAATATTTGCTGAGCTGCTCATAGTTTCATTGCCTGGGCTTCAAGGCTCCTATTAATACTTGGGCAGTCAAGGCAGAAATAGTCAACACATCTCTGAATGAATCAGTTTTCAAAAACTGGAGCATAATAATGTACAGGATACATTTCTTAAGGAATATTGGAGTCATTGTCAAATGAGAGCTTTTTGTAGGGAGGGTGGGGAATGAAACTCGTAATTAAGCACATTGTATGTGTTAACAATTGTCGTAGATACTTTAACATAATTATGTAATATTGTCTTCACAGTAATCTCAGATTCTTTATTCCTGTTTTCATAGAAAAACAAGAGTTATGCAGGTTGAGGATTGTCTAAATTCATTTAGGCACTGTAAAACCTTGTCTACAAAATGTAAGAGAACAGACACTTCATTCTATCACATTCGTAATTCATTCTGAGGAAGATATTGAGGCTTCATACAAAAATAATTGCCGCACCTTAATATATGTTTTACTTTAGAGTATATAAAGTATTTTAACATATATTATCTCAGATGATCTTTACAATGACTCTTGTTCTTGGCACTTACATTGATAAAAGTGTTTTGAAAATAAATGAAAATCTGGAATCCTTTTGATGACTTCTCGATGGGAGTTAGAGGTAATTAGGTGTATTTCAGAACCAGAATAATGAAACAAGGATCAGAGAGCTTAGTTAAGAAAACACAATGGTGCTGCAATCCCCAAAATATTTCAGAAAGATATTCTGGACCACCTGGTTATTTTTTAGAACTAAGCACAAAAGATTACTTAAGCAGTTTCCCAGGTAGAGTCATTTCTCTCCTATGTCAAGCTCACTTAGTGACAGCATTGATCGAGAAGTTTGGCTATAACAGAAAGACATATGTGTTGAAAATCATGAATATTATGGTGAATGGTGATTTATGATCTGATATCTCAATATGTGGACTGAGTCTTCCTAGGAGTAAAATATTTTAATTTTACGTATGTTATCACTGTATTACATTAGCTTTGAAAACAAAAACTTTGTATTTCAAAATAATTGTAAACTCTACATGTAAGTACAAAATAGTACAGAGTTCCATGTGTCCTTCACCTAGTTTTCCTCAATGACAATATCTTACATAACAATAATACAATGATCAAAACTAGGAGATTGGCACAATGCTACTAACGTAACTACATATTATATTCAGTTTTTACATGGGTAACCTTTACTTATATAAATTTATTCTCTTATTTATTAGTTGATGCTTTTGTTGGGGGTAGTTTTAACCTATTCTGCTGAGTTATCATGAGATGCCAACTTTTATATCTACAATCACAAATGGGGAGATAAATAGAAGACTTCTTTCTGGAGAATAAAGGAAAATGTTTTTACATTTTTCCAAAGGAAAAAAGACACCTTGTCTTCCCTTTTGTGAACTCAGGTAGTAGAGAAGTTCTCTTCTTTACATTGGCTGGTGCTATTCAAGAAGAATAAAAATACAAATAGAAGGATAAAAATACCATCTGCACCGAATATAATCTAGTTTGTAAAACAGAATATAATATATAAAATGCACAATAAATATTTTGTATTATACAAAACTGTTGAAAAGATTTTTTTTGGGAAAAATTAATGTGTCTAAAATCAACCGATACAGGCACTGCTCAAGTCAGGCAATGAGGCCAGGTTATTTATTTTAAGAGAACTTCACGAGGGGCTTTTGGGAAAGCCAAGTTCCCTTGGTGATTCTTGGTTGGAATACCTGGAGGAGAAAACTGTTAACATCCCAGGACCGTGTGCCTTGGGAAGGAGGCATGGACACTCCACTTTCTGCCTTCCTATCATGATGTCAAATGATTTGCCTCATTAAGTCAGCTGTGTGAGAAACCTGGAGCAAACAAATACATATTTAAATTTTCCTCTCTTTTCCCATCGCTAAACACACATGGCTTTTTAAAAATATTAAGAGAAATAATTTCTTAGGATAGATAATTCTGGACACCCTTATGATATTACACATTGAGGCAACTAATCTGCCTTTGACTAATCTTCCTCATCTCATACGTCTAATTCTCTATCATTAATTATGGGACTTTTGCTACTTTTATTATATTTATTACTCTTGGACATATATTTTAAGATCAGAAATAAAGAAAAAGATGGCAAATAGTTGTTTCATTGGAGGTTTTACAATTTATAGTTGTGTAAAAGGACAAATATAATTTCTTGTTTATTTATTTATTTTGAGACAGAGTTGCTCGGTTGCACAGGCTGGAATGCAGTGTCAGGATCTCAGCTCACTGCAGCCTCTGCCTCCTGGGTTCAAGTGATTATTGTTCCTCAGCCTTCCGAGTAGCTGGGATCACAGATGCATGCCACCATGTCCAGCTAATTTTTGTATTTTTTTTTCTTTTGGTAGAGATGGGGTTTTATCATGTTGGCCAGGCTGGTCTAACTCCTGGCCTCAAGCAACCCACCCTCCTTGGCCTCCCAAAGTGCTGGGATTACAGGCTTGAGACAAATATAATATAAATATCCAGAATTAGCTTTAAAAGCACCTATTTGATTAGGACTCGCTTTCAAAATCTCCTTTTCTATAGTTTAAACTTGTATGTGGTTTTATTTTTGATCACTTCTCTTTTGTATTTTTCAATAATGCAAACTTTTTATGCCGTGAAATTTTAAGTATATTATTATAAAACAATCATTTTTATTAAGGCCATTCAGTTCACATCAATATAACTAATACAATGAAGAACCTTCTGTGTATTAAAACACTTCCCGAGTTCTGGTAAATAGCCAAACAAGGGTTTAGTTCTGGAAACATAAGGTTCATAAGATCCATATTTTTTCATCATAAGCCTTGGACCAATTAATAATAATTATCAGTAGAAATACATTTACATAACATTTGAAGTACCAACGTTAGATCTCTATAACTCATTGATTTATCAGAGAGCCAAATTACTTTTTAAATTTATTTGTTCTGCATTATTTTAAATCTTAACTGAACTCTGAGAAAGTTATTTATATTTCCAACCTAGATAAAAATATCTTTCTGAAGTGTACATTACATAATAGGAATTATTCTGGATATGTTAATATACAACTCAATCATTCTAAAATCCTGTTATGTAAGCATTCTATTCTCCTTTTTCAGATAAATAAGCTAAGGCAGAAAGAAGTGGATTCCCCTATTGCTTTGGTGAATTTTGACATCTTTCAGCTCCAAGATTCTGAGATTTTATTAAAACAAAATTACCTAATATGAAGAAAAGAGAATGAGAATAATATTGAATGGAAACTATATACTTACCCTATACGAAACATAGCAGTAATTACACTTGCTAATGTACTTGCAACAGAGGTAATATCTCTGTTCTCTTTTCAGGAATGTAACTTCTAGCAAAGTAGTCTTTATAATAAAATCCTCTGAAATAGAGGAAGTAATCTCTGCCCTCTTAAACTATTTTTTAAATAAGAATTCAATGGAAGTATTTAAAACATAATAGTGGAAAGAGTGAACTTACAATGCAAACAACAGACGTCGCTTTCATTCTAGCTTTGTTATTTTCTGCAAGTAATTCACTCACCACTGAGCTTCAATTTCTTTCTTTATAAAACATAAAATGTAAAAATCATACCAACCTCATAGGGTTGTTTTGATGATTAAAATTAGATAAATGAAAAAAAAAGCCTGGGAAATAGTAGAGGATACATTTCATAATAATTACTTTTTTTTTTTTTTTTTTTTTTTTTGAGATGGAGTCTCACTCTTTGGCCAGCCTGGAGAGCAGTGGTGCAATCTCGCCTCACTGCAACCTCCGACTCCCTGGTTTAAGCAATTCTCGTGCCTCAGCCTCCTGAGTAGTTGAGATTACAGGCACACGACACCACGCCCAGCTAATTTTGTTTTGTATTTTTAGTAGAGACAGGGTTTCAACATGTTGGGCAGAATGGTCTTGATCTCCTGACCTCGTGATCCACCTGCCTCGGCCCCGCAAAGTGCTGGGATTACAGGCATGAGCCATCGTGCCCGGCCTAATTACTACTTTTTGAAAAATTCATATTATAGTGGCAACACATTAGTGTTGGATTACAAAAGACCTTTCCAAATTCATATAATTAGACAGGAAGTAGTTGTTCAAAGTAACATGAAAAACGAGTAAACTTGTTATCCTGCACTTATTTATAATTACAATTTTAGACCTCAAAACTTTGTTATTACCACTTTCTTTTAGGGAAGCTATATTGCATTTATTCCCACTTTTTAAACATGACTGAGAGTTCTCATCTGGAATAGCACACATGTATTTCTAACCATCCTAGTGAATTAAAATTCGTATTTAATTACCATATAAGTGCATATGTTTAGAGCTCAACTTTAAATCCCAAAACTTAGAGAAATGGAATGCATTTTATGTTTTGTAATATATTCCTCTTTGAACACTTTTGCCTCTTATGATTGACTCTGTATCCTTTTTCAATCTTAAATATTTTGACTACATTGATGATTTTTACATAAATATTACGGAAGGCGCTACATTTCAAGAAAATTATGTCTTGAAGGGAGTTCTACAAATGAAAAACTGATGCAGTCTCATGCCAAGAAATACCTGCCATGGAATCTTTTTTGTGTTTGCCAACTAATATAATTGGCTTTCTGATTTGAGGAAAGTTCTCTTAGATCCTACCGCTCAGCCTGAAGAAAATTAAATTTATCTATAAACAGAATGAAAAATGAAAAGACTTCCTTCTCTATTCTTCTTTCCCTCACTAATGTTTAACATTCAAATGAATGTCCCAGAGCAGTATGTCCAAACTAGATTTCACATGATGAGAGTTTATGTTGTTATTCTGTCAATGCCTTTTAGATTTTCAGAAAAAAAATATTGTAGGTTGCTTACATAATACTTTGTTTTACTTTTTGCTGTCTTATCTAAAAGAACTTCCTTAATGTGTCTTTTTCCAGTTCATTGGTATTTTGTAATTTCCAGCTTGAATCTCACTTATTCTTTTTTTCATTTTTTTCAATCATTACCATGCTGTGGATGCATGTGAATGCATAACTCTAAAATCAAATCTTTATGAATCTTTATTATAGCCAGTCTTTTTGTTTCTATATTACAGAAGAAGAAATGGTTGGAAATAAATATAAATATTTTGACTATAACTGGTTGCTAGGTAAACCAGTGAGAGAACTAGACATAATATTTTATTTATATTAGAAACAGCATTTCTAAAGCAGTGTTTTTTGGTAGACTAATTACTTAACCTGGAAGCTGCACACAAGAATTTTATAAAGACAATGCAACTTCCAAAGAAGGTGCAACTGGGAAAAAATACTGGACTTTAGGTTTAGAGAAACAAGCTTTATTTCTAGTTCGACTACTTGTAACCTTGGCCAAGTTATTTAACTATCCTAGGTCTGTATTGTCATATATGTAAGGATACAGTTGGAGTCATAAAAGTCTGAAAATTTGACAATGCTAAAATTTATAATACTCTTCTTTAATGTTTCATTAATATACATTTATATTACAGTGTTTTACATATGAAAGGAAATAGAGATTAAAAATTAAATGTCAACTCTTGCTATATATTGGTTGATTTGTTTTATCCTCATTGCCAGATAGACAATTTTTAGAGAAGAGTATTTTATTATCTGTTCAAGGGCACACAGCTAGTAAATTGGGGGACTGCCATTCAAACCTAGGAATTGGTTCTCAAGCTCATTCTCTTTCTCCTGTACAGTAGTTTATCTCAAAAGCAAGTGAATGTGTTTATTTTGCAATAGAAATTAATATATACTTCAATATATCCATCTGTGTTAGATGAATATATTTGGGTGGTCAGGAGTGAAAAGTCTTTAGCTTCTATTTGCATGTTCCATTTCTTAAAGATTGCAGAAGTACACGTTTATTAATTAATAAACTTAAAATGACTTATAGAGCTTAAACTAGGTCAGTAATAAGACATTCTACACAGTCTACTAAAATAATAACTTTACATTTTAAAAATAATAGAAATTGCATAATTTCTTATCCCACAATTGCAAAGCAAAATTTCTAAGTATTATTTGATAGCAAGTCTTTCTGTGTTCAGTTAACAAGACAGCTCAAAACTATACCTGATTTATGATACTACAAGCTTTTTCAAATATTGGTCAATTATATGACTGATTAGAGCCCCAGAAAAGTGGGTATAGACTAAGTATAGCTTCTAAGTAAAATATCATTTAATTTGTTCTGAGTTGAAAAAGAAATGTATATAACTCTGTATATAAGATTATTGCATCAAGGAAAGGAGTATTCCTTCAAGAATACTTTCGATTAAATTCACTTTATTTGTGTTGTGCCATCCTTTGTCACTGTACTCTGAACCTTGTTAGGAAATTCCTTTGGACACACTGTATGTCCCGAAGCACTTAACATTCCTAAATGGTTTTCTTGGAACTTGCTTTTCATTTCCTCTGCCAGGCATGCCAGTGAATTTGACCTTTGATCTATAAAAAATGCACTTCAATATAAATGGAGGTAGGAGAATTGTGGTTCCTTGTCACCTTTTATATGTTGAAAAAGTACATTTTTAAAAACATTTTGAGAAAACATACAATTAAACAAAATATATAGTTAGTTAGGTTCATAGCACATCTCCTCCACACCCTTCTTTAGTGAATATATTTTTAGATTAGGTTACAGTCAATGACTTATGCATTCTTTATGTCACCACAAAGACAAATAGCATTAATTTGCATTCTTATTTTATATATTCTTCTAGTCATCTTTATTATTCAGAAGGCAAGAACAATTAAGCAAGTAAATATGCTGCTATGTACTTCTAACATTTTTAGTTCATTCTTCAAACAGGATATATATATATCATTGCAGGCATGCATTTAATTCTCCTAATTGAAAATAAATTCAAGTCATTTTAAATAATAAATGCATTCATTTGAAATACCGTAAGTAAGCCTCCACTCCATCTATGACTAAGTGACAAAATTTTTGACCACTTATCTTCTTCACATATATTCAATAAAAAGAAAACAACAGGCCGGGCGCGTGTGGCTCACACCTGTAATCCCAGCACTTTGGGAGGCCGAGGTGGGTAGATCATGAGGCCAGGAGATCAAGACTATTCTGGCTAACACGGTGAAACCCCGTCTCTACTAAAACTACAAAAAAAAAAAAAAAAAAATTAGCCGGGCGTGGTGGCAGGTGCCTGTAGTCCCAGCTACTGCTACTGGGGAGGGTGAGACAGGAGAACGACGTGAACCCGGGAGGTGGAGCTTGCAGTGAGCCCAGATCGCGCCACTCCACTCCAGCCTGGGCTACAGAAGAGACTCTGTCTCAAAAAAAAAAAAAAAAAAAAATGAAAACAACAAAAATAAAAATTAAATTAAAGAAAAACATAATTGAGTGGCAGCACTTACTAACTTTATTTTACTATATAGGAGTAACATTCAAATTTGTCATTTGTATTTAATGCAGAATTCCTCACTTTACTTGGATTGTGCTTGGTACTTATTCTAAAGTAGAAGTTTAAAATGATTTTACAAATACAGACTAATATTTCATTCATTCAACATATTTATTGTACATGTATTAATGCTGAACACTAGGGAAGATGTTGGAGATACAATGTGAATAAGACAGAGTTCCACTTTCAAGGCCACTGATATGGTGGTTTGGCTCTGTGTGCCCATCCAAATCTCACTCATCTTGAATTTGTAATCCCCATGTGTCGAGGGAGGGCCATGGTGGGAAGTGATTGGATCATGGGGACCGTTTCTCTCATGCTGTTCTTGTGATAGTGAATGAGTTCTCACAAGGTCTGATGTTTTAAAACTATTTGGCAGTTCCCTCCTGGCTCTCTCTCTCTCCTGCCACCATGTAAGACATGCTTTGCTTCCCGCCGTGATTGTAAGTTTCCTGAGGCCTTCCCAGCCATGTGAAACTGGGAGTCAACTAAACCTTTTTTCTTTACAAATTACCCAGTCTCAGGTAGTTCTTTACAGCAGTGTGAAAATGGACTAATAGAGCCACGTATAAGGAAATATGTAATTAACAGAAACCAATACATTCTGTGATGGGAGTAAGTACAGGATGCTATGGCAGCATATAGGAGACACATGAGGAATCTCATTTGGGTGTGATGGATAAGGTGAAGGGATTTTACATAAGACCTGGAGGTTGAGAAGAAATTAGCCAGATAAAGAAGAATTATGCCAAATGAATAAACACATTAAAACTTTAAGAATTTCTTCAGATGTACATCGATTCCTCTTTCAGGCCTGAGTTAATAAATGTTATACTGGAATGTACCTTGTTGAGCAGAGCCAACTCTTCACTTCATGATTTAGAACTGTGGTGTTGGTGTGACTTAAGTGAAAGAAGTTAATGCAGTAATCGGAACATTAACCCAAGGAAGATTCTAGGCCTGCCCATTTCCCTGAAGTTTCCCAGTAAATCGTTACTGCATGACTCCTCCAGCAATTTCAACAGAAAGCTTTAATAATTTAGATGTTGAATAAGATTATAGAAAACTTTATTTAAAATATATGAGATTTAAATTTATAATTTTAAAAATTATTGGTTCTAGCCAGTTTTCTAGATTGCTGTAAAATACAGTTATTGACCAAGTTTGTGAATTAGTTCTCCCATCTTAACTAGATTATATTGAACAAATATAATTATGTAAGATTATATATAACAAATGATTGTGTGGTGATCAGCTGATATTACTGCCACTATTATAACATGAAATGTTCAATTATTCACAGTTGAATTCTGTCATGTCACAATGACAACCATGAAATGAAAATCCTTTAGAAAAATAAAAGAAGTTGCAAAACATGTTTTAGTTTAATTTCTTAAATTAAATTTAATAGGGAGTATATGGAGGGGACCGGCCTGAGGAAATGAGAGTAATAAGGAGTGATTATATGAAAATGTGAAAACGATCTCACTGTATTACCAACAGTTGCCTATTTGGTGAATAAGTTTTGGTATTCCTACAAAAAACAAAATAATATAAGACTATGATTTTTATTAGTTTCACTATTGGGAACACTATAGGAGCAATTATTATGGGCCCCAAAACACTTTGTTACAATTAAAATTGTTCAGGTCAAAGGGAGAAAAATCATAGTTGGTAGTTGAGTCATTCCATTAGAAGATAATAATTTCTTGATGTATGTCTATTTTACAAAACACACATTCAGGTTAAAAGAGGTGTCCAGTGCAGGTGCGGTGGCTCAGGCCTGTAATCCCAGCACTTTGGAAGGCCAAGGTGGGTGGATCATGAGGTTAGGGGTTCGAGACCAGCCTAACCAACTTGGTGAAACCCCGTCTCTACTAAAAATACAAAAATTAGCCGGGTGTGTTGGTGCATGCCTGTAATCCCAGCTACTCAGGAGGCTGAGGCAGGAGAATCGCTTGAACCTGGGAGGCAGAGGTTGCAGTAAGCCGAGATCATGCCCCTGCACTCCAGCCTGGGTGACAGAGTGAGACTCTGTCTCTAAAAAAAAAAAAAACACAAAAAGGGAGAGATGTTCAACAGGATATCAGGATATCAGTTTTCAGTTTTACTAACCCGACCAATCAATGGCACTAGAGATAATAGTCAAGGTATTATACTGTAGAATTTCCCCAAGTGACATATGTTTGGAGAATTGAACACCAAGTATTAAATCAATGGAAAAGTTGCCAACTCCACTTGGAGACCAAAGAATCATTTAATTACCATTCACAAAACTAATCTGGCAAATTATATATCAAATTAGCTATTAATTTGTTATCAATTTGAACAGAATATGGTAGCATGGCATTTATTAGCCAATGGAAAAAAATAATGAATGATAACTATTCTTCTGTGATGGTTTATTTTAGGTGTCAACTTGACTGGATTAAGGAATATCTAGAGATCTGGCAAAGCTTCTGTGTGTTTGTGAGGATGTTTCAAAGAAGAAATTGGAGTGTAAGTCAATGGACTGGAGGGGAAAGATCCGCCCTCCATGTGAGCAGACACCATCTCATCAGCTGGAGGACTGATAGAATAAAAAGGCAGAGGAATACAAAATTTACATGTCCCTCAGAGCCAGGGCATTCATCTTCTCCTGCCCTTGGGTGTCAGAACTCCAGCGTCTCCAGGTTCAAACCCTAAGATTTACACCAGTGCCACCCACCCCACTGCCCCCTGCCCTGGGTTCTCAGGCATTTGGTTTTGGACTGAGAGTTTCATCATTGGCTTCCCTGGTTCTAAGGCTTTTGGTCTTGGACTGATTCGTGCAATTGACTTCCCTTGTTCTATAGTTTACAGACAGCCTGTTGTGGGACTTCTCAGTCTCCGTAATCACATCAGCTTATTCCCCTATAAATCCCCTTTCATATATTATCTATATCTATATCTTTATCTATATCTAATCTATCTAAATCTCCCATTGGTTCTGTCTCTTTGGAGAATTCTCACTAATACATCTTCCAGTTACTCTACCATCCACCTAGAATTATCCGACTTGCAATATGCTCTGCTTAGGTTTCTCCATAGTAGCCATAAAAGAGATTGATAGGGAAAAGTGCGCTGCATTTTGGTCTGTAAAAATCTTTATCTTGCAAGTTTTATTCTTTAATAAATAATTACGTGTATGACAACTTACACATAACTATAGGTACCTTAAAGACGTCTTACACTGTACACCTGGGGTCCCAAGATTTCATAGGCTTTAGCATCTGTCCCAGAGTGTTTATTTTAATACAATATTATGTTAGTTGTATTAAAATAAAACAGAATGTGTTATGTAGACCAACATTTTGTACATTCTGCTTTGGTCATGGTCTGACCTACTGGTGTAAGATGCATGTGCTACATATAGTTCTTATTTTAGCAAGGTAAATCAGAGCTGACCAGAGATAAGCTCCTTCTTTTCTAAGTTAGAGAAAAGTGAGATCACTAACACCTCCCTTTCAAGGACAGTGTGCAGAGTTCTAACTGATAAATAAAGTTAATTCAGAATTAAGTGTCTAGATACAACTAACTCCTTCCAGTAGAGGTAAGATTGGGAGTTCTTGGCCCTGCTGCCACTACAATGTTTTGATCACTCTTACTATGGCCTTTGCTGCATCCTGTGAGATGTACTTGATCAGTGTGTCACAAGTTAGTGGAATCAATGGGAAAGTTTATCATAAACAACTTATACACACTGATAATACTGACCATTTACTATGGTAGCCTAATGATAGTACTGAACAGATGAAGCCCAGAAACTGCTGCAAAATTCAGCATTTATTTCAAAATCTGAGAGTCATAAGAAGCCAGACAACTTTAGCAGGTATATTTGTAATCTACTTCGTAAAGGTTGATTTTGCATTTAGATCAAATTGCTTGCTTTTAATTCCAATTGTCTTGTTCATATATGAAAAGTGAAGCAAAAGCTGTTATGTTTGTGCCATTAACAGTAGGAAAATTTTAGGTCAGGCATAGTGGCTCACTCCTGTAATCCCAGCACTTTGGGAGGCTGAGGTGGGCGGATCACTTGAGGACAGGAGTTCGAGACACAGGCTGGCCAACATGGTGAAACCCTGCCTTTTCTAAAAATACAAAAATTAGTAGGGTGCCGTGGCGGGCACCAGTAAGCTCAGCTAGCTACTCAGGAGGTTGGGAAGGTAATCGCTTGAACCCACGAGGCGTAGGTTGCAGTGAGCTGAGATAATGCCCCTGTACTCCAGCCTGGGCAACAGAGCAAGCCTGTCTCAAAAACAGCAACAACGGCAGCAACAACAACAAAACAACAAAACACATACACATACACTAAGTAGGAAATTTTCCCAAATACCGAAATAATACAAATTTCATATTGGTGTCATCAGATATTTCAACTAGAATATCAAGAAAGTTAATTCAGATAAAGATGATATTATTTAATCCAATTTATGTATTCTATATAAAGGTTTAGAAAATTCATTAGGTAAAAGGTGAAACATATGACATTATTTTGAACATTAATATCAACTAATTTAACATTCAAAATTCAAGATAATTTATTTGAAGTGATGGTCTGAATATGATATTTGGTAGAGCAAAGTAGGGAGACAAATGAAGGATCCTACTAATTAAGAAAATCTGAGAAATGGAAATGTACTTGGAATTTGTTGTAATGAATCCCTAATTTATAATTGGGTAGAAGCTAGCTATAATATTACACCCATTGAAAGAGAAGTTGAAGTGCCAATATATACAACTATTTTTGTACCTACATGATGAAAATAATTTTTTGTAATGAAGTTGATGTTGAATACAAAAGAATACTTCAACATTGCAGACTTTGTGACATAGCCTTCTTTTATGAATTGATTTTAAACATATGTGAACCTTTGAAATCTACTTTGTAAATCAACATATGTGTACTACAAAGATTTTTAACTTCTTTTGGCATATAAGTCTAATTTTGTTTGCATTTTTTAAAATTTCTTTGATTTATTGAATCAAAGTATTTACAAATAGAGTACCAAATGACTAGCTTTTAAATCTCTTATTGAATCAAAGTTCCTGTTAAAATAAACATGCAAACAGGAAAACGTTGAAATGTATGCCCACAAAAGTAAGGGAGGAATGGAACAAATTAGATGAAGAGCGCTTACACAGTGTTTAAGATTTATTTTTGTAATTGCCCCTTAAAATATTTCCACTTGTAGAAGTTTCTTTTGATTGCATTCCTATTTTTAATTTGATAAATTTGTATTCTGTAAAGGAAAGGATCGAAATTAAGAAGCCTTACAATTTTACAGCACCTAAGTTTGTCAAATCATTCAAAACAAACATAAATGACATTATTTACTGAGTTTTATTTTGCAAAAATATTTGTCAAAGAAAGGTACTTAATAAAGCAAAAATACAATATATATAAAAACTCACGGTTTAAACTGTGCACACATTTAATTAAAAAGACCCCAAAATTAAAAATTGAGAAACTTTATTTTACAGCCTTTACTCTGATCTTGCTAGGTAGCAAAACATCTATCGAGAATGTACTTTGTCAACTGGGCGCAGCACTTTGGGAGGCCGGGGCCGGCGGATCACTTGAGATCAGGAGTTTGAGACCTCCTGGCGAACACAGTGAAACCCCGTCTCTACTAAAAATGCAAAATTTAGCAGGGCATGGTGGCAGGTGCCTGTAATCCCAGCTGCTCAGGAGGCTGAGGCAGGAGAATTGCTCGAACCCAGGAGGCGGAAGTTGCAGTGATCCAAGATTACAGCACTGCACTCAAGCCTGGGTGACAGAGGGAGACTCCATCTCAGAAACAACAACAAAAAAAGGAGAATGTAACTTGACTTGTCAATACTATGATCTCCAGAGAGGAGTCCATTGAAAATGTCAATTTTTCTTGACAGTGTCAACTAATGATGAAGTATATGATCTCTGTGTTCTGAAGAGGCTATGCATTTAGAAGTCTAGAACATTCTAACTTTTCCAAAGGCAACAGTGCATATTATACACTGGATGTTTTAGTGGGATCCATTAAAAAATTTACACAATCTTATGTATTTTTAAGCATTTTTAAAATTAAACACAGACAGAAGTGTGCACAAATTGAAAGTGTACAGTCTAATGAATTTTTACAAAGTTACTACGTCTGTGTAACCAACACCCAGATCAAACACAAAACATGACCAATATCCCGGAAGTCCTCTGGTATCGCTCTTCAGCTAATTTACCTGCACCCTTAGGGTAACCTAACAGCACACTTTTCATGTGTGTTGTCATGGGCAGATTTTTAAAACTTTATTAAATCACCTCATATGACATGCCCTGAATTATTTCATTCAATATTATTTTCATTGAGATTAAATTACATTGTTATGAGCATTGTTTTAATATTCTCATTCCTTTATAATATTCCATTGTAAAAATAAATTACAATTCATTTATACATTCTACTCTTGATGGACATTTGGGCTACTTCCAATCTGAGGCTATTGTCTGTAACGCTGATATACACATTTGGGCATGAGTTTTTTAGGCTTTTGTGCATATTCCTAATGTAGACTTTCAAAATCTCATTTTATTTTTTAAATTCAATTTAAATAAATTAAATCCTTTATTAAAGTAACCTCTCTTTTTTTTTTTTTTTTTCAGTGTATACCAGGACAGTCTAATGCCTTGAGTAGGTTGGTAAACATTTTACACTTTTCTTTCTGTAGGTTTCTTCTACTTGTGTTTGTTTTTATAAATATCCACCCATTTATTCATTTTCTTCTGCCCCTAAATGGTATCCAGAGCAATCACCATATAATTGTGCGACCACTTATGGAACACTTTCCTATTACTCTTATTCTCAAACCGATTGTTGTAATAATTTTGCACAAAAATTAACATCTATCAGTGTAAATATCAATAATACTATGCTCATTTCAACCTGATTTTAGAGTTTTTTCTTTGGAACAAGGTGGGTTATAAATAAGTAAATTACTTATACAAATAATCTGTCCCAAAGTATACTTTACTGCAAGCAGCAAAGTTTAGGTGAGACAATTAAATTGTGGTTTCAAAATTCTTTATACAATCTTTTAGAAAAACTACTTACTCTTTCGCAAAATATATAACAATACATAGACTAGGTATCGATTGCCTTGTGTGAGATTAATTGGAAATTGGGAGGTTTTTTTTTCTTCTGAGCAGCAGCAGGGCATTTTATTGAAATGAGATCAGTTATTTTGATGCTACACTTGATATTATCTATTTTAGTATATTTACCTCTTTGAAATATGAAATTGCCTATTGGAAATCCTATGAACTTCTTGGAAACATTAAGGACTCAGAAAGTAATCTATTTTTTATAGATATTAGAAATATAATGGTGATTAGCAATAAACTACCAGTAACTGATGAAGTGTAGAGAGAATTAAGCCAACCTAATATTGCTTAACTATCATTTTGTATGCCTGAACTATTGTGTGGTTAGCGGTATTTTCTTTGTTTCTAAATTTTGAGTAAATCAATTTTAACCTCTGTATTATTTAATAAATTGCAGGTAAGCTTAGATATATTTAGCCATTTTAATGTAAATACAAGTTATGAAATAAAACAGCATTACATAAAAAATTAATGTCCTCATACATGAACAAAATGGAGTGAAAAATTTCTAACAAATAAAATCAAATAGATTTAGACCTAATACATCATAAAAGCAATGGCAATAGCAGCAATAAGAACAATATTAATACCCAGTGCTTTTGTAGTCATTATTGTGGTAAAAATATATTTAAATAAAAGAAAAAAAATACCCAAATGCTTAATGGCGGCACATAATCTGTGTGCTGAGACTGGTGCTAATCCCTGTTTATTCATTCATTGACTTATTTTATCCCAGCAAAAACTGAGATTTACGGAGATTAAGTTCTTATATAATGTTACGCAGCAAGTAGTAGGAAACCCACAACTGGACCCTAGACTGTCTAATTTAAATGTGTGTCCTTTTAACCATTCTATTGGCTCTCATTAGAATGAAGAGGAATCTTTAATAAGAAATAATAAAAGAAAGAGTGTTTATTCTGTAGTGCCTTTTTTTGTTCTTCTCAAATAATTGTATATGTTATAAAGTGTCCATCATGCAAAAAGGGGTCTATGAACTGATTGCCTTAAATTACAGTGGCAAACACATTTTTTTTGCCCACTTTTAGGTGACCGGGTGTGCACTACCCCTCAATGAGCTGTGAACAGGCCTACTGCTGTTTCATAATGTGCATTTGGCTTTCCTGGACCTACCGTGAAGATCTTTTAAATCTCAGTTTTCTTCCAGGTATCTCTCATTGTTATTCTTATTACACATTTTTCACTGCCTTCTACTTACTGCCCACATCAAGGTCAAATATCTTTGTAACCCACTGCTGTGCTTTTGCTTCAGCCTACATCATTTCACTCATTCCTCCTACCTGCTTTCCTAATGTCTCTTTTCGTTTTAAACATTGCATCTTCCACCTACCTACTCGAAGATTTGAAGATTTCCTTGGAGGATTCTAGCTACTAGCTACTTGTATGTAAATAGATAAGTTTTTCCAAGGCAAACTTACTCTAAAAAACGAAAAGTTTGCTTTTTCAATCATGCATAGGCCTAATATTCTATACTTACACTTTTCTAAATGCAAGTATAAAATAAGAATACTTCCTTATAGAGTTTCATCAAGAAATTATTAAATTATTCTTCATATGATTTTGAATACTCATGATTCTTCATACTTTTATAATTAAGAATAATAATTATATTACCATATTTATGCATTAGTAGGCTTTATGCTAGTTTGTAATTTTTGTATTACCCTCTTATTAGCTAGCAAGTAAGAAATCTTGAACTTCACTGATTGATATGTCACTCTATATTGTATTCAAATTTAAAAATGTTTTAGTACAAACAGACATATTCTATAACACGTATTTTATTATTTAGTAAATTCATTCATTCATTCATTCATTCATTCAACAAATACAATTTGGCACCTACTATGTGCCAGGTAATACAATTTGCACAAGGACTACAGTGCTTTGAGGGCCATGGAAAGTCTCAGTTTTTATGAAGCCTGCAGTCTAGTAGACTAAATAGTAAAAGTGTTAGCAAAAGACAAAGTAAATATGTTTTAAAAGTACTAAAGTTTTTTGTTTTTGTTTTGTTCTTTTTTTTTAGTTAATGATTAGTGGCTCAAGGATATAAATAAAAAGAAGGGGATGGATGTTAACAGTGGTGGGGTCAGGTACAAATATGTTGATCCTTAATTTCATACGCAGTACTTGAAATTCGAAAGACCTACCATATCACTGCTACATCAAAATAAACTTCATGATGTTTGCCAGCCGTATCTATTGTGAGTTTCCTCCCAAACCTGGTGTTTCACTTATTTTGGGCACTGTACTTTGCCCGTCAGCACTGGAATAAGGGTTGGGAGAGTCAGCATTCAGTCCAATCCTTCCTTCACCCACCTAACTTACATGGACAAACAATTAGACTGTCAAAAGAATGCATTACTCATGAAATGAGGGATTTAGACTAGTCATGGTTCTTAACATGGGTCCATAGACTCTAAAATTTATGAAAACTATGAACTTAGATTAAGAAAAATTATATATTTATTTTCAAAAACCTCTAACTGAAATTCAGCTTTTCAATTATGAATAACTTTAATAGTAACAGCATTTCCTATGAATACTTCACCAATAGAAGTCACAGATATCTTGTATTACATTAGTGTTGTTATAGATATCTCAAATTATTATTTAGTCCTATCATTATAGAAAAATTATGGCAAATATTAGTTCTTCCTATTAAAGGCCTTAATAAAGAAGTACATTACCAAATCAAAAAAAAATTTTAAATACTGTAATGGCACAATTTTAACAAAATTTGTTTCCTGTATAATCCTATGTGTTTTATTTTGTGAAATACAAAGATCAGGATGCTGTATAAAAATGATTATATGAAATAAAATACACAGACATAAATTTAAATATGCATATTCTGTTTAAAAATTTCAGTTAGGGTGGAACTGCACAGAGACTGGTATTTGAACTGAGAGCTAGAGAATGTGGGGCAGTGAATCCTAAGAAAAGTGAAGGAGACTCCAGGGCTAGACAAAAGTCCCAAACTGAAAAGAACTTGGTTAACATATATGAGAGGCAGAAAAAGAAAATGAGTGTGGCAACAAGTAGTTATATGTTTTTTTCCAGCCATGCTCAGCTGCATGGATCCAGGAGCTGAACTGATGAAGAGATGAATGTGAACTATGATTGGGTTTTAGCTGAGAGTTTGATAGTGGGAGCCTATGTGCTAGGCATTGATGACAATGTGTACCATGGAAATTAAGCAAAGTAAGGAGAAATACGAATATTGCAAGTGGAGAGATTGAAAAGGATTAGTGAGAAGATGGTAAAATTGATGGGTTGCAGGTTATAGTGAGATCTGAGGATTGTTGGAGCTGGATATTAGAGGTAATATGTAGGAAGCCTATTGTAGTAGTACTAGTAAGAGATAACAATGGCTATGGAAATGCAGAGAAGTATATAATTCAGGATATTTTAGTGTTATTATTGTTAGAATACTGGAAAATAAGCTCAGTGAGATAAGTTAGCTCAGTGAGGTAACTTACTTCAGTTATTCCCTCTACTTGGAGTAAAGAGTTCACTGCTTTATTTCTAGTCAATAGAATTGCTTCTAGAACACAGAAGATAATAAATATTAAAAATTAAATGAATGCTTATATGTGAGATCAAGATGTATAATGACTTCCAGGTTTCTGAATGGATACAATTTTTAAAATAGGAAAGAGATTGGATAACAGGTTTGTGTTTTTTTCTTAAAATTATTATGAATCATACATATTATTATAATCATCTTCCTTATCAATAACAATGGTTTTTGAGCATCTATACAGTAGAAATATTGTGACCAGTACTATAAGAAAAAAAAGAATGAGATATACGATTCTTTATTTAATAAAATTAAGAGCATGTAAGGACTTAGTTAAAATGTAGGCATATATGGTACAAAACAATAATAGATTCCCCCCCACACATACAAAACTAAATATTTAAAGAGAATGCTGAAATATTTTCAGTGTCTTAATTGAAAACTGCTTTGAACTTTGAATTCCATTGCCAGCCTAACTATCAACCAAGTATGAGCAAAACAACAACATATTCAGAATACAAGATAAAGGAACTCTGTACTCTCTTAAAGTATTATTTGCAGGTATACTTTAGCAAAACCCCAAAATAAGTTACATAATCAATAAACTACAATCAATAAAACTCAAAGCAATTAACAAAAATCTCTGATTTATTGCCTTCTTGAAGCGGAAGAAGTTTGTCTCAAATTGTTATTTTAACAATTACTATCAATGAGCAGTAAGTCAACTGAGTGATATGTTGGAGATAATTGTTTTTGTTATATCAACAATTAAGAAACAAAGCAAAATCAAAGACAATTAACAATTCCAGGAAAAATAAACTGCTATACTAGAAAGCCATAATCCCAATAAGAAGTAAACAAAGCATAACATTATTTGGAACAAATTAATATAAAACAAAAAAAGATAACTCAATTGGTTTTGGTGATTAAAACATTTTATTTGTGACATTAGATTTATCAATGTGGAATTATTTCGTATTCTCTTCAAATTATGCTCCACTAGTTATGCTGTTATTCAGAATTTTAATATTGAGTACACTTGATATTGCAAAAACTGTTTTTTACTCGATTTAATAATGAAATATCCTCAAGCATAGCATAATTATCCCACTAAATTGGAGGTTTTTAGAGGACAGAGATTCTGTTTTGTTAACTGCTGTATGAATATCACCAAAAGCAGTATTTACCCTGACACACAGTAGGCACTGCCTAAATATTTCTTGATAATCATGTGACAACACATATCTGTTATTCACTTTGATAGTTCTGGGAAGGGGAGGTGAAAGGAAATATAGGAAGATAATTTGTTATATGTATTCTTTGGTAAGAGCCATAAAAAGCATAATAAACACTACTGTAAAAAATGAATGAACAGGAAACAGCTCCTATATTCATGGAACTTACAGTGCAACCAGAGGCCATACATAAATAATTGAAAAAATAAAATGTGACAGGTCCTGTGATGCTGACATTAACAAAATATAATGGCAAAAATATAAAAGGAAACTTTAGTTCACTTGAGAGAGGCTAAGATGGCTGAGAAAGGGAAATACCTGTGATGGATCTTGAAAATAAGTGAGAATCCTTAAAAAAGTTGGGGATGGAAGGTGGTGAAGAGAACAATAAATCAAAACGAATATCACAGGGAAACAGCACAGCCTATAAACAGTTTGGTGTGGAGGAAGGGCTGGACAAAAGATTGGAGAGGTTGCTGAGGACTTAGCCAGCACATGAAAAGAGTTTAGACCTAACTCTTTGTACCTATTGCACAGATACAGTTTCCTAAAATCCTGTGAACTTACTGATTAAAAAAAATCATTGTGAGAGATGTTACTGAAGAAAGGCAACTTATAAAATGAAGTTAAAGCTCATTTGGAATAAGGGTGAGAATAGAAGACAGACAGCCAATCATGGAATGAGAGATCACCTTCTCAGAATAGTGGCTCTAAATAATCTTTCATATAATAACAGTGGTGTATGTGAAGAACAGCTTTTTTCCTCCCAACAAAACACAAACAAAATACCACATATGTAGAACAAAGACAAATTATTAAGGATAGCTGTTCATAGGCCCCAGTGGCTCCTGAAGCCCAATTTTATTGCATGTATTCTTCCTTAAACTCCTCTGTAAATGTGAGATTGTAGGGCATTCATGTTGAATAGCTCTTCCTTCTATCAATTGTATTATAAAAGTACAAACTATCACTAAAAATTAAAGAAGAAAGGAAGGAAGAAAGTCAAAAAGAAAGGAAAGATACAACAAAAGAAGAAGGAAAAAGATCAAGTTGATTAATGTGCCAGGAATTCCTGCACATTGCTGTACTTAAGTGTTTATTGGCAGAAAGGCAAATGTGCATCTTGCTTGCTTTCATTTTCCCAAAACACAACTTAATTAATGTTGTCATATAGCTCCTGGTAATAGACTTACACCGAAACAGTCCTCCCACGCCACAAGATCAATGGAACCCTGGAAGCTACAAGAGAAAGAAATTAGAATGTGCATCAAATTTGTGAAGCTCATAAGGAAAACACATTTGTCCTTCATGTATTTTTAAAGAGATTCTTGTTTCGTTATATCTTATAAATGGTTTCTCTGTTTAGTATAGCAGATAGAATTGAATTTTGGTAGTATCCCATTTTTCAGAATAACAGAATGCCATTCAGTTTTAATAAAGATGTTAGTGGTGATACTATTATGTTTAGGTGTCCAGTTATTCTGTAGGGACTTTGCAGTTCTGAGAAAAAATCTTGACATATAACCTCATTTATTTGCCTCATTTTCTTCTTTCCTAAGTCTTTAAGATTCAAGAATAAAGTCTGTTGCCAAAAAAAAGAAAGATGATTTTTTTTCAATCAGCTATATCTCATGTTTTGTTTTCAGTAGCATATTGGATTGTATAACAGAAAAAAAAACTGATAATTTAGAATAGCACTTTGGAATATGCATTCATGTAAATCTGTTTGCTTCTAGACTTTGTAATTTTTAGATGAAAATACTGGTTTATTAATTATAACTTTGGGATCAAACTATCAGGACTGAGAGAACTGAGGTTTTTTTTGCCAAATACTGCTTATGCAAATAAAAAAATTGCATCTCCCTTATTTCATAAGTATTGATTTATTGCATCACATATTCATGCTGATTTTCAACTTTAGGTATTTGCTATTTGCTTTTTCAATATGGAGTCATTCCAGAGCAGAATTAGTCAAAACATGAATAATTTGTCACAAAGTTCTATTTTTTCTTTGTTTATTTTCATATTTTATTATTTTGACAGCACATACTATGTGAGAAAAAAACAGATTTAACTTATTAGGAAGTTTATATTTTTGGTGTGTTTGAAAAAATAGCATTGTTGGACTCAATATTCTCAAATTTGTTGAAAACTTTATTAAAATAATTTAAAACGTGATTTTGGTATCTAAAATTATTAATAGTTTTAATAATTACTCTATAGAAATGTGATAGGCCTATTATATCCATGGTTCTGAGAGTTCTTAAATTGATTGGAAGACCTAGCATGAGGTCAAGAACTCCATATATATTTTGATATTTTGGATTTGTAATATAACAACAATAGTATTACATGCTCATTTAAAAAAATCACTACCCGGATTTGTAAACTCCAGTTTCTTTATCCAATGACGAGTTCTAGTGGGCTATAGGATTTTTTTATTTTTATTTTATTATTTTTATTTTTTTATTTTATTATTATTATACTTTAAGTTTCAGGGTACATGTGCAGATTTTATGACCCTGTATCTACATGTTCTGCTCAGGCTATTAAACTAGTTTTAATTCACACTATCAGTACAATTTAGAAAAGGCAAATGGTTCATTAACTTTCTTACTTCCAATGTAAAATTAAGATTCCTTATTTCCTTTTTATTCTAAGTAATGATGCAAAACTTCAAGAGAGTTTGCTAAAGCTATCTTGGTTATATTGAAGGAATATTTTAAGAATTTAGTATCAGCAACCAATTTTAAATACTTCTAGCATCTCTGCAACATAGATGAAAAGGAGTCACCATTAAAATGATCAGAAAAATGTGCTCTTGATTAATACTTGCTATTGCTCATTTAATATATTAAATCAATATTTTGTCAGAGCAATTAAATTCAAGTTTTTATAGTTGAGTGTGAATAAGAAAAGTGACATCAATAATTAATGAAAATTACATTGCGTTAATGAATTGCAAAATTGCATTACCTTATTACTGTATGTAATAAAAATTAATGCCTAAATATCCAAACGGCTAAATTATTCTCTTTTCTGAGACTGTGTGAATACAGTAGAGGTAGTTCTGATTTTTCTGAGCATGACAAAGCACAATAACAAAAAAAATTATTCTATGCATAGGTATGTATTGTCTACACAATATGGATTATAGACAGAAAACATACTTCTTAATTTTCCGGAATTACTTAAATAGATATAGTTGAGAAATATAGTAATGTTAAAAACTTAACAAATATGAGTGTCCTTTCCTATTTTATCCACCAAATGTATTTATATTATATCCATAAATTTGGCTCAAAACTGGACCAGTTTCAAGAGTAATCAAGAACTAGATAAATAGCATTTAGCTGAAGTTGTATGATGAAGATTCAATTACTTTTTGCAGTATTGGTAAGCTATCCAAAATCTTGGCACTAATTTAAAATTTTAGCAAGTGTAATACCAGCCTAATTTAGGTAAATTACAAATTAGTAAATATGTAGTATTGGTAATGTGGACCATTTTCACCTCATATGAACCTTCTGCTAATTCTTATATATCATTTTCTGTTATTTTTGGTTAAAAGTGCTTCAAAGTAAATGTATGTATGTGTATCTGTGTGTGTGTGCATGCACACATGTCAAATGATTCCATATTGTTTCAAGCATCTCTTTCATGAAGCAATTTTAAATAGGTTAAGGGATTAGATAGTCCCAAGTATTTCACATACCAAAGAATGTTGCCACAACCTAGTCTATTCATGGCAGGGATAAATAACACAAAAGTTACATAGGGTACAGGAAAGTGGTTTGTAATACACCGAAAATGATATCTGTAAATGATTTTAGACACACTCTTTCTGTCCGGTATAAATTGGAAATTCAGAGAAAGATTTTTCTTATAAAATCTTGGAATACATAAAAATAATGAAAAATGCTGGAGAAGATATGGAGAAAAACAGGAAAGTGTTGAACTTGATAGCCTATATTTATTTTACTGTCATGCCCATGACAAGTACATGGCTAATCATTGGGAATAATAGCAGCATTTACTAATAGCACTGAATGAGTAAGCACATATTTTATTCTAGGCATTTTAATAAACACTTTACTTATATTATCTCATGTAATCCTCAAAGAACTCCCACAAGATACATGTTATGATTATATCCACTTTACAGATAAGAATACTAACACAAAGAGCTGGTAAGTATTAGTTATTTACAGTGCCTGGAAGCCATTGTTTACATTCGAAAAAATATAATATTCAATAGAATGTAAATTTTGCCCTCTAGTGTTACAGGAGAAGCAGCTCTACCAAGATTATAGCTAGTAAGAAAAAGAAACTGAAGGTGAATTTGTGAAATCAAACTTATGAGTGTTTTTAAATACTTTATCCATGCTATATAATATTGCTGTTCTCGTGATAGTGAGTGAATTTCTCATGAGATCTGATGGTTTTATAAGGGGCTTTTCCTAAAACCCTTTTGCTCAGCACATCTCCTTGCTGCTGCCATGTGAAGAAGGACGTGTCTGCTTTCCCTTCTGCCATGATGTTAAGTTTCCAGACCCTTCCCAGCCATGCAGAACTGTAAGTCAATAAGCCTCTCTCCTTTATAAATTACCCAGTCTCAGCTATTTCTTCATAGCAGCATGAGAACAGACTAATACATACACAATCTATCAACGTGTGTATTAATCTACCAATGTTGTTAAAAATCACTACAGTTTTTTCTTTCCTATCACAACCACTGTGATTATTAAATTGAATAATCCCATTGTCTGTCCATTTGACCATTAGTTTATTAAATTTATTCTAGTAAATTATAGCTCATCCTTCGTACATCATTTTGAGTGTCTCTTTCATAAAACAATTTTAAATATTGGCAAAATTACTGTTTATGTATTCATAATATATTTATGTCTACATGTATATGGATTATGAGAGAAAAATGATTTTCTTTTTAAGAAACATATTGGCATGGTAACTAAGCAAATAGCATGAAAAAAATTATTAACAGGTCTATTCATGAATATATAATTGGAGGAAGGAAGTTGACAAAAATAACAAATACATGTGTGGACCATCTTTTTTCTGAAGATCTAATTTTTACTGAAATCCGAAAACAGAGTTGAGTTAATAGGTCAATAAACTACTGGATGTGGTAGACAGAAGCAATAAATCATCAAAATTAAGATAAATTATAAATGGCCGGGCACGGTGGCTCACGCCTGTAATCCCAGCACTTTGGGAGGCCGAGGTAGGCGGATCGCGAGATCAGGAGATGAAGACCATCCTGACTAACATGGTGAAACCCCGTCTCTACTAAAAAATACCAAAAAAAATTAGCCGGGCATGGTGGCGGGTGCCTATAGTCCCAGCTACTCGGGAGGCTGAGGCAGGAGAATGGCTTGAACCCGTGAGGCGGAGCTTGCAGTGAACCGAGATCACACCACTGCACTCCAGGCTGGGCGACAAAGCGAGACTCCGTCAAAAAAAAAAAAAAAAAAAAAGTAAGTCGCAAATACAGGTGGTATTTAAACAGGTATCTCACTTGGATTATCAAATGAGATTTTTGGTCAAGGCAGATACAAAACAGGTCACGGTTGTAGGTAGACTTTGGGTAAATGAATAGGACTTAAGACATAATCAAGCAAATAATAAGGTCCTGGGTTAAAATTTCATGTGACAGAAGAGAAAATTCTTCTCAGAATCCAGACAGTACTGTGAAGGGAAGGACATAATCCCAAACTTCTTAGATCATTAGAAAATAGGTATACAGTCCTCAAAGGTAGCAGTGAAAGAAAATAGGAGAAATCATGTGAGTATTGTAACAGGCACTGGGCAGAGGCCCAGAAAATAAGGGAAATGAACCCTAAGAACTGAGATCTGTTGTCCAACAGGATTACTGTGGAAGTTATTGGAAGGATTGGGTCACCTTGTTTGGGAAGATATCTCAAATAGATAAAATAAGTTGAATTATTTGAGTGACAGCATATTCTTGTTTAGCAGATGTTAGAAAGCTTCTCATAAGACACTGATCCATAATTCGTACTTCATCATTTGTAACGAGGTTTCTAATACTGAGCATCAGGCCTTGTCCAGGAAGAGTAATCTCTTTTAAAACCTTTTTTTCTTCTAGGAAAAGAAATTAAGTTAGATTATTTTTACTTATGTCCCTCTTTTGAGGAGCTACCTTCTAAGTTTTGAGAGCTGATTAGATATGTGATATCATAAGGAGAAAATAAAAATAACTCTTTATGGAAAAAGATTTATAATGAGTGCTTTTGGAAGCTGTTCTTTTAGGTCTTTGTTGGCCATTGTATTGTGCCATTCTTTTTTGAGGAGATCTCTTGTCTACAGGGATAATTTCATTTCAATATTTCACCTAGTCGGCCTGAAGTTCTGATTAAACATTTCAAATTTCACAATAAAATATTAACCATATCCCCTAATCTGGCTGTTCTTTAGGGGATAAATATGTACTAGTTTGGAAGCATGGAATCATTGCAGTCCATATACTTTACAGAGAATATGCCACTATCTTGATGCTCAACATTTATTAATCATTTTAGATAAATAATTAGGAGAATAGCTTAATAGCCAAGTTATTTTCAAAAATTGTAAACTGTATTCTAATATCTCTATAAATTCTTGTTGGAAATATCTTTATTTGAAAAATACATTTCTAGCTTGCAAGATAGAGTTCACTCTGAATTGTATGTATGACCTTATCAAGTTAATAATATCATGAGCAGTTTGATTCAAACGTGCCACTCATTTGTCCTAGAAGAGCATGATAAATTTATAGAATGAAAAATGCCAATTATAAGAGAATATCATTTATCAATTAATGATATTTATAAAGAGATCAAAATTTATTATCAATAGCAACTTGAACTTACAAGAAAAAGCAAATAGGTACTATAAGATAAAAGCATTACAAAGTGGGAAAATAAAAATATAAGAAAATCATTTTACTACTTGCAGCAGATATAATAATGTATTTCAATAATTTAGCTACCCTTCCCTTGACAATTTGTACAAATATTCACTAATACAACAGTAATGGAAGTGTACATGAGGCAGATACTGCTGGTTGCTCATTATCAATTATATAGCAGATATTCAGTAATGGATTGAGATTTTCTTGAGGTGGCAATGTGTCTTGCTAAAAAAAAGAAAACCCTGCTTCTTGATTCACTTGCAACTAAGGGTCGTCATATGATATGTTTCTGGGCTAATAAGACACAAGGTAATTTATTTCAAGAAAGCCCTTCCTGTTCCTACTTACTTCCACTTCTTTCTGCATGCATGGATAACTGCTATGCTTCGAGTTGGAACACTCATTTTGTGATTTTAAGGACAAATAAAAGTTGAAATATAACAAAGTAGCTAAAAACTATCCTAACATCATATATAAAGGAAAATCAGAAAAGTTTAGAGCCTTAGTCAACTTAGGAAGCAAAACCAATAAAGTCTGTCTTTCTAGACTGCATAATGTTTTGGCAAGTCTGAGTCAGGGTCTTGGGGTCTTCCATTTAAAAGTAATGTAACATTTGACAAGATAATATAATTGTTGATAATTTTGATCATATCTAAACTCAAGAGGCTAATCTAAATAATACATTTTTAATGAAGTGGATGGGAGATCAAAAATCTCTAGATTGTAGTTTGATGTTATATATTCAATATGATAGTTGCAAAATTAAATTATGTAGATTAGAAATTAATGACCTCTGTGCCAGTTTGAACAGAAAAACATATTCCTGTGATGATCAATACAACATGGTAAATACCTTATGGAAGGGTTATCATATTCTGGGTATGGGAGGGGTGAGTGCATCAGATTTTTAAATTTATCAAAATTTATCTGATTGTTTTATCTGTTTGCTAAGGGGCTTTTAAAATTCCATGATTTGTGATTTCATGATTAACATTATAATGTATTTGGTGATAAAGCGGGAATATTTCTTTATTTGAAACTCAAGTTTCTTTTCTCTAGTATATTTAAGCAATTATTTATAATTGGATTCAGAACTTAATATGAATATGCAAAATTTTGAAATTACTCCTTGAATGTTTAAAACGGCATTTTTCCCGATTCCCTTTGCCTTTAAAATTTTATAGTTAGAACAGTATATTTTTGTTTAAGAACTCAGAATTAGACTAATATAAAAGTTGAAACTCTGGTTCTTTATAGCTATGACCTTGCATTTCTCTGTGAAAGTGCTTCTTTATGTGTTTTCAATATACTCTCAAATTTTTATAGCCCAATCTAATAACTGTCACAGAGGCTTAGAGGAAATATAGGCATATATAACTAGCAATCTAGAATAGTCTCCTTGATTTCAAATGGGCCTCAAAAACTCTTTGATTCACATGTAGGTATTCTGTAGTGCATAGTGTGCCTTTTCTCAACTTTACAGTGAATACCCATGAAAGTTTACAAAAAAAAAATCCCCTAAAATGTCAAAAACTGCAAACAGCAGAAGAAAATACAAGAAAACTAGTTGGCAAAGTCCAAGGGTTCACTCTTCGTGCATTATTAATGAAGATGTGTTGAGAAATACATTACCGGAATACCCATCACACCTCCATCCTCATGAACCAATTACTGTTAGCTTCAAGCTTTCCTTCTGCAGCTCCCTCACCTCTCTCTGCCTTCATAGAATTGGAGTGAGTTAGGTCCTTGCTCTGGATTGGGCTTTCAACCTCTCTCAGCTTTTGACATGCCTTCCTCACTACACTTAATTATTTATTGCTTTTGATATAGAGTGAGAGATGTGTGGCTTTTTCTTTCACTTGAACACTTAAAGGTTGTTAGTTAGGACTCAGTAGGATTATTAATTGGTCTAATTTCAAAATTCTTGTGTGTCAGGGACTAGGCAGGCCCCAGGAGAGGGAGAGGAATAGGGGGGGATGGCCAGTTGGTAGAGTAGAGCACTCAGAACACAAACATTTGTCAATCAATTTCACTATCTTGTATGAGCGCAGTTTGCAGTGCCCCAAACAATTACAACACTAACATCAAAGATCACTGCTAATAGATCATCATAATGAATATAATAATAATAAAAGTCTGAAATATTGTGGGGATTACCAAAAACATGACATGGAGACAAGAAGTGAGCACATGTTATTGAAATTATGGCACCAGTAGATTTGCTTGACACAGGGTTGCCACAAACCATCAACTGGTAAAAAACACTGCATCTGTGAAGTGCTAGAAAATGAGGTAGGCCCACAGAACACCACAGAGAACTACTTCCCTCCCCACCTCTACTTGCTTCCTAAGAATTAAAAAAAAAATTAAAGGCATTGATCACAGCACTATTCTGTGGTTTCCTAACTCCATGAAATACAAAATTGTCATTCATACTCCTGAATGCTTAGGAACTATTTTTGGAGATAGAGCCAGTCTCCCAACCAAACAACTCCCATCAGGTTTTATCTGCCTGGATCCCTTCAACGATACCACTCAGTAGGTAACATGGCAGGAAATAGGATACTACACACAGAAAGCAATTATACCATGTGATGATAATTGCAAAAGTAAAAATTTATTTTTGGAAATGAAAGAGAGAGGGCACTAGAAGCACTATATGTTTTCAGATGTGGTGTTTCATATCCTTCTTCTGTATCAAAGAACAAGAAATCTCCCAGGTTAGAGAACCTAACTGAGGTTGAACCTCAGTCCAACAGGCCCACTTTAATACATTTCTCTTGGATATCACAAAGTGATTTATGATACTTGTGCATTAACATAGCCTCTTGGTTTAGATCTAAGTGGGGAGGATTATAATAGAGCCTAATAAGCACCCGGTAAGATAGCTAAGGACTCAGTGCTACCAACACTGCCAAATGGAAAATTCTAGGTCCAGAATCATCACATTCCATCCAAGGATAACCGAACATTAAACAAAGCTAGCAAAAAAGCCCAAATGTAATGAGACCTTAAAAAAGTCAAGAGCTATCATGAAAAATAAGAGTAAGAACTTAATTTTGAAAATTGTTTTCTAAAGTAAATACAAGGACATTTAGAGTACATGATTTCTGTGTTTTTGGCAAGATAGGAAGGCCTATTATCATTTGTAGAAAACAAAGATGATCAACAAGTGGAGACAGAGCTGAGAGTCATTTAAGAAATATCTATTGTGATGTAGGAGACACACACACACACACACACACACACACACACAAATAAAATTCCACCACCCTCAAAAAATAACAACTTAATTCCAAGAATGACATTGAGAAACTAAAATATTTAATTACTTCTAAAGAGCACAATTGATGCTGAAGAAAATCAATTTAGAGGAAATACAAAAGGAAAGGACAAAAATATAAAGCAAGGAAAGAATTATGAAAACTGAAAGCAGTTTTAACGTAAATGTTGGAAAAGCATAAACAGAAAACAAAACAAAATCCTTTGATGAAAAAGAACAAATGAAAACAGAAACTATCTCTGTAGGAAAGAAAAAAAAGAGTCTACAGAAAATGAGCATAGTTTCTACAAACAGAAGCAAGACTCATATACCTTCATAATTTTATTAATTTCAAAGCTACAGAGTATCTCCTGCATTTACTGAGAAAAGAATGCATTAATTGAATTGGCTTTTAATCTAAAAGTTTCATTTTAACATCTCATTTTTGTTCTCATGAATGTGTACATAGTTGTGGCTTGTCTTCTTCATCTTATAGAAAAGGAAACATAGTATATAAGGACACAAATGACCAGATTAAACAGTTAATTAGCCACAGAGCTGAGATTATATGCCTGATCTGAATGAATGCCAGTTCAGAAATCTTCGCGACATGCAATCCCTTTTTACTTGCTTACTAAGAATCTGTTCAACAAGCAGTTTTGCACATGGAATCTACTTCAATCCTGCTGACTTTTCAAAATATAAAGTTATAAATGAAGAAGCAGAAGGATATTTAATGGGTAGTTGAGGAAGAACAAAAGACTAAGTTCATCCACCTCTGTTATTTTTATTTAGTGACAGTTTTTCATACTGAGACTTGAATGTTGTTTTAAGTTCTATCACAAATACTCAGCAATTATTAAATGGCATGTCTAATATTTATAAGATTTGCTTCATAAGAGTTATTGGCTGAAAAATTGTGCTTGCCATTTTACTTACCTTCAATTTATAAAGCCCTCAAAAATGCCCTATAAGAATTTTCTCTCTCCCTTTGACAGAATTACTTTAAAATGAATATTTCTAAACACTCCATTCTGAACAGCGATGAATGATCTAAAATATTAAGCAAGGCACAAATTGTCCATTACAGTTTATAATATCCAGTCAGTGATATGGTAGTGTTCAAGAAAAGTTTATTTGATTTTCAATTATGTTTTCATAGATGAAATGCCTTGTGACATAGCTAATTCACTTTTTAAAATATGCCCACACATTGGGAAAATCTGAGGAGCATTGAGATGAATCCCTTGCCTACTGCTAACTCTTAATAGAATATAATCAATGCATTTATTGTTTATCCAGATAGAGTGAAGTAGTATACCATATTCTTGCTGTCTTAAATGTGTTAATATTTACACATTGTAACTACTGTTATTTAATTTTCATCTCTCTTATCTAATAAAAATCCTTGAGCTCTTAGATGATTTGAAAACAATGCCATGTAATTTGTCTTTGTAAAACCAACAGATGCTAGAATCCTAGAAAAAAAGAAAATAAAAACTACTTTTATCTCCAGTAAAAATGAGCAGAAACTATCAGTTGTTTTCATAATTTCCTTCAAAAAATTAACTGCTGTATTCAAAGCTTACTTTCTAATTCTAAAAAAAGAAAATCAGCATCCAATGATATTTCCTAATAGTGATAGTAAGAAATAAGAGCAATTTGATATTTTTTTAAAAATTTGGTTCCTATTCCCTTATTCCTTGGTTTGCTTTTTCTTTAGTTTAAGAATTCTACAACCAGAATTTTTGCTAACTAAAGAGGAGAGAAAAATAATTACTTTTTTAATTTGTTTTAGTTTATATTTCTTTTTATTTATTTATTTGTTTTTATTTTATTTTATTTTATTTATTTATTTTTTTATTATTATTATACATTAAGTTTTAGGGTACATGTGCACAATGTGCAGGTTAGTTACATATGTATACATGTGCCATGCTGGTATGCTGCACCCATTTACTTGTCATTTAGCATTAGGTATATCTCCTAATGCTATCCCTCCCCCCTCCCCCCACCCCACAACAGTCCCCAGAGTGTGATGTTCCCCTTCCTGTGTCCATGTGTTCTCATTGTTCAATTACCATCTATGAGTGAGAACATGCAGTGTTTGGTTTTTTGTCCTTGCGATAGTTTGCTGAGAATGATGATTTCCAATTTCATCCATGTCCCTACAAAGGACATGAACTCATCATTTTTTATGGCTGCATAGTATTCCATGGTTTATATGTGCCACATTTTCTTAATCCAGTCTATCATTGTTGGACATTTGGGTTGGTTCCAAGTCTTTGCTGTTGTGAATAGTGCCACAATAAACATAGGTGTGCATGTGTCTTTATAGCAGCATGATTTATAGTCCTTTGGGTATACACCCAGTAATGGGATGGATGGGTCAAATGGTATTTCTAGTTCTAGATCCCTGAGGAATCGCCACACTGACTTCCACAATGGTTGAACTAGTTTACAGTCCCACCAACAGTGTAAAAGTGTTCCTATTTCTCCACATCCTCTCCAGCACCTGTTGTTTCCTGACTTTTTAATGATTGCCATTCTAACTGCTGTGAGATGGTATCTCATTGTGGTTTTGATTTGCATTTCTCTGATGGCCAGTGATGATGAGCATTTTTTCATGTGTCTTTTGGCTGCAGAAATGTCTTCTTTTGAGAAGTGTCTGTTCATATACTTTGCCCACTTTTTGATGGGTTTGTTTGTTTTTTTCTTGTAAATTTGTTTGAGTTCATTGTAGATTCTGGATATTAGCCCTTTGTCAGATGAGTAGGTTGCGAAAATTTTCTCCCATTTTGTAGGTTGCCTGTTCACTCTGATGGTAGTTTCTTTTGCTGTGCAGAAGCTCTTTAGTTTAATTAGATCCCATTTGTCAATTTTGGCTTTTGTTGCCATTGCTTTTGGTGTTTTAGACATGAAGTCCTTGCCCATGCTTATGTCCTGAATGGTAATGCCTAGGTTTTCTTATAGGGTTTTTATGGTTTTAGGTCTAATATCTAAGTCTTTAATCCATCTTGAATTAATTTTTGCATAAGGTGTAAGGAAGGGATCCAGTTTCAGCTTTCTACATATGGCTAGTCAGTTTTCCCAGCACCATTTATTAAATAGGGAATCCTTTCCCCATTGCTTGTTTTTCTCAGGTTTGTCAAAGATCAGATAGTTGTAGATATGCGGCGTTATTTCTGAGGGCTCTGTTCTGTTCCATTGATCTATATCTCTGTTTTGGTACCAGTACCATGCTGTTTTGGTTATTGTAGCCTTGTAGTATAGTTTGAAGTCAGGTAGCGTGATTCCTCCAGCTTTGTTCTTTTGGCTTAGGATTGACTTGGCGATGCAGGCTCTTTTTTGGTTCCATATGAACTTTAAAGTAGTTTTTTCCAATTCAGGAAAAAAAATTACTTTAAAGTTCACAGAAATATTTTTACCATGTTGTACTTTAAGTTCATTATGTTACTTTTTTATAATAATGCTTCTGGAAAGTCAAAAAGTTGAAGATAAAACATTTAATTTTAAGAGTACAGATGATACAAAAATTTCTTTGACAATAAATTATTTTTTAAAGTAGGTTTTAGATAATTAAGGATAGCATGATCTCATTTTGTAAAATAAAAACTATCCCTCACAGAAACACACACACACACAAATATAGTTGTTTATACATATATATCTCTAAATAATCATAGGATAAATTTATTGAATTCCCTTTTATTTTTAGCTTCAAAGCACCATATTCACCTACTTTTTTCTCTTACATCTCAGGCGTTTATTCCTGTTTTCCTTTGCTAGTGTCTATTCCTTCTAGCTCCTTAAATTTCAGAATCAGCCAGGGCTCTGTTCTTGGATCTTTTCTCCTGTCATCTATAATCACTTCCTAGATGATTTTATCCACTCACTGTCCTTAAATACCATCTCCATGCTGATGATCCCTGGATTTATATCTCCATTCTGAATCTCTTTCCTGACCCCAAACTCATATCCAATAACCTACTTATATTTTCACTTGAATGACATATAATCATCTCAAAGTTAACATGCCTAAAGTTAAACTTCAGATTCTTAAACCACTCCAAACTTGCTCTAACAGTCTTCCCATCTCACTTTATGACATCTCCATCTTTTCAGTTGTTTTGGCTTAAATACTTGGAGGTATTCACAAATCCCCTCTTTGTTCTATACCCCACATCTAATTCATTAGCAAATCCTGATGGCTTTTACCTTCACATTATACCCCAAATTCAATCACTTGGCTAGTACTACACTGGTTCCAAGCCGTAGCTGGCCTGAATTATTGCAAATCCTTGTCATCTCCCATATCCACCTTCTTTCCTTTTAAGTCTTTTTTTTAACACAGTCAACATGAAAATGCAAAACTAGAGGGAGATAATTCCACTCTTCTCTCTATGTTCTCTAATCTATTGTTAAAATCTACTTCATAGGAAAAAGCAAAGTACCATCATGCATCACATAACAATATTGTGGTCAACAACAGACCACATATACAATGGTGGTTCCATAAGACAATAATGGAGCTGAAAAATTCCTATCACCTAGTGGTGATGTTACAGCCCTTGTAAGGTCATAGCACAATGCATTACTCACCTGTGTGTGGTGATGCTGGTATAAACAAATCTATTGCACTGATAGTCTTAGAAAAGTATAGCAGTACAATTATGTACAGTACATAATACTTGATAATGATAAATCTATGTTTATGGTTTATGTATTTACTAGAGTACTTTTAAAATAATTTTTAGAGTGTACTTCTTTTACTTATAAAAAATAAATAAAGTTAACTGTCCAGCAGCCTAAAGCAGGTCCTTCAGAAAGTATCCCAAAATAAGTTATTGTTATTATATAAGATGACAGCTCCCTGCCTGCTATGTCTCTGAAGACCTTCCAGTGGGATAAGACGTGGAGGTGGAAGACAATAATATTGATGATCCTGACCCTGGGTTTGATGAAATTCAAAGAAATTTATCCTTGAATTTAGGCTAATGTGTGTGTGTGTGTGTGTGTGTGTGTGCTCATTTTCAGTGACAAAGTTGAAAATGTAAACAAGACTTTAAAAAGTTAAAAAAATGGAAAAAAGCAATAGAATAAAGATATAAAGAAAAATATTTTTGTACAGTTGTACAATGGTGTTTTAAGCTAAGAGTTATTACCCAAAAGAAACAAAATTTTTATAAAGTAAAAAGTTTAAAAAGAAAAAATTATAGTAAGCTAAGGGTAATTTGTTACTGAAGAAAGAAAATAACTTTTTATAAATTTAGTGTAGCCTAAGTGTACCATGTTTCTAAATTCTGCAGTAGTGTATAGTACAGTAATGTCCAGGCCTTCATATTTACTAATCAGTTACTCACTGACTCACCCAGGGCAACTTTCAGTCCTGCAAGCTTCATTCATGGTAAGTGTCCCATACAGATGTAACATATTTTATCTTTTATGCCATATTTTTACTGTACCTTGTTTTATTTAGATAAGTTTGGATCCACAAATACTATTGTGTTACAATTGTCTACAGTATTAAGTGCAGTAACATGCTGTACAGGTTTGTAGCCTAAGAGGAATAGGCTATAGTATATTTGTGTAAGTACACTCTATGATTTCACAAGAATATAATAGTAATTGCATAACGACATCATTGCCTAACGACACATTTAGAATATATCACTGTTCTTAAGCAATGAGTGGCTGTACTTATTATGATATGGATCCTTGGTTCTCCTCCACCCCATACCCACCGAGCAATTCTGTCACTTTCTTTTCTTTCCTTTCCCTTTATTTTATCCACACAAGTCTCCTTGCTGTCCTCATATATGCTAATCAGACTTCCAACTCAGAGTTTTGCTCTTACCATTCCATTTGCTTGGAATTTTCTCTGCCAGAGATTTGCATGGATGGTCTGATCGATTCTTCTGTGACATTTTCCCTGGCCACTGAATCCAATATTTCAGTATGTTCTCCCCCAACAGCTCCTGTATCTAACCTAATGTTATTTTTCTCCTTATCATTTATCTTTTATTTTTCTTAATTTCCCTTTGCTTGTATGTATTCCTCATCAAAATATAAGGTCTGTGAAGGCACCTAATTTTTTCTGGTCATTCTCTAGCCTCAGGGCCTAGAACAGTTTCTGGAACATGGTAGGGCTCAATAAATACTAACAATAATTTTCTCTAAACAATAGAATTAGTAAAAGGGAGACTTTCAGTTCTTTACACATCATTTTAAAGACTATGATAATGAGTGCATTTTAGTTTTTTTTACTTACATATTTCAAAAATAATATGATGGAACATTCCTTTTAAAATTAGAAATTCTAGTAACAACTTTCCCACTGGTTTATCATTTGAAAATTTAGGGTCTGAATATTTAATATTCTTGTCAGATCATGTTCACATAGATTAAAAATGAAAAGCGATGTTAGTTGCTCGTATAGGTGCAATGAATGACTTATTATTACAACTCAGGACAACCTGGCAAATGTAATAATTTATTTATACCAAGCTAAGGAAGATTTAGGTTACTGTGCCCATCAGCCCTGTCCATAGGTGGAGATTCCATCAGAAGAGCAAGACAGCAAGAATTCTGCATAGAAAGCAGCTCCAAAAAGAGCAACAGGATGGGAAAGCCGATGTGCAAATTCAGAATTCTAGGTAATAAGATAAAATTGTGTGGATGAAACTGCTGATGATGGATAATGGGGCCTTGGCCTTTGGATTGGGATTTAGGTGAGGGGCGTCTTTACATAATTATGGGACTCTAAGAAATCTACTTAAGTGTACAATCACCACTGGGATACGGTAGAAGCTGGCAACTGACTTAAGTCAGAATATAAAGCAGTGATTAAAGCAGAAACCTGACTGTAAGTGGCACTCATAACAATAGGGAGAGAGAAGACTCTGAAATGAGGGATTAGAGGTGAATTGTCTGCAACAGAGGGTCAGCTTTGACTAGAGAAGGCTAGTAGTCAGCACTGGAATTAAATAACTCCTACTCACTCTGGTATCAAGAAGGACTGGGGATCCAATGAAGTAATGCAGTGGTCACTCAAGGGGCAAAGTGCTGTGGGTCTTGCTGCCTAGATTCTGAGGCAGATACTGCATTATTATATTCTGTCTCATGTTTATATTGGCCTGGACCCTGAACTTACAGGGTTGGGATGATGTGGGATCACAGGAATCCAGCTACGCAGTTTTTTTTCCCACAAACTTTTTTTTTTTCACTGTAACCAATTATCTGCATTTAATAATTCAGCCAATAGTCATTTAAACACTTCTTAAATGTCATTCTGAGCTGAGCACTGACAATAAAACAATAAATAAGACAGACTCCGTTCTTATCCTCATAGAACTTTGCTTTCAACCTAACTTTAATCTTTGATGTATTGTCCTATATGGAACAAAGTTTAACATAGTATTTTTAGTTTTGATGTCTTTTCCACTCTTTATACATTTGTACATTTCAGTCTGAAATGAAATGGCCTTTAGAAGGATTTCCCAATGGACTGGAGAACTGATCAGTAATCAGGGGGGTCCTTCCTTTGGTTAATAATAGTGTTAATAATAGTCTGAAGTAATTCTCAACACTGAGTGGTCATAGATGTTCACCTTGGAAAGGATGCTTGAACTTCTGCTAAATCAGCATCCTCATCTTGTATATCTCAAGCCCAGAGAAGATAGAATGCATGACAACATTGATGTAAAATATAGCTGGGATTAAAATGAAAATCTCTTGATACCATAAATGAAAGGATTTTCCTCCATCATGTTCCCTATGAGGCTTCCTACTAAAAGCCATATCTCAGCTAGACTAGATTCTGTATTGGCCAGTCATACCAGTACATACCCTGCCATTCCCCTCAACTTACAGCATTCAGGATATTTCTCTGTAAAGAAAAGATAATTGGCTTTCCTTTATCTATCTATATTTCTATGTAACATACCAAAAGGATTTCTGCCAGAAACCAAAATAGAACAACTGGAAGCCATTAAAAGTAAAGAGTTACACTATAAATTTCAACCTGAAATACGAAAGTTTTTAGTTTGACTTTGTATATTGAAAATAAAGTCAAAGTTGACACTGAAAACATTATTTATCAATAGACTTTGGAGAAAAAAATGAGTAAAATAATAATTAGGTTCATAGGTACTTCCTTCAACATATTTTTCTCTTTGTTTTCACCAGTCAGAACCATTTCTATGCAAGAATCAGTGATAAGTAAAATCTAAGTGTTGGGGAAGAGGAGAGGGAGGCAGATGTCTCTTTGCCTAACTGACCATTGGTGTAATTCTCAGGTGGTTGGTTGGTGCTGCTGCTGGTAACCAGTGACTGCCCATGGGTGATTCTATACAACAGGTGACTGTTCACTGACTCCTATGAAGACATGGGAGAGTTATTCTCCTGATAGCACACTTACTTGAAGTGGTCATCAGTCTCTACCACTATCTGTCCATCCTTCCCTTACTTCCTTTTCCCTCATGTTTTCACCCAGGTGAAACCAGCTCAACATGCAGTTCAAAGACATTCTGGAAGGTAAAGGGGGCACCCAAACCACAGCATACACATATTGCTGGCTTCCATCTCTGTGGGGCTTTATGTTTTATTTAGCAATTTGATTTGATCTTTCCCCCAAATTCTCCACTGACAGACACACTGAGAAAAAAGCTCCTTGATACTACAGAACTCACGCTCTAACCACCTGAGCAGTGTTGCCTTCCAGCCATATTTGCTCTCATCACAATCTAGTTTCACTGTGGAACACTGAAGTCTCTGAATCAGCAGAGGCCACTGTTGATTCCACTGGAGAGAAGCATCCTCCATGCTAGTGAGTTTTTCCAGTACTTATGCTGAGAACTCTTGGGGCTACTGGAAGAAATTCTCTGCAAATTTCTTTGGAGACTTTGAGTGCACTGCTGAAAATGGATGTAGGCCAAGCAAAACAGGTAACTGAATATTTGGGTTTCAGCCCTAATATGTCTAGAACACCAAAGCCAGTTTCTTCCTCTATTATTTCTTTTTTTATTATTATCCTCTGCCACATAAAATGAAAAGTCCTTTAGCCACCCATACTCGATTATTGAGGACCCAGTTCTAAGCATTGTGGGTATAGTGGTAATAAGAGAGTCACATGGAATGTACATAATGCACTAATATGCTGTAACTAGTGCATTAAGGACTCTCACATCTATGGTATAAAAATATTAACTTTTTTCTCTGATGTGTTTTCTATTGAATCCAATTTTTGTTTATTAATCCTTTCTTGGGATGATTCCATAGTTCTCTGGGCATTTTTGCTTATTAAATGTTACTTTCTTCTCATTTAAAACTTGTCTCATATTTGATTCATAGCCCTACAACTCTCCTTTCATTCTGTAGGCAATAGCTCATCCAAATTATTGGGCACAGAGAGGAGTGAGGGGCAAAGAGACAAGTCCTTTTCCCAACTTGTGATTGTTGTCACTTTTCTGACAGTTACCCCTTGGCGGCTGGTACCTTCTGTATGGCAGGTATCCAAATTCTGGTATATTGTCAGGCTCTGACATGAGGTTTTCACATGTTATTCTTAGGCTTCTAACCATAGATCTGCCATAATTTGGGGGATATTACTTTAATGCTACCTCTTTCATTATCTCAGCTCCCAGTACACCTCATAGTCTCTAAATGCTGGTGTCACCTGGATTAGATACAAGCAAAACAGCTAGAGCCTAATAATCTTATAGTGTATTCACTCATGGGAAACAGCCACATACCTGCCACACCAATTGGTAAGACTTCAGGTGAGTTTGACATTCTCTCTCCTTCCTTCTTGCTAAGTCATTACCTGCCCTTTAAATAGGCACATTGCCATAAAGCATGAGTAATCACACAGTGGAGAATCAATGCCAATCCCCAATTCTTGTAGACACTCTTGATTTCTACTCTTTACTTCATCGGGCTTTGGAGAAGGGGTAAAGGAGAGTACCCCTTTTTCTTTTTCTCAGCCATCTCTGTAGATTGTTTATGGAAATGGTGCATGTTGCAGGGTTGGGAGTAGGGCCAATTTTGCTGCCTTCGAGTAAACCTGAAAGAGAATTGTCTGCCTTCAGTTATAGGAGTTTCCTTTTTCATTTCATTAACAAAGAAAAAGAATATAGGGATATTCAATATCTCTTGTTTTCAACTGTGAAAACAAGTTGCCAATTCTAGTAAATCCAATAAACATTCTTTACCAACAAAATCCTAAATAGGCAAATATAAAAAATAATAAATATATGAAAACAAAACAAAGTAATTTGGCAGGTATGGCAGATCAAGAGGTTTTAAAAGTTCTCCTTGTGAGCCCATTTAGCTAAGACCCAAATGATCAAAAGTTTTAATGAGGTGAAGATTTAAAAGAAAAAGATCTCAGATAATTGTAGGCAAAATAAATAATTAGTGAGTAAGTGAAAAGTTCTCAGATTGTGAATGAAACTAGCATATATGAAGAAGGGAAACATCAATGCAGATGTAGAAAAGTTTCACAGAGGTGATATGAGAGTGGATAGAAGTGAACACAGAGAGAAGATGGTGGCTTAAAATTAAGAGGTAGAGTTGACTCAGTTGAAGTTGGATGTATTTCAAGGTAGAGAAGAGAATTTGCTAATTGTTTGGATCCAGGTGCAAGCAGTGAGACAAAAGGAAAATAAAAATTTACCCTATGGTATTTTACTTCAACAGCTGTAAGGATGAAGATATCATTTACCAAAAAAACACAGATTAGAGGAAGAAAACACTATTTTTTTTGTATTAGTTTACTAGGGCTGCCATAACAAAGTATCACACACTGGGTGGCTTAAACTACAGAAGCATATTTCTCACAGTTCTAGAGACTAGAAGTCTGAGATCAAGTTGTTGGCAGAGTTGGTTTCTTCTCAGGCCTCTCTCCCTGGCTTGTAGATAGCCATATTTTCCTGTATCTTGACTTGGTCTTCTTTCTATAACTGCTTTTTGTCCAAATTTCCTCTTTTTATAAGGACACAGGTCATATTAGATTAGGGCCCAGTCTAATGATTTCATTTTAACTTATTGTAGTAGAGGTTAGGACTTCAAGAAAAATTGTGTTACACAATAGTTTACTTATTTATTTATTTACTCATTCAGCAAGTCTTAAACAATCATAGCTACACTGTTGAATGCTAGCATTATTTTACATGCTTGACATATATTAACTCATTTTAATCCCCCAAAACTCTATGAGGTAAGACCTATTATCATTCCCACTTTGCAGTTGAGAAATCCAATATATTAAGAGGCTAAATAAGTTGTCTGAGGTCAAACAATTTGTAAGTATCAAAGCTGAGAATTCAGCCCAAACAGCCTGACTCTAGAGTCCATTCAGTCACTACACCATGCTTCCTTTTCTGTAAGTACAATTATGTAACTCAGCATCTTTGAAATGATACCTACATGCCTGTTATGGGCTAACACAAAGAAATAGCAACTGTGCTACTAGGTTAGGCCAGCCTAGCGTCCAGAGCAGATATTCATCCTTGGACCAGCCTTTCAATTTGGCAGTCATTTATGCCCTGCAAATAATAGGTTATAGAGAAAAAAGGGGAGTTTGGGCATGATGAGGTTAGAATTTTGGTAAAGGTGTTGGAACAACATGCAATAAACTTGACTGGAACTTTAGTGAGTCTACAACTTTCTTAAGAAGGGCTCACATTTAGTATCACGGTCAAGCTAGAATGAGCCCCAAGAGTGTGGACGGGTCTGAGTCTAAGGGTTAAGGAAGCAAGAAGACCAGGCATAAAAAGTTAGAACAGGACTGGATAAAGCATGCAAACTCAGGATAGTTCCTTCCTTTGCTCCCAATTAAAATGAATTTCATTTCTCTGCAAGGTGAATTTCTGCTCCAGCTCTACATTCCTTATATTCAGCTGCAGCACTTGACGTTAAAATTAAATTTGGAATCGCTTAAGAAAGAATTTGGACATAGGCCAAAGGTAGTCAGAAAGTGAATGAAAATCTTTTTGAAAATTTTGTTGGTGATGAAAAATCTGGCACAGGAAATCTGTCTGGCAGCAAACCTATCTTTTGAAACAAGAAATCAAATGTTCGTGACAACATTCTTTGTTTTACAATGGATTATTTGTGTCTTTACTATTAATGCTTTCAGGAAATATATTTATTGAGAGATAATCATCTTTATATCGCTACACTAAGTACCATGTGAATACGAAGCCTTTTACATCTGAGATATGCATTTGGAGTGGAATAGCTGTGAATAAGAAGCTCATGCTTTGAAACAGGAGGGATACTTCGCTAAGTGACCATGAACACATTCTATAACTAAGTTCATACTAAGTGCATGTTTAGTTTAGAGGGAGGAGAGAGGGAGTTTTGTGGAGTGCTGTAATACTGTGAAGTTTGAAATATATAGTTGAGGGTTAGGAACACAGATTCTGAACACATAACCTTGTATTGGGCTCAACTTTGTAGAAACAGCAACTGAAAATAAGGCCAAGTTGGGTTATCTCCTCTTTCTATCTCAGTTTCCTTTTTATCTCTTTGAAGTAAATGAGATCATGTGACACATTTAGCACAATGTCTAGGAAAAGTATTAGCCATTAATTGTATTACCATTTTGAGTATTATTTTAGAAGAAGCAAGGGCTAGTATATGAAGGTCTTAATAAGTGTATTAGGTTGTATTTGAAATTGTAGATAGTGCTAAAGTCTTGAGTGGAGTGGAGTGGGGGGAGTGACAAACTGAATAAAATGATGCAATTTCATTTTATAGTACGTTGAAACTAAATTCAAAAAGCATAAGAATACATTACTTCTTTTTTCTTCCCAGGTATGTGAATCTTCATAAACACAGATTATCTAGTTAGAAGTTGAGAAAACTATTTGATTTTTTAGAAATGCCCTATTTCTATAATTTCAATAATCTAGGCATTTAAACCAATGCCCCCTTTCTTTTTCTGACTATTTGGGGCTATTTTACTAATTGTATATATCTTCAAAAGTGGAGTGTAGAAGCTTGGAATGGAGGTAGAACACAAATTAGATTTTTCTACTTGCCTGGAGAAGTGCAATACTGTTGATCAACTCAGGACTTACTTGTGGCTTTCATTGTTTCTTATTTCCTCTATCGTGAATGTACTGATGGGATTCTTCTTTCACGCTTTGGGAGAAGAGACAGTGAGAGAAATGATCAGACAATGAACAGTTATCCAATTTCAGAGCACAAGTTTTCTGGTACATATTAAGTGTTTTGTGTTTAATTAGTAGTTTAATAGATCAAATTGCATATTTTTAATTACTCAAAGCTGTAATGAAAAGAAATAATGCCTGTATCTCATTTTTTTCATACGAACATTACTAATTACTAAATAATGGTTTCATGACTTGTAACTGGGTTAACCAGTTATATATCAAGTATTTTGTGTTTAATTACTAGTTTAATAGATCAAATTGCATATTTTAATTATGCAAAGCTGCAATAAAAAGAAATAATGCCTGTATCTCATTTCTTTCATAGGAATACTACTAATTACTAAGTAATGGTTTCATGACTTGTTACTGGGTTAACCACATACACGGCATACTATAATATACCAGTTTTATATCAGTATCAGATATTATATAATCAAAAATAGTGTCCAAATGCATATATTTAAGACAGAAGCATTTCCTACGCCAGTTAGAAAATAGGATTATCCAATTACAGTCACATTTAGTTTAAAAAAGTACTGTTACTACCAGAGTAAATAAACTCTGCTTTAACTAATTCAAATATCCTTAGTAAATTTTGGTTATTTTCTGAAATATTAATTCTTTATTTGTAAAATGTGAAAAATACTTCATATACTGAAATAATTTGAGAATAGGGACTTAATACATACTTTCTGATGATATCTGTGAAGAATAAGTCTCTAGGCTAACTTAAATGCATCTATTTGTCTTTGTATTGTTATAATGGCATATAAATCAGTCCAGAGAGCAGCTTAGCCTTATTTTTTTCTTAGAAGTTCATTTATTTGTGCAAGATTTCTTTTCAAATCCATGTAGATAAGTCCAGAGTCATTGGCAGTGTTCTGGAAGAGTTCCTTCATTCTTCTTTTCTATTCCTTGCAATATTATTTGTGTCCAATTTTGCATAAACATTCCAGTACTATTGTTCAAGAATGTTAATGCATTTTGATTTGCACAGATGGAACCAAAAGTAAGTAACAAAAACATTAATTGAAAATAAAACATTTATGTTTCTTCAAAAGATTGTAAGAGATTAAAAAACATAAAGACCTGTAACAAATTTCCTTACCTTTCTCCACTTAGCAGTGTGACACTGGTCATTTACAATTCTAGATGGCATCAGTACAGAATGCAAGCATCTCTTTGAAATCAGATATTTCTGTGGACTGTCACATTCTAGGGAGGCTGCAAAAGAAGAACAGGCTGGGTGGAACAAAAATAGTGAAGAAGTATGGGAAATGTAGTAAGGTATGGTAACTCAGTAACAGTGTTGCAAGTAAAGGGGGAACAAAAATAACATTTGAAATGTAGAGATACTAATACTTCAACTGATTTAGTCTGTGCCATCGTATTTCCTGATGCCCCTGGGATAGGCAAATATAGTAGAAGACTACAAAATGATTAGCTATAATCCATTGTTGTCATGCTTCTGGACTTGGAATTTTTGGAAAATGGATTTGTATGTGCTTGCGCTTCAGCCTGGAATATTCAAACAGCCTCCTACCTGGGGTGAAAGTAAACTTCCTAATGTACTCATTTAGCACTTTCCATCCTACTCAGAGCGCTTAAGAGCAGATTAAAATTCTGATGGCCACTGCTACAGATTCACAGACTATGTTTTTTTTTGGCTTATACTATATGTTTAAAAAGCCAACATATTAAAATTGCTATGGATTCAACGTCTAGCCCTTTGTAGAAATTGTTAAATCTAGCAGTACAAGCCCAAATTTCCTCATTGCCACAATAAAATGGATTGATAAAGGCATGCCCTTGAGCCATGGAATATATTCTCTACTGTCCACATTATTCCCTTCTGTCTCCCTGACACTGTGACCAACTAATATATTAATTGGTATTTATCATTAATCTTATAGCCTATTTTTTAGCTTTTTTAATACTAGAAGATCCTTTTTAAATCTGCTACATTTTTGTCATCTTGGGAACCTACTAGTAAACTGAATTTGTGGCACCTACTTTTTTGACTCTTCATTATCCATGGTCCATGATTAAAAGTACACTAGTCAGTCTGACATACATTTAATATTCTCCGATTGTGTCTCAGTCATTCATTCAGCATGTGTTTATTGAGTGCCTACCATTTGCTACATACTTCGGCAATGGTGGTAGTGTTATTGGAAAGGATACAAGGATGAAAAAAAGCACAATTTCTGCTCTCGAGAGTCTCAGACTCTCCTCAGACTCTATGAGGAAAGAGAGATTGTATAGCATTTTAATTCCATCCTGTGAGAAGTAAGGAGAGCGTTCATAAAACATTATTTTTATAGAAGTACACAGGAGATGAATATCAGTTGAAACTCAGGCTGGAAGATCTAGGAAACTTGAACAGAGGAGGTGAAAGACACCTAGACTATGTTCTAAAGAACTTCATGAAGCTTTTTAGATAAACATTTAATGTTTGTGAAAATAATAATAATAATAATAATATCCATAATTATTTCACACCCCGTTTATTTGAAGATACTCCTTGCTTTTTTTAATAAAAGCCACCAGAAATCCTTGGGTCTCCCTTTCCCCCCTATAACTTTATCTTCCTTAGAATAAAACCTCTGGAGGTTCAGCACTGTTTCCACCTCCTTCTCTTGCCGTTGAAACCTCAGAGCTCAAAGACACTTTAAGGACTTCACCCAATTCTAGCTTAGCTGTTGTGTGAATAAAATGCTCTTGTGTTGGCCAGTCTGGAGCAATTTATATATTAATAAGTATGTATTTTCTAAGTTTTGAGCAACTTCTTTGAATAACCTATATTTCAGGATGTGTATATGTGTGTATGTGTCTGTGTGTGTATGTTTAGAGGGTACAGAAATTGACAATAATGAAACATTTTCTGAACTCTTTACATCATTAGGGATTCAAAAATAGTGACGTTGGCTGGGCGTGATGGCTCATGCCTGTAATCCCAGCAGTTTGGGAGGCTGAGGGGGGCAGATCTCCTGAGATCAGGAGTTCAAGACCAGCCTAGGCTACATGGTGAAACCCCGTCTCTACTAAAAATACAAAAGTTAGCGGGGCATGGTGGCTTGCACTTGTAATCCCAGCTACTTGGGAGGCTGAGACACGAGAATCGCTTGAACCCGGGAGGCGGAGTTTGCAGTGAGCTGAGATCACACAACTGCACTCCAGCCTGGGTGACAGAGCAAGACCCTGTCTCAAAAAAAAAAAAAGTAACATTGATAAATTGTTTTCTAACACCAAGAGTTATCATTAATGAAATTAGATATTTTATTGTAGAATCAGATTGTTTTTCTTATATTTTTTAATTCAAGAATGAGTATCTTTAAAAATCTGTAATGTATGAAACAAAATTAATGCATCTTGATTCATTTTGATTTCAAAGGATCTATTTATAAATCCCAGAAGAGATAATATTTGTAAAGATAATTGACAGAAGATGAACAGCAAATATTAGTGCTTGTAGTAGGACTGACCAAACATTAATACTTACCTTGGGAAATGGATTTGTCTTTTGAGTTGAAGCAAACTCTATCTCGTTCAGAATGTAGATTTATTTATTGTAACTAACCAAAAACCAAATTATCAAATTCATACTTTGAAAAATAAAAATAAAATATTATATATGATTTTTCCTTTTTTTGCCCATCAAGAAATAAAACTCTCAAATGAACTCTATAAATATTTCTTACAAGTGAGCCACAATGTAAATAATAGTTTCACAGTATTCCTAAATTTAAATAATTTAGTGCTCTCCATTTTCCCTTTACATATTAGAAAAGGTATCAAGTTATACTTCAAATTAAACAATTCTAGGTTCTTAATATTTTACCAGTATTTATTTAATCATCCTGGCATTTTAAGCTATACACTTGTATCCTTTCTTTCAATAATTTAACTTAAGTCAATGGCACTCAATATAAAAATTGATTTACTCTGGGAGGTTCAAGTACAACTAATGTACTTGGTATTGAATCATAAATTGAAAGCTATCAATCAGTTTATTGGAAGAAGCTTTGGCTCTACCATTTTGAAAAATGAAATAAGGATTTAATGAAAAATGATTGATTCGACAGTACTTTTCTTTCAATACTTTTTGGGCTGCTTTGTAAATCACAGTTCACACAGGTCACAAATAATTTTACAATTCACTGAAGAACAGGAAATTCCACTTAGATTGCTGCCCACATTCTTCTGTTACTCCAGTTGAATTTCTCTGTATTTTTTTGTACTATTATCATGGCTGTATTCTTGATCCCACTGTGTGGCAGAAATGCCTGTGTCTTAAGTGTCTATTGTTAGAATGTGAAATAGCCTTTGTTGTAAAAAATTACTGGTTTCTTGAGTGAACACACAGTAGTATCTGGAATTGGATGAATAAAACAGAAACAAGCAGGAAACTATTCTACAAGACAGGTATGGGTTAGAAGGAACTGATTTGATAAGAGTCAAACACAAGAAAGCTTTGATGGGCTTATAATATAGTGTTCAGGTATCATATGAGATTCATACAGTGTCAGGATGTCCAATCATATGGACAGGGTACAAAATGGAAAATTTAATAGGCCCAAATTTATTATTTTGTTATCTATCCATGTAAAATGAAACTCTAGCCACTGGATTAGAGGCAGTCTCAGACTATCCCTATGGAAGTGAATGACCATACATTAATAGGGTCAACAAGAAACACAGGTACAGAAACCAGAAATGGAAGTTCAAAGTAAGTCTTTGCTTAAGAGTAGTTTACTTATTTGGCACATATTTATAGATGATTACTACATGCCAAGAATTCTGCCAGAGCTCAAAATGAAAAGTGAGAAAGATACTTATCAGGGATCTCATAGTTTTAAGAATTATTTAAGCACTTTCTCAGATTGTTGTACACAATGAAGTAAATCACTGATTGACAAATGCATACCAGAGATTATGCAAGATTTGATGAGATGCTCCTAACTCATCCTTAGGAGTGATGGATTAAGGAGGGAAACATGTTTAAGGTGGGAAAACATAATGAACAAAGATACTGAATGGAATACCTTTGTTTAGGGTCCAGAAGTGTTTTACTCTTGGCTGAGCTTAAAATGGAAAGCAGTGTGTGGCCAGAGTGATAGCAACTGAAAAAGGCAAATTTCACTTTAAGAGAACCTTGTTTTTCCACTCTATGACAGTTCTACCCTGTATGTGATAGGTCACTGAATGGATTTAAGCAGCGTTGTTTAGTATATGAAATCTGAATCTTTTTTTGATTATTCTTGTAGCCTGGAGGGGTTAAAGCAGAAGACGAAGATTGCAGTTTAGAGACTATTGCAGCAGTTCTTCTGAGAAATGATGGGGCCTGATCCATGAGAATAAGTTTAGTTACGATAAGGATAATGGTGGCAACATATTTGAGACTTATTTAGGAAGTAAAAACAGTAAAACTATTTGGAATGCAGCAGTTACATTAGTGAAGTTCTGTGTGTTCAGTGTACCCCTTCACTTTTACTCCATGGCTCATGGAAAAACTACAGGTTTCAGCCTTCATTGTAGGTAGGGTGGTTTTATGATTGTGTACTGGCCAGCGGAATATAGTTAGAAATGTTATTTATTACTTCTGTTTCCAACTCATAAAACCTTCATTTGGAATCTTGCAGTCATTCTCTTCATCTGGATACATTACTCTGAGGAGTATTCCAAGATCCTAGGGCAGAGCATGGCATACAAGAAGTATGCATCCCTGAATGACTCCAAGCAGCAAAGCCTAGAGAAGCTACAGATTCAGTATTGATATCTATTAAACTTTATTTTATTTAATTTGACATTTGTTTGTTATAAAAGTAATTTATCTTGATGAATACACTAGTGAAAAAAAAAGGAACCAAAAGGAACGTATTTAGATGGGAGGAGACTATTCCATTTTTTAACATGGTGAATTTGAGGTGACTATGAAGTGTTTAGCTAAGTGGTAAAACCCTAAGAGCAGATAAGGTTATTCAGGACAGTACTTGACTAAGGAAAATCATAGATCAAAGATGAAATTCTGAGAGCACCAAACGTGAGGAGCCAGGAATATTTCTTAAAAATGAGGAGCTCAGGCTGGAAAGAGTGGCAGGGTCAAATCTAGAGGGACTTGAATTTCTATTTTAAGGTGTTAGAATTTTGCTTTTCAGATAATGAGAAGCCTCTGTTGGATTTACCCTGGGGAGTCGATATAAGATTTGCATCATGCCTTAGGAGAAAATACAGATGACACATGTAAATATAAAAGCTTGGAGAAAAGTTGGGAGGCCATTACAGTGGTTAATGTGAAGGTGTCTTGGAAACCAAGTAAGTAAAAATGTCAGGGAGAGAAAAATGCTCACAATGGAGAAAATGATCAAAAGTTCCAAATGCAAGAGAGAGTTTCATTTTTATAATGTTGAGTTTGGCAATATGGCAGTCAACAAAGACTTAAGCCATATTGTGATGGGATAAAGCACAGCCAGAAGTAAGGTTCTGGAGACTGCAAAAGTAGACAACTTTTGTGAGATTGTAAGGAGGGAAGCTGAAAAACTGAACTGTAGCTGGAGGCATGCATTTAGTGTTAAGTGATTGTTATTGTTGATTTTTGTTAGGAGGAAAAGTGTATAAACATGTTTATATGCTCGCTCTGTCCTTTTGTGCAGCTATAAATGAATATCTAAGATTGTGTAATTTATAAATAAAAGAGGTTTATTTGGCTCATGGTTCTGCAGACTGTACAGGAAGTGAGGCATCAGTGTCTGCTTCCAGGGAGGGCTTCAGGCAACTTCCACTCATGGCAGAAGGCAAAGGGGAGCTGGCATGTGCAGAAATCACACAGTGAAAAGAGGAAGAAGAGGGGGAAGACTTTTCAAACAACCAGCTCTCACAAGAACTAACAGAGTAAGAACTTATTCATTACCACAAACAGCAACAAGCCATTAATGAGGGATCTGCCCCCATGACCCAAACACCTTCCATTTGGCCCTATCTCCAATATTGGGGGTGATATTTCAATATGAGATTTGGGGGAATAAAAATTCAAACTATAGCATATGCTAAATGAAAAAGAGTCAAAAGAGAAGAAGAGAACACTTAACGATTTTGCAGAAAAAAGGGATAACTAAGATAGCAAAATCTCAGAAGTACAGACAGAGAGGAATCAAAGTCTAAATTGGTGTTTGACTTGAGTGAGACATGAGGGACATCTTATCATCAGAGACTAGAGGAAAGGAAGTGAGGACCTATAGCATCAATGTCTATAAGTGTGGACGCCAGAAAATTGAAATGGCTCATAGCTGATTTGCTCTATATTCTATAAAGAGAGGAGCAAAGATAAGGAATGAGGTACTGGAAAATTCATGTATACAATAGTTGTTGAAGGCACCATTAACATTACAATTAAGGAAAAACAAAAGCTTTTTTTGCATTACCGAATACTATTAATTTTTATTGAAGAAGCTTTGCTACCAGGAATAATGATTGGCATGAAATGTCCAAATCTTCATTTTAATGATTAATTCACTTGTTTGATTTCAATTTCTAATACCAATTTTTGCAGCAATTTTGATATTTAGACACAATAATATTTTGTACTGAATACTTCTATTGCTGAGCTATTGTTTCTATTGACCATGTACATAAAAATATTTGCCACAGAATTAAACAAAAATAAAATAGCACAAAATATATAATCACTTATATAGGGGCTTTTTTCTGCCTCCATTTATTAAGCATCTGTGGGAACACAGGTAGATAGGAAGGAGTTCATCCCATGAGTAATTCTACCTCTCAATTCTCACTTCCCACATATCATCCTAAAGCATGAACATTGGACAAGAAACAATTCTTCCTGAAATAGAAAAACAGAGGATATCAGCTCGTTCTTCGTGAAATAATTTTATAAAATGATTACCTACAAAATAAGTTGCAGGTCGTGCTGATGACAAAAATCAAGACCCTTATGGAAATATAAAATGTTAGTTTTTCTAAAAGACTTTTTCTGAAATATCCAAGTTAAGTTGGAAGCTTTTCAGTGCTCCCCTATCAAACCAAATATGCCTCTGACACAGTACTCTGGGCAATAGAATTGGGCTCCCTTATCTGCCTACCATAATAAACTCAGTTTCTTGGAAATAGAGACTATAGCTTGTCCATCCATATTTCTAGAACTTCGAAGACCTTTTGGTACATTGTATGCAGTCAGTAACTGGTAATTGAATAAAATATCAAAACTAAGTGAATTACTACATAAATAAATAGATGATTGTTGTTATATTCAGAGAAATACACACTCTTTAGTCTGGCCTCAGACCATACAAGTAAAGCTACAATTATTTCTTCAAAATAGAAATGAAACAACAAGAAAAAGAAAATAGGAAAAAAAGGCTTGGTTGTTTGAAAGAATATGACTAGGAACATATATCTAATTTATACTTAATAATAGCTGCTATGATATCCTTTTTTATTTTTTAGAAAAAATAAAAAGAAAATAGGATAAATGCCAAGAAGTAAAATATGCTACTGCATTTAGGAGTAATGGTGCACTACATAATACAACTGGCAAAAAGTTCTTCGTGGTCTATTCTATGTCTCACAAAGAAAAACTTCAGTTAACACTTAAAGTCACTGAATCACAACAGGATGTAAATCATTCAGTATACAGAGCTTTTAACTTAGTTTTCCTGGGCTTTCAAGGGAAAGAAAAAAACCTGAAAAATCTTTCTGCAGGTTCCTAATGGTTACCAAATATTTCTGAGCCCCTTTTTTTCAGTTTTCATTTTAAATTCAATTTAGCTTTGTGAGAAAAGATGGAAAAGGTAACTGAATACTCATTTTATGGCAAATCTATTAGGCTTAGAAATAAAATTATTCACTTCTTAAAATGTATTGCTTTCTCATATTAATAAGGAAATACTACCTCCAATAATTATTATTATACATGGTTGAACTCTTAGTAAAATCAGTTCACACCAAATAATTTCTTATGGGATCAAATATTTAGAGGCTACGTTTGAACTCAAAATTTGCAAATTTTTCTAAAATGATTTTTTAGACTAATTTCCAAATGATTGATAATTTTACCACATTACTTAATGCATTAGTAATAATTTTAAATTGTTTTCCAGTGATTTCCTGTCCTCAAGTTAATTCATATTATTACTACCATTAAATTTAACCTGTCACAAAAAGACTTTATATTATAAAGTTCAAAGAATATTAGAAACACAAATATTAAGGAAAGCACAACATTCTGCAATCTCTGGTGTTTTCTTATCAAACCAAATAAAACTCTGAGCCTTATTATAAAATAATCATATTTTATACACGGAACAAAAATGTATTATGTATTATTTAACCATGTATTATGAATTATCATCCTATCTCTCTCTTTTTATATATATATATACTTTAAGTTCTGGGATACAAGTGCAGAACATGCAGGTTTGTTACATAGGTGATTTGCTATGGTGATTTGCTGCACCCATCAACCAGTCATATACATTAGGTATTTCTCCTAATGCTATCCCTCCCCTAGCCCCCCAACCCCTGATAGGTCCTGATGTCTGAAGTTCCCCTCCCTGTGTCCATGTGCTCTCATTGTTCAACTCTCTCTTATGAGTGAGAACATGTAGTGTTTGGTTTTCTGTTCCTGTGTTAGATTGCTGAGAATTATGGTTTCCAGCTTCATCCATGTCCCTGCCAAACACATGAACTCATCATTTTTTAAGGCTGCATAGTATTCCACGGTGTATATATGCCACATTTTCTTTATCCAGTCTATCATTGATGAGCATTTGGGTTGATTCCAAGTCTTTGCTATTGTGAACAGTGCTTCAACAAACATACATCTGCATGTGTCTTTATAGTAGAATGATTTATAATCCTTTGGGTACATACCCAGTAATAGGATTGCTGGGTCAAATGGTATTTCTGGATCTAGATCCTTGAGGAATCGCCACAGTTTTCCACAATGGTTGAACTAATTTACATTCCCACCAACAGTGTAAAAGTGTTCCTATTTCTCCACATCCTCACCAGCATCTGTTGTTTCCTGACTTTTTAATGATCACCATTCTAACTGGCGTGAGATGTTGTCTCATTGTGGTTTTGATTTCGATTCCTCTAATGACCAGTGATGATGAGCTTTTTTTCATATTCTTGTTGGCTGCATAAATGTCTTCTTTTCAGAAGTATCTGTTCATATCCTTCGCCCACTTTTTGATGGGGTTGTTTGTTTTTCCCTTGTAAATTTGTTTAAGTTCTTTGTAGATTCTGGATATTAGCCCTTTGTCAGAAGGATAGATTGCAAAAATTTTCTGCCATTCTGTAGGTTGCCTGTTCATTCTGATGATAGTTTCTTTTGCTGTGCAGAAGCTGTTTAGTTTAATTAGATCCCATTTGTCAATTCTGGCTTTTGTTGCCATTGCTTTTGGTGTTTTAGTCATGAAGTCTTTGCCCATGCCTCTGTCTTGAATGGTATTGCCTATCCTATCTCTTTAGAGATAGGATATTCTCTTTAGAGAATAGACTAAAAACATTAGCTAAATGAAAATTATTATTAAACACTAAGGTGACTATATTTTCCCACATACTTACAGTATTTTGGAACTATTTCTTGATTGCATGCATGCTAGCCACATCTTATTTTCTTCTGTTATATTTTTGGGATTTTCTTTACAAATACAAACATGAATAAATGGGAATTCCGCACATATGCACACACATAAGTCTCTCTTCATTTGTTTTAGTCATATCTGCTTAATCTTATTTTTTTCTTAAATACTAGTTGTATTATGAGTGAATTAAGGGAGAAAGAAGAAGCAGTAGGATACTTCTTATAGTGGAACCATGCTGGTCTTCAGCTAGATTAGAATATCATTGATTTCTTATTGGTAATAAGTGTGGAAACTGGAAATTGTCTTTGATATACACTTCTTAATTGATCCTAGTGGAGGATGATTTGTTAAACATAAAATTGTGTCACCTAATTATTTACTTAATGAAGACCCGAGTCAGTAAAACAACCCAAGTACAGGTGTTTCAGATTATTAAATTCATCCTTCTACACAATGATGTTGATAGGTCACTTCACTAGTAGAGGGTGCCTCTCTGAAGAGATGATTATGATGCAACCTTCTTGTGCTGGTTTGTTTTGGGTGACTCTTATATAATCCATGAGATAATGTTGGGGTACTGGAATAGGAGCTAGAGAATATACCAGAAGAGAACACAATCATGCAACATCTCTCAAATATATTGTATTAGTCTGTTTTCACGGTGCAGATAAAGACATTCCTGAGACTGGACAATTTACAAAAGAAAGAGGTTTAATTGGACTTACAGTTCCACGTGGCTGGGGAGGCCTCAGAATCATGGCAGAAGGCAAGGAGGAGCACGTCACATCTTATGTGGGTGGCAGCAGGCAAAGAGAGAGATTGGACAGGGAAACTCCCCCTTATGATACTGTCAGATCTCGAGAGACTTACTTGCTGTCACGAGAACAGCACGGGAAAGACTCACCCTCATAATTCAATCATTTCCCACCGGGTCCCTTCCACAATACATGGAAATTATGGAAGCTACAAGATGAAATTTGGATTGGGACACAGTGCAAAACCGTATCATATATATTGATCCCCTATTGTCTGATAGGACAGGTTCTCTGTAACGGAATACCAGCATGTAGATGGAGGAAAACTGTAATAACTGTCTATAAATGATCAAGTTGAGTGGCCATTAAGGGGATAGATACTAATATCTGAGGTTTACATTTTTTTTTTTTTTGCATTTTCTTTACTATCTTCAAGCCTTAGGAAAGGTAATTACATTTTTAAAAAAAGTGTTTGCATTAGCTTCCCGTGGATGCTGTACCAAATTACCTCGAGTGGGTGGTAAACAACAGAAATTTATTTTCTCACAGTTCTGGAGGCCAGACATTCCAAATAAGTATAACTGGGCCAAAATCAAAGTGCTCCCTCTTAAGGCTTTAGGGGAAAATCTGTTTATTGCCTCTTCCAGTTTCCGGTGGCTGGCGGCATTCCTTTTATGGTGGACCATTGCTCTAATCTTCAAGGTCAGCATCTTCAAATCTCCCCCTGCTTTGTCTTCACAACACCTTTTTCCTCTGTGTGTTTGTCAAATACTGCTCTGCCTCTCTCTTATGATTACATTTAGGACCCAAGTGGATAATCTCTTCATCACAAAATTCTTAACTTAATCACATCTTTAAAAGTCCTTTTTTGCTTATAAGGTGACATTTACAGTTCCCAGAAATTAGGACCTAATATCTTTGCGGGGGGGCCGGTGTGTGGGGGGGAATAATAGCACCTATCACACTCTCCCTCTCTGTACTTTATTTATTTATTTATTTATTTATTTATTTATTTATTTATTTATTTAAGGCAGAGTCTCACTCTGTTGCCCAGGCTGGAGTGCAATGGCACGATCTCAGCTCACTGCAACCTCCACCTCCCAGGTTCAAGCGATTCTCGTGCCTCAACCTCCAGAGTGGCTGGGATTACATTCGTGCGCCACCACACTGGCTAACATTTTTGTATTTTTAGTAGAGAGGGGGTTTCACCATTTTGGCCAGGCTGGTCTCGAACTCCCAGCCTCGGATGATCTGCCCACCTCAACCTTCCAAAGTGCTGGGATTACAGGTGTGAGCCACCGTGACTGGCCTCTTTACACCTTTAGAGTTGGTATCCAAAGTAATGCTGAACATTTAATTGAAATCTTCCAACACACCCTTCAAAAAATGATAAAGAGAACAAATGAGGCAAAACACACAGGATAACTAAAAGGTAGAAAATGCCCAATCTTTAAATTACCTGTAATCATGGAAAGCACTCTCTCAATGCATGGAGAGTCAGTGCAGCCCATATAAAAACATCACAGAAAAGAGGGGAGTTAGAAGCAGCCCTAAGATCAATCTAAAATAGACACCTAAAATGAAAGTCATTCTTAAATCAACAAACAAAATATGAAAAGGTGGTCATGGGAGATAAGAGCACATTTTGAAAAGGAATATAAATCCTATATGTCTACACAAAAACTTGTACATAAATGTTAATAGCACCTTTATTTGTAATACTAAACATTGAAAATATTGCAAATGTCTATCAATAGATGAAAGGATGATCAAATGATGGTGTGTTCATCCAATGGAATATTCAGAAATAAAAATAAATGACCTTAAACTTAAATGTGAATTATTTTTCCAAGTGTAAACTCACTCTGTGCCATTCCTACACACACACAAAATTAGAAAGTGAGCAAAGAGAAACTGAACCTACGCTAGCATCAGAATTCTCCTTCAGGTCTGCTGCTCATTATTACTACTGTCTGAGTACTAATATTAGTATTTAATATTTGTCCACATTTTCTCAAATATGTCTTTTAGGATATCATCTCTTGTCACTTTAATCTTAATGAATTAACTTCCTGGCTGTTATAGCTCTGTGTCCTTCTCTAGAATGACTGTATTGTTTATTTAACAATGGTACTTATAGATTTCTTCTATTGAGCTATAATTTGAATCTCGTCATCCGGGATAGCCACTATGCCATAGTACCCCCAAATCAATCACTTATTACCACATTTACTGCTACAGTTTTGATCCAAACCACCACAAGTTTCCATTTACATTGTTGCAATACTGTTTCCCTGTTTATTTGCTTCTCTACAGTCTGTTCTCCAATTTAAATTTTAAATCATATGATTTTACTTCTCTGTTGAAAACTCTCCAGTAACTTCACATCTCATTCAGAGAAAGAGTCAAAATCCTCACAGTAGCTGCTCTAAAGTCCTTAGATAACACAACAGGTCAGACTGGAAAAATCAGACTCATGTGAATCAGGGGTCTTAGCGTCAAGCTTTACTAATGCTTTCAAGGACAAAAGGAATTGTGAGGCACAGGTAAAGCAAGGAAAGGTCTAGGGCACAGCTCCCCATGTCCTTTCTCACTACAACAGGATTTTCTCTGGTGCAGATAAATATATGAAATCCCCAAGTAAAATATGCAGCTTTGCTCAGTCTTTCATTTGGTTAATGAAATATCTCTACATTCTTCTCAAGTTCATGACATTTTTTCCTAGAACTATGCCCTATAAATCAATTCCAAGTTTGTTTATTCTCTGCAATTCTTTATATAGTAGGTACATTCTGCTGAAAGCATTCCATAGACAAGGATTCTCTCACTAGCAAATACAGATAGTTTGTTTGCCAGAAAGTTTTGTTACTGGCATCTTTGCAAGCAGATTTGACTGGTTAATCTTATTTTCCACAGATGTTTCTCAGTAAAAGGAGACAATGGGTTGCAGGCCTCTGCACAACCCATTCTTCCCCAGGTCTCAACTAGATTTGGCTTTTAGTTTCTTGATAATTTTATATCTGCCTTCTTTTCCCTAGATCTTTCCACATCAGCATTTCTAGTATGTTCTTGTCCTCAGAGATACCATGTTTCTGCCTCAGGACTTTTGCATTTGCTAACCCAGAGGGCTGTGCTGCTAGTTTTCTCTTTTTATTGAGGTTTGCATACAAGTCTCCTCACTGAAGCCTTCCCTAAACATCTTAATTATATTAGAATTATCTTTTTTTCTCTCCAATACTCCCTATCCCCTTCATCTACTTTATTTCTCTCTATATCATCTATCATGATCTGACATATCGATGTTTTCTTTATACTTATCCTTACCGTGTATCTCTCACCACTAGAGTTAAGACCATGAGGCATTCTTTTTCTATTTTGTTCATTGTTGTATTTCCAGCAGTTTGGATGGTGTGTAAGACTAAGCGATATGTCAATTAAATTTTTTTTTGGATGAATGAATAACAGGGTATATAAATAAACATTACTCAAAGATGATATTGGAATCCATATTAGCCACAATTGGCTATTTAACTCTCCTCTCATATCCTGTATAAGACGCTGTTTCCAAGTCGGTTTCCAGAGAGTAATCATATTATATTGTGTTATCTAATTTTGTATGTATTCATTTGGGAAAAATTTCCCCAAATACCTCTTTCATCTGGCTAGCAACTTATATCCTAGTTTTAATCATGAGAATGACACAGTTTCTTTTTTTCTACCCATGCCTTTCCATATGTAATTCCTTCAGATTGAGTCAAGATAACCCATGCTTTAATTTCTATTGCCCAAGATACACCCATATTGTTACCTGTCCTTACTGGGATACTTTTGTAAATTCTGTGGCTTGGTCTTGGTCTAGGTGTACCCATTAAGACTCCCATCTAGCTTATCCATTCTCAGTCTTTGATAATATGACATAAATATCTAATGTATCAACACAGACATCAAAGATCTACTGATTCTAGACGTTGTCATTCATTAATTTATTCAGTCAATTATATAATTGACAGTATTATAAAGTACTTTATATATATTTGACATTTTAACATATTCTGGAATTTACAATTTTAAAAAAGTATGGTCCTTTCCACTGTTTTAACAGATTCTAGACTCATAAATAAATTACTGCAATTCAATTTAAGTGCTATATTTGTAATACATACAGAATCGCTATAGAAACTCAAAAGAAGAACCTATTTGCCTTGGCCCAGTAATTTCTCTATTTAGTTGTTTAATCCAAATCAGTAATAGCAGGTGTAGTTCCTCTTACAAGCTTCTCCTTTTTTCTTTTTAAATTTTCTTCTCTTCATATTCTATACATAATACTAGAATAGTAGATATATCTTTTTATGGTTATTCTATGATTCAGTAGGATCTATGGCTTATCTAACTTGCTTTATGGCAAGAAAGAAAGGACCCCTATTAAGTTCCTCTTCTATAATATAGTGATAACAACGCGCAATCGGCAGACTGATGAGTACTGAATAAGAAAACATGATTGAAATGGAATACAATCTCCAGCCAGGAAGAATTTTTGAGAAAACTGTACAGTATTGTGAATAAGCATCCACGTTCTGGAGTTAGTAAATCCAGGCTTTGCCTTTTACTATCTGTGTGATCTCAAGTATGTGGTTTAACCTCTCTAAGTGTATTTATGTATAAAATAAGAATAATGGCAACACTCAGTTCATAGAGACTATTAAAGATTAGATATGATAATTGCAGGTAAATCACCAAGAAAATTGTTTGATACCTAATAAGTAAGAATAAGATTATTCTTATTCTTCTTCTCTTTTTATTCTACACTTATTTTAAAGAGTATTATGAAAATAATGATCAAAGAAAATGCTGCATAACAAATACAGTGTGAATAGGCTGTTACTATGTACAAATACTCTGTGTTCTTCTTCTGGCTTATGAACACCTTTACTCTGGCTAATGCTTAATCTTTACACCTCATCTGTATGTGTTTGCCTTTTTATTTTTATTTCACCTCCTGCCATGTAATTTAACTCAGCATAAAATTCATTCTTTTGTAATCTTTTTTATGCTTTCCTGTCTGCTAATTGTGTTGTCTAATAATAAGTATCAATTAGCTTTTCCAAATACATCTCTATAAATGCAAACATTGAAGTAATAGGAAAAGCTGAAAAATGTCCAAAATAAGGAGCATCATTCATATTTTCAGTAAGAAAAATGCATCCTATTTGAGATTTTATTTGGAGCATTACATAATTATTGTATGTACTTGTTTTGCTTCTGCTCTTCTCTTAACAACTGGATGAACATAGAAATGATGCATTTCTGAAATTCCTTAACCTTGTCTTCTTCCCAATATTACTGAAATAGCTTAAAAGGAACCCACAAAAAACAAAGGCATCTTAATAAACACTCCTCAGATAAACAGAAGATGGCCTTTTGAAATGTTTAAATAATTCCATAATTTTACTGAGCCAAAGAATAAAAATGGGAGTGATTTTTAAGGACTAATGCTAAAGGTACAATCTCACTAGAAAAAAAAAAATCCATCTCAAACTTATTTAGAATTCATTTACAGGAAAATTCTTATCTTTCCAGAGAACATGCTAAGTTCCTTTCTTTTCAAAATAAAGAGCTATTAATGTCATTGTATTTTCTGATTTTCTCTGGTTATCACGAATCTTAAAAGCAAATATATTGTTTAGTCCCAAGAAGTATATTAAATATAGCAAAATTGTATGTACATCTTTTCATTACTTTTGACTTTTTCAGCAGGATTTATTTTTAATTTAACCTTATTTCACTTTTTTATGAACTGACTGAACTCTCTGGAGAGAGAGAAAAAATAATTCATTTAGTAAACATGAAAATTTTAGTGACTGAAGATGTTTCAGCCTCTTTTCCTCACATCAGCAAAAAACTCCTGTTGACCTCAGTGAAAATTATAGGTAAGACAATGCAACAAGAGATGTCCTACAAATAATCCAAAAATTTCCGCCCCTATTTAGCTGTCAATTATTAATTGCATTTTGAAATGAGAGTTAGACTGGGGTCTGATTTATAGAACAAATCGCTCTGGCATTAATGCCCTCAGAATGAGAAATGGTATACTGAGAATACTTTCCTCTTGACATTTATGAAAACTTCATTGCTTCTTTTTCACTTCCATTAGTCGGTTCTACAAAAGTCCAATATTATTTTTCTAGGCATCAGACCATAGTACTAATAAAGTTGAATTGCTCTCTTTCACTGACATCACAAAGTTTTATTCTACTAAATAGTGTAGGCTAGAGTCATGTTACGCCAATTAGAAATATCTATAGCTAGAATCCAATAGATAACAAAATCACCTGAAACATTAATATTAGATATCTTTCCTCAGCATTTCTCTTCTATACATTCATCACTTTAAATAAAGCAAAACCACAAACCAGAAGACAATATGTGCAACTTTTATGGTAATCAACAGTGTTAATATCAGTAACATGCCTACACACTTAGCAAATGATAAGAAAAAATTAATTTAAAAATGCAAACAGTATCTGCGCAGGTCATTTACATAAGAAGAAATGTGAATTGTCAATGAACTATGGCCAACATCACCCACAAATTTTAAAAAAGTTATTGGAATAATTTAAAATATCACAAATATTCTCATAAATTGCGTATCAGAGTGTTAACTGCGACTTTTTAGGGTAAGAAATCTGACATTACTGTTTGTTTGTTTCAGAGACAGGGTCTCCCTCTGTTGTCCATGCCGAAGCACAGTGGCACAATCATCTCTTTAAACTGAAGGAAAGAGAGACAGAATACATTTGACTCCACAATCCCAATTTTGATGGTAAATCATGCAATATAAAAGTACCAATATATTATATGGAAATAAACAAGAGTGCTATTGCAACACTGTTTGTATAATGAAGAAAAAAATTAAAAATGGGATAGTCATCTGCCATTTACACGCCAATTCCTTTCTCTATTCTTCTCCCTTGTTCTGTGCTGTAAAAGACTGACCTACGGGAATTACATTAGGTAATTTCTTGGAGACCTTTAGACAGTGAAGAAAATCAAAAGAGAAGCACAGGCCCATGACATTTATTTCCCAGACTTCCTACATTTCCAGGGGTTGGTTTTGTCCCTCTACCAAAGGCCTCAGCTGTTATCAAAAATCACTCTTCGTGCTGTTGTCTTTGGTTTCTGATTTGCTCCCTTCTCTCGCCCATTCAGGTTTCCTGGTGATACCAGCTTCCTAGAGTTACTATCCCTTTTTTGTTGTTGTTTCAAACTGCTTTGTAAGTAATCCTTTTATTAAATTATCTTCAGCTTGAGTGCGTCATCTGTTGCAACTGGGATCTTATGCATCTGTCAGTAAAAGAATGCTTTAATAAATTTTAACATAGTTATATCCATAAAGTGTATTAGATGTATGTGTTAACTTAGAAAAATGTTTGTAATCTAATGGTAAGAAACTCAATGTAACATCAAAATATGCCATTAACAAAGTGAAAAGTTAGGAAGCACTAAGAACAAATATAAGTAACAAAAATAAGTGAATACAAATCATTCTCCAAATTAAACAGGGAATCTCAAAAATCAATAAGAAAAAGCCAAAAGCCTCAATTTTTAAAATATGTGCAAATAATATGAATAATTCACACAAGAAAAAAGTTGAATGGCTAACACATGTATTAAAAAAGTTCCATTTTACTTAGAATCAGGTAGATGTAAGTTAAAAGAAAATGTCATTTCACACACACCAAATTGACAATTAGGTCTTGGAGATAATATGAATCAAACAGGGCTCTCATATATAAATAGCTAGAATATAAACAGATAGTACCAATAAATAAAGAATTATATATATATATATATATATATATATATATATATGATAAAATGAGTATGTGTGTGTTTCAATGCAGTAATTCCAAGCAAGGGTCAGCAAACTTTAGTCTGCATTAGAACAAACCAGAGGGCTTGCTAAAACACAAAATGCTGTTCTTATCACCAAAGATTTTAATTCAGTAGGGCTGAGGTCAGGCCCAATAATTTGCATTTCCATAAAGCTTCCAGGTGATATGCAAGCTAGTGGTCAGTGCTCACATTCTGAGAATAATTGCTCTAGAGAAATTCTTACCCATGTGCAGAACAAAATAAGTCAAAGACTGTTCACTGTAGCGCTTTTTGCAATAGTGAACAATTGGAAAAAAAATCCTTAAAGCTTATCTACAGAACAGATATATAACTTGTATATATATATTCATGCAATTAAATACTATAACCTGATTAAAATAAATGAACAAAGCTATCTGCATCCATATTATTAAAACTCTCCAATATAATAGTGAGTAAAATAATCTAGTTGAAAAAGGAAAAATTCAGTATAAATTGTTATATATATATAAACATTTATATAAATTGTTATTACAAGTTAAACAATTTTATTTGCTGTTGGTCTATAAGCATTTATGTAGCAAAATTATTTTTAAAATGTGGAAATGGTAGACTCTAACTTTGAAATAGTAGTAAACTCTGAGAAAGGATAAAATAGGAATGGGGAGGAATTTACCATGGCATTTAACTGAATCTGTAATATATTGTATCTTAAGGTGCATGGCTGAGTCACATGGGCATTCACTATATTAGTCTCTATAACATTTTATGCATGAGATATTTTATTAAGTAAAAATAAGTTAGGAAATAATAACATTTTTTCATAGTTGTACCACCCTATACCATTGAACTCAGCTGGCATATAGGGATACCACTGTACACTATGTGGGAATATATTGGACTTTCATGTATTGAGTTTGGATCCTGCAAACTTACTACATTTACTTACTAGTTTTGGGATTTTTTTGTAAATTTTTTGAAATTTTCTATAGAGATGTGCAAATCTGCTGTGAAAAGAGAGTTTTATTTCTACATTTTTTTATTTTTATTTTTTACAATGAAAAAACTATACATATTTACTATATACAACATGGTTTTTTGAAGCATATATATGTTCAAAATAGCCATTCCTATATATATATATATATACATATATAGTCATTCATATATATATATAGTCATTCATATATATATATAGTCATTCCTCTCTCTCTCTCTCTCTCTCCATGTATATATGTATATAGTCATTCCTATATGTATATATATGGGAATGACTATGGCTTATCTCACATATTTATCATTTTTGTGGTGAGAACACTTTACATCTATTCTCCTAGCATCTTTCAGGAATACAATATATCATTAAATATAGTCACCATGTTGTATAATAGACCTCTTGGGTTTATTCCAATGGAAAGTTTTTATCCTTTGACCAATGTCTTCCTGACCCCTTCCCTTCTCCTCACCAGTCACCACAACCCCTGGTAACTACAATTCGATTCTGTACTTCTATGATATCAACTTTTTAGATAACACATATGAGTGAGATCCTTTGGTCTTTTTCTGTCTGGCTTATTTCACTTAACACAATGTTTTCCACGTTCATTTGTATTGGTGGAAATAGCAGGATTTCCTCCTTTTTATGATTGAATAATATTTTATTGTGTTTATATATATATATTTATATACCACATTTTCTATATCCATTCATACATTGATGGAGATTTAGGTTGATTCCATATCTTGGCTATTGTGAAGAGTGCTGCAATGAAGATGAAAGTGCAGATAAGTCTTCAATATACTGATCTCATATCCTTTGAATATACACCTAGTATTGGCATTGATGGCTCACATGGTAGTTCTAGTTTTAATTTTTGAGGGACATTCATACTGTTTATCATAATGGCTGTATTAATTCATTTTCCAATGGTTAATGTGGAGAGGTTACCTTTTTTCTACTTCCATGCCAACACTTGTTATCTATTTTTTACAATAGTCATTTTAAAAGATGTGAGGTAATATCTCACTGTTGTTTTAGTTTAAATTTCCCTGATCATTAGTGATGTTAAAGATTTTTTTTCATATACCTATTGGCCATTTGTACATATTCTTTTGAAAAATGTATATTGAAGTCCTTTGCTCATTTTGTAATTAGGCTATCTGTATTCTTACCATTGAGTTGCTTGAGTTTCTTACATATTCTGAGTATTAACCCCTTATTAGACATATAGTTTGCAAACATATTTCCAATTCTATAGATTGTCTCTTCATTCTGATAATTTTTTTTCTTCTCTGTGCAGAAACTTTTTAGTTTGATCCTATTTGTCTATTTTTGCTTTTATTCCCCGAGCTTTTGGGTTATTTCCAAAAAGTTATTGCCCAGATCAATGTCATAGAGCATTTCTCCTCTGTTTTCTTCTAGTGCTTTCATAGTTTTGGGTCTTGCATTTAAACCTTTGCTACATTTTGAGTAAATTTTTGTTTATGGGATGAGACAAATGTCTAATTTCATTCTTCTGCATTTGGATATTGCTTTCTGAGCATCATTTATTTAAAAGACTGTTCTTTCTCTGTTGTGTGTTCTTGATTTTTGGTTGAAAATCAGTTGAATGTAAATGCTTGGATTATTTCTGGCTGTCTTTTCTGTTTTATTGGCCTATGTGTCTGATTTTATGCCAATACCATGCTGTTTTGTTTTTGTAGTGTATTTTGAAGTCAGGTAGTGTGATGCCTCCAACTGTGTTCTTTCTGATCATAATTGCTTTGGCTATTTGAGGTCTTTTGTGGTTCCATATGAATTTTAGGCTTATATACTCTATTTCTGTGAAAAATGTCATTGGCTTTTTAATAGGGGTTGTATTGAATCTGTAGATAGCTTGAGTAATATGGGTAGTTTAACAATATTTATTATTCCATTCCATGAACACAAGTTATCTATTAATTTATTTAATAGATAAAGGTATCTGTTTATTTACTTATGTCTTTCTCAATTTTTTCATCAATGTTTTATAGATTTCATTGTAGTAATCTTTTACCTCCTTGGTTAAATTTATTCTTAAGTATTTTATTATTTTTGTAGCTGTGGTAAATGGATTTTTTTTTATTTCTTATTTGGATAGTTTGTTGTTTGTGTATAAAAATACTACTAGCTTTTGTATGTTGATTTTGTATCCTGCAACTTTGAATTCGCTTATTAGTTCTAAGAGCTTCTTAGTAGAGTCTTAAGAGATTTTTTACATATATAATCATGTTGTCTGAAAATACGGGTAATTTAATTTCTTCCTTTCCTGTTTAGATTTCTTTTATTTCCCTTGCCTTTCATTTCTTTCCCTTGCTTTATAGCTCTGGCTAGGACCTCCAGTATTTTACTAAATAGAAGAGATGATAGGCATCCCTGTCTTTTTTCAGATATTAGAGTGAAATTGTTTAATTTTCGCTGAGTTGTGGGTTTGCCATATACGGCCTTAATTGCATTCCTTATATAATTAAGTCATTGAGAGCTTTTATCATAAAAGAATGTTGAATTTTGTCAAACTTTTTTTCTGCATCTATGGAAATGATTATATAGTTTATGTCCTTCATTCTATTAATGTGATATATGACATCTGATTAGCCTATGTTGAATTATCTATCCTTACATTCCTGAGATGAATCCCATTTGATCATGGTGAATTATCTTTTTAATGTTTTATTAAATTCAGTTTGCTAATATTTCATTAAAGATTTTCACATCTAGTTTTATCAGAGACATTGGCCTGCTATTTTCTTCTTTTATAGCATCTTTTTCTAGCTTTGCTATCAGGGTTACGCTGGCCTTGTGAAATGAGTTTGAAAGTATTCCCTTCTCTTTGATTTTGAAGAATTGAAAATAATTGGTATGAGTTCTTTTAAATGTTTCATAGAATTTGGCAGTAAAACCATCAAGTCCTGGTACAGCATTGCAAGAATCCTGGGCCTCTTATGGCAGATGTGATGCTAAGGTTAGTCAGATGCCTGGAACCACGGTGTACTGTCTGATGCTGAGGGCTGCTTGGAATGCAGTGCTGCTGACATCAGCCCAGTAGACATCAAGCCTACTGCACAATCCTAAAGCCTGGGGCTGTGTGAATGTGCCTGGAGCCAGAGAAGGTCTAGCAGTTCAATCCATGTGTACTGGCCTAGAATATGAGTCCATGGGCCTCTGCCCAGAACTAAGTTTTACTGACGTGGGCCCAGTGTTAGGGATCAAGGCAAAGTTCTGTGCTCACTTCTCTCTTTTCCCTTGAGCAGACAGTAGTTCTCTATGTGCTGTGCTGCCTGGAGTTGTGGGAGGGGTGCCATGGGTAACATAAAACTGTCCTTGCTATCCTCCTCAATTCATCTTTTTAAATTATTGTGCTAAAACCAGGTGCTGAGATATCTTATCTGGTTTCCTTAGCTTTTGTGAAGGTATTTTATCATGTGTAGAGCTGTTAAAAATTGATGTTTCTGTGAGTGGATGATGGCTAGAGAGCCCTACTCCACCATATTCCTGCTCCTCTTTCTTATTTCATAATATCTAATATGTATGCCTTTTATTATTTTTTCTTGCCTTTTGCACTGGCTACAATTTCCAGATGACATTGAATAAGTGCGATGCCTGAGTCCATTTTGTGTTGCTATAAAAGAATATCTGAGGCTAGGTAATTTATATAGAAAAGAGGTTTACTTGGCTCATAGTTCTGCAGGACACAAGAGGCATGGCAGTGGTGTTAGCTCAGCTTCTGGCAAACGCCTTAGGCTTTCACTCATGGAAGGAGACAAAAGGAGCTGGTATTTGCAGAGATCACATCATGAAAGAGGAAGTAAGAGAGAGAGAGGGGAGGTGATAGGCTCTTATTCACAACCAGCTCAAGCAAGAACTAATAGAGCAAGAACTCACTCATCTGCTTTCCCCAGGAAGGAAATAAAGCTATTCATGAAGGATCCACCCCCATAATCCAAAACCTCCCAGTAGACTGCACATCCAGCAATTGAGATCAAATTTCAACATGAGATTTGGAGAGGACAAACATTCAAATTACAGCAAGTGGTAAGAAAGGTCATCCTTTCTTGGTCAGTAGTCTTTGGAGGTGGGGATGGTGCTGAAAGCCTTCTGTCTTGAACAATTAATTATGATGTTATCTGTAAGTTTTTAAAGATCCCACTACAGGAAAATAAAGTACCCCTCTTTTTCTAGTTTCCTGAGAATTTTTAATCACAAATTTGTCAAATGCCTTTTCTGCACAGATTGAGATGATTATATAGCTTTAATTATTCACTTGTGAATATGATAAATCACATTGATTTTCAAATGTTGAATTATCTTTATATATTAGTTTCCTTGGGCTACTATAACAAACTACTACAAACTGGGTTGCTTAAAACAACAGAAATTCTAGCACAATTCTGGGGCTACAAGTTCAATATTAAATTATCAACAAGATCATTCTCTTTAAAGATTCTCAGGAAGAGTGTTTGCCTCCTTTTTTCTAGCTTGTGGTAGCTTCTTGGCAATAATTAGTGTTCCTTCTTCTACAGCAAGTGGTATCACTCCAATTCCTCCCTCTGTGGAAATGGCCACATTTCATTGACTTGTGTCTGCGTCTCTGCATATCCTTCTTTTAAGGACACCAGTCACGGAATTCCGCACCCACCCAAAAGCAGTATGACCTCATCCTAATTTAACTAGTTACATCTGCAAAGACCCTCTTTCCAAACAAGGTCACATTCTAAAATTTTATGTATATAGGAATTTGCGGGGAATACCATTCAACCAAGGACTCCTTTCATTTCTAATGTAAACTCCACTTGGTAATGGTATATTTTCTTTTTTATATATGTGAATTTTATTGCTAATACTTTTGTTAGAGACTTTTGCATCTATGATCATGAGTGATATTTGTCTATAATTATTTTTGTAATGTATTTGTTTTAGTATTGAAATATTACCAGTCTCACTGAGTTAATATTAGAAGAATCTACTCTTTAAAAGATGCTGTTAAGAAGATTAAAAGACAAGCCATTGACTGAAAGAAAAATGTTTGAAAACCACATATGTGATAAAGGTCTTAAATTCAGAATTTACAAAGACCCCTTAAAACTCAATAATAAGAAAACAATCAATTAAGGAATGGGTAAAAATTTGAACAAACACTCACCAAAGAATTTAAAGATGACAAAGACATGAAATGATTCTCAATATAATCACTGAATAAATTTAAATTAAAGCCACAACAATCCAACACTATAAACCTAGTGTTTTATAAACCTAGAATAGCTAAAATTAAAATACTTACCATATCAAGTAGAGGTCATGAATGTAGAACAGATGGAATTCTTATACACAGTAAATCAGAGTGTGAAATTGTACAACCATATTAAATCTTCATCTGCCATATGACTCAACCATTTGACTAGTATTTAAACAAAAGAAATGGAAGCATATGTCCATTCAAAGACTTGTAAATGTATGTTTATAGAGCCTTTATTTGTAAGAGCCAAAAACTGGAGGAAAAAAATAACAAATATTTACCAAGAGATGAATGCAAAAACAGATTGTGTTATATCCATACAATGCAATACTATTCAAGAATAAAATACAATGAACTATCAATATTATGCTAAAGCATTGATAAATATAAAGGACATTATTGTAAGTGAAAAAGTTATAAACAGAACAGTACATAATGTAAAATTTTATTTAAATAGAACCCTAGAAAATGCAAGTTGTTGCCTGGATATGAAGGAGGAGTCTGGGAGGTAGAATGAGAGATTACAAGGGATATGAGAAAAGTTTTCAGTACAATGAATACGTTTCTTTTCCACATTGTGGTGATGGTTTCAGTAGTGTACACAGATGCCAAAATATCAAATTTTACAATTTAATATGCATAATTTATGTCAATTACAAATTTAAAAATGGATGTAGGAAGGTCATGGGATATAAGTTTAATATATAAAAGTATATTTTATCCTTCCATATCTCTACAGCCATATCCCTATATGCCAGTTAAAAACAGTGACAAAAATATGGCAAGATACACATGAATCTGTCACTTGTTTACATTTATGAAATATTTTATTGTTAAAATATATATAGTATTTGAAGTCATCTACTTCTGCTTCCCAAGTATAAAGATTCTTTTTTTTAATTATACTTTAAGTTTTAGGGTACATGCGCACAATGTGCAGGTTTGTTACATATGTATACATGTGCCATGTTGGTGTGCTGCACCCATTAACTCGTCATTTAACATTAGGTATATCTCCTAATGCTATCCCTCCCCGCTCTCCCCATCCCACAACAGGCCCCAGTGTGTGATGTTCCCCTTCCTGTGTCCATGTGTTCTCATTGTTCACTTCCCACCTATGAATGAGAACATGCAGTGTTTGGTTTCTTGTCCTTGTGATAGTTTGCTGAGAATGATGGTTTCCAGCTTCATCCATGTCCCTACAAAGGACATGAACTCATCATTTTTTATGGCTGCATAGTATTCCATGGTGTATATGTGCCACATTTTCTTAATCCAGTCTATCGTTGTTGGACATTTGGGTTGGTTCCAAGTCTTTGCTATTGTGAATAGTGCCACAACAAACATACAAACATACGTGTGCATGTGTCTTTATAGCAGCATGATCTATAATCCTTTGAGTATATACCCAGTAATGGGATGGCTGGGTCAAATGGTATTTCTAGTTCTAGATCCCTGAGGAATCACTACAGAGCTCGCATTGCCAAGTCAATCCTAAGCCAAAAGAAAAAAGCTGGAAGCATCACGCTACCTGACTTCACACTATACTACAATGCTACAGTAACTAAAACAGCATGGTACTGGTACCAAAACAGAGATATAGACCAGTGGAAAAGAACAGAGCCCTCAGAAATAATGCCACATATCTACAACTATCTGATCTTTGACAAACCTGACAAAAAAGAAATGGGGAAAGGATTCCCTATTTAGAAAATGGTGCTGGGAAAACTGGCTAGCTATATGTAGAAAGCTGAAACTGGATCCCTTCCTTACACCTTATACTAAAATTAATTCAAGATGGATTAAAGACTTAAATGTTAGACCTAAAACCATAAAAACCCTAGAAGAAAACCTAGGCAATACCATTCAGGACATAGGCATGGGCAAGGACTTCATGTCTAAAACACCAAAAGCAATGGCAACAGAAGCCAAAACTGACAAATGGATCTAGTTAAGCTAAAGAGCTTCTGCACAGCAAAAGAAACTACTATCAGAGTGAACAGGCAACCTACAGAATGGGAGAAAATGTTTGCAATCTACTTATCTGACAAAGGGCTAATATCCAGAATCTACAATGAACTCAAACAAATTTACAAGAAAGAAACAAACAACCCCATCAAAAAGTGGGCAAAGTATATGAACAGACACTTCTCAAAAGAAGACATTTCTGCAGCCAAAAGACACATGAAAAAATGCTCATCATCACTGGCCATCAGAGAAATGCAAATCAAAACCTCAGTGAGATACCATCTCACACCAGTTAGAGTGGTGGTCATTAAAAAGTCAGGAATTAACAGGTGCTGGAGAGGATGTGGAGAAATAGGAACACTTTTACACTGTTGTTGGGACTGTAAACTAGTTCAACCATTGTGGAAGTCAGTGTGGCGATTCCTCAGGGATAAAGATTCTTAAGGTGGGTATTTTACCTCATAAGATAATTCCATCTTTTTTGTGATTATCCCTCATAGAAAATTATAGGATTTGTGAGTTAATTGATGTATAATATTTTGGTAATAAGAATATATTCTTATATATATAATAAGAATATATTCTTATTTGGTAATAAGAATAAGACCATAAGAAAATTGAGTCTAGTATTGTATGTTGTTCTTGTGGAAACTATAAAATTAAGGGACTGGGTCTTGGGATAACGGTGGAAGAAAAGACATAATATATAAACAGTAGTTCTTCAGTTAAAACTTGGGAAATATAATGGAAGATGGTAGAAAGAAAAGCTAACCATTCTAATGATGCTTTACTGCAAAGGAGGAAGGTTGATGAGAAATGTGGAAAGGAGTCCACTACTTGTGCTTTTGTGCAGTTTTTTTTTTTCGTTTTTTAATATACAAATCAAAAATGTTTTCAAGGACAGTAGATGGCTTACTGTTCTCTCCTTTAAGCCAGTAATCCAAATAATTCCAAGTCTGACTCAGAGTACAGTGACATAATAACTGAAGTGAAAAAAATACGTGATGAGAAATCAAACACAGAAACATAACTTAAAAACATTTTTCATGTGCCTAGTGTCTGCTAAATATATAAGTAATTTGCTAATGTCTTAATAAAAGCCATGAAAGAGGTATTCTGAAATGTTCTAATTGATGATTGAGAACACTTGGGAATTAATTGCATAGTGCCTAGTTATAATAATTTAAGATGTAAGATGTCTTTGATGATGTGTTGATGAAGTGTACAATATTTAGTTTTATTTTTGGTATTTGTAAAAATACAAAAAAAGGTTTCCATAGGTGCAGGCATTGGCTCCTGTAAATATCTGATTTGGTTTTGCTGTGTCCCCACTCAAATCTCATCTTGAATTGTAGTTCTCATAATCCCCATGTGTCATGGGAGGAACCCAGTGGGAGGTAATTGAATCATGGGGCAGTTACCTACATGCTGCTCTTGTGATAGTGAGTTCTTATGAGATTTGATGATTTATAAGGGGCCTGTCCTCTTTTGCTCGGTACTTCTCTCTTCTGCTGGCATGTGAAGAAGGATGTGTTTGCTTCCCCTTCAGCCACGACTGTAAGTTTCCTGAGTCCTCCCCAGCCCTGCAGAACTGTGAGTCAATGAAACCCCTTTTCTTTATAAACTACTCAGTTCTTTACAGCAACATGAGAATGAATTAATACAATATAATTTTACATTTAAGAACTTAATTTTCCCAATTTTAACTTATTTTTTTCTTAAGGATTCTCAGAAACCTTTGCATTTGGGGAGAAACAATTTCACACCGTTGTATCTCTAGCAGAGTGCCTGACTCCTGGGAGTTGCACATGGAACTATTGTAAAAATAAAGAACAATGGATGTGTAAATGAATTATGATTATATAATCTTAATTCTTTTAACATTTTTATGATACCTTAAGAATGCTACAAATTTAGCACAAATATGCCTATACTTTTAGTTTAGCCACAGTTCAGTCACCTAATTGTGGCAATCTTCTTTGCTGATTACAAAACAGAATTTATTTTAAGATAGAAACATTAAGATTTCTGAAATTTTCATGTTTCTTTTGCTACAAAGACCCTTTGAAATCTTCACTTAGAAATTTTCTGTTTTCAGGGGTATACTTATTGAGTGGTTGCTATATATGAAACAAAAATCTTTTAAAAATTATACTATATTCTATACCTTAAAATAATTTTTCCTTAGGGTCATGCTCATGTATATGTGTAATGTGTTTGTCAAATGGCCAATATCAGCTCTCTTCATTCTTAAAAATATTTTGAAGAAGCTACTACATCTGATTAGGGGAGTCTTATTTTCTTCTTCTTAATTGCTTTTTTAAAAACACAGGATACATGTGCAGAACACTCAGGTTTGTTACATAGGTATATGTGTGCTATGGGGGTTTGCTGAACCAATTGACCCATCCTCTAAGTTCCCTCCCCTTAGCCCCCAACCCCCCAATAGACCCTGGTGTGTGTTGTTCCCCTCTCTGTGTCGATGTGTTCTCATTGTCAGCTCCTACTTATGAGTGAGAACATGTGGTATTTGTTTTTCTGTTTCAGTGTTAGTTTGCTGAGCATGATCGTTTCCACCTCCATCCATGTCTCTTCAAAGGGCATGATCTCATTCTTTTTATGGCTGCATAGTATTCCACAGTGTGTATGTACCACATTTTCTTCATCCAGTGTATTGCTGATGGGCATTTGGGTTGGTTAAATGCCTTTGTTATTGTAAATAGTGCTGCAACAAACATATATGTGCATATGTCTTTATAGTAGAATAATTTATATTCATTTTGGTATATACCCAGTAATGGGATGGCTGGGTCAAATGGTATTTCTCATTCTAGATCCTTGAGGAATCATCATACTGTCTTCCACAATGGTTGAACTAATTTACATTTTAGCCAACAGTGTAAAAGCATTCCTGTTTCTCCACAGCCTCGCCAGCATCTGTTGTTTCCTGAGTTTTTAATAATTGCTATTCTTACTGGTGTGAGACAGTATCTCATTGTGGTTTTGATTTTCATTTCTCTGATGATCAGTGATGTCGAGCTATTTTCATATGTTTGTTGGCCGCATAAATGTCTTCTTTTGAGAAGTGCTGTTCATATCCTTTGCCCACTTTTTGATGGAGTTTTTTTTTTCTAAATTTGTTTAAGTTCCTTGCAAATTCTGGATATTAGACCTTTGTCAGATGCCTAGATTGCAAAAATTTTCTCCCATTCTGTAGGTTGCCTTTTCACTCTGATGATGGTTTCTTTTGTTGTGCAGAAGCTCTTTAGTTGCAACAAAAGCCAAAATAGACAAATATGGGAGTCTTATTTTCTAAATAGGATATTTGGTTTGCAAACCTAATCCTCTAATTTGTGGGTCACCTATTTTCTAAAAAGTATAGTTGGTTGGCAAACCTACTGCTTGTAAGGGACTGACAGATAATATAAATGAATAGGGGGTTTGGGGGCTAACAATAAGGCATGGTGGGAACTGTGGCAACCTGGATAATATATGCCTCTCCTTAAGTAAAGTCACTAACAGACTTGAGCAGATATTAACTAAGCCTCCTAAATTTTCACGAGAAATATTAAATATAAACATTTTAAATGTTAAATCTCAAAGCTTTGAAATATTGGCATTTAAGTAAAATTGCTTGATAAATATCTGTAAGCCAAGCAAGATATAATTATGGGTTACATTAGACTAAATTACTGTCAGACTCTTATCTCTGTTATTTATTTTTCATATGCACAGGTGAAAGTTCACAATTTTAATTTTTCCAACATATGTTTTTAGCAGTAGCTTAATAGTTGTTCCCTTTAATAAAGGAACACATATTTAAAAGATACAAAGGTAGTTTTCAAGTCATAGGTTTTTAAAACTAAAAGAAACTCAGTAATAACATAAAGCGTTTATCAAGTAAGGGAGCAACTAAGCATGTAGAAAATATTAAACAAGTGAGTTATTTGAGGATTTAAATTAGATTTTAAAAGATCTGGAAGGATAACCTTAATCTCCTACTTTGTAGTCCAGAGATCATTACAACACTTCATGAAACCACCTAGTTTCTTTTTTAGCTATATACACATGAGAATATTAAATTAGAAATATAAGATTAGAACAAGAAGCTACAGGAAAGTATCCATCCCACACATCATTTTGGATTTGTTGTTGATATGACCTCAGTTGTTAGAAAAGACTAAGCAGTCATCCCATCATTCAGGATAGAAACTAAATATAAATTTTAAAACAATGATAAGAATTCAAATGAAAGACAATCATTTTCTCAGACATCTTGGCTTTATGGAGATTAAATGAAGTAATACACATGAAAGGACTTAGTATAATGTAACTTCCTATAGAAAATGTAAGAAATTGTTATTGAAAACAATGCTACTTCAAAATCTATGTACTCAGCACTGTTGAAATGCAAAGATATGCATAAAACAAAATTCATGTCATAAATGAGAGGATGTCCACAATAATCAACAAATGAGAAAAAGTTTTCCCAAATGATTAACTGCTAATGAACTATGTTTCATCTTTTATTTGACTATTCATGAAGTTTCTTCCTCTATATAGTTTTAGGATTTTTTTCACCCTACTGTTGCTTACTTCTTCCACTGTTTTCTGTTGAATTTATTTCAATTAGCAATTTTTCCATTTTAGAGTATTACATATTCATTTTAGATCCCACTTGTAAAAACACATAATGCAAGCTTTCTAATTCAAATTAACTTTTAATTTTATTTAATTAGTAACTCTCATTAACATGTCTCCATGAAATGCAGAGCATTTAGAAAATAATTAAAGGATTGGCAATTGTCCTGTGTTTTACTTTTTGATGCAATATACCATTGTAGACAATCAATTTGCAAAACTTTACAAATTGTGATTTATGATTTAATGATTCCCATGCAAATGTAAAAGTAATGAACTCAAGACCTAATCCAAAGGGCAGATCCTAATACAGAAAAACAAGCAAACAAACAAGTTCTTTAGAAATGGAGCCACTGACAGATTTTGGCTTGTTTTCAATTTAGGGAAATACCTAAGCATATTATAATATTTTCTAAGCTTCACAGGATGTTAAGAAGACAATGAGTTTGAAAAAGACAGAATCTTTTCAAATAAAGACACTTGTTTCCAAATTCAATATTATATAGAAAAGTTGCCTGCAGAAGACACTAGTCAAGTGTAGTAAACTTCAAAAGAAGAAAGGTTTTCCTACTGGGTTTTATCTCACTGGAATCCAATAAAACTGCCGTGTTCACTGTGTTTGCAGATATCTGAAAAGAACATTTAGATTTTTTCTTGAAAACTCATCTCTAAAGTACTATTTTCTTAAACTAACCTTATGAAAAAACTCAGGGAAAAAATGTGTTCTTTGTTTTTTTTTATTTTAAAGCTGGTGATGTTTAAAGGTGTTTAGCCTTTCTTCCCTTAGCAGTATTTTTATTTTTTCTAATTTGATCTTTGATGAATATCAAATGTATAGCCCTTTTACATTCCATTATTAAGATATTTTTTCTCAGTTCTGAAGGATGGAGATGTTTCAGGAGAATTTTTTAATAATTATATTGGATATTTAGAGCTGTTAGTGCTTCATAGACGTGGCTTTACTTAATGTAATTATATAAATCAGAGCACAGCATATTAGGGCTTCTTGGATTAACAAGCTAATTGTAATTTATTACTTCTTAAGGATTATTTCCTGGCAGCTAAGCCAAATGATACACCTCACAATGAACATTCAACAATTCTTTCTTCAATACAGTTCAATTGCTCATTTTTATTTTAAATGTTCTCAACTTTATGGCAATGGCCTTTCTCCTTTTACTTTGAATAAAAGATTAATGATAATTACTTTTAAGTGAAAGGTGGTGTGTTTCATTACACTTAGCTCAAATAAGACAGAATTTTCTTGAATCACTGATTAAAAGTGATTAGTACATCATCATGCAAAATGAGACTAAATTCACCAAGTTCTGTGAAGTAGCTGTTAACTATGTGAGTGATATATTCTACCAAAAGTCCCAGGAGCAAGGTAATTACTGAACCAAATGTAATTTGAATCCAATACTTAATTATCCATGATAATCAGTCCTGTACAGAACTTTCTGACTTGGTGGCATGTGGGAGCCTGTTATAAAAAAGAAAATACACCTATTATAGTATTTTGTGGGACAGCCAAGTAGAAAATAACTAACAATTTCCAGCAGGGAATAAAAAATGTACCTAACAAAGCTTGGTATCTGCCTTTGCAAATATTTTAGATGGCATGTCTATCTCACCATTTATAACAAAAATTAGTCTTTATAAGCAGAGAAACACACCTAGGCTCTGATCCAAAGTATATTTCAGCAAAAAATAAGGAGTTATATTATTCCTCTACTTCCTCCTATTCTTTTTGTTAAAGCTTTTTACTGTTATATCATCAGACATTCTCGTAATGCCAATCAATGTTTTAAAAAGAGCATCAGCCTTCTACTCAGAGTTCTGTGAAAAACTGTCATTATTACCTCTCTGTAGTAATAAGAGAAGTATTGTATCATTTGCTTGGATTGACCAATGTATACTGGCCAAGGAGAGCTTTCCATTTCTACAGAAACAAATTTTAATAAAAGAAAAATGAATAAAATTGACAAAGAAATGGTTAGAATCAACTAAAATCGTGTGTTGCTAAAATCATTATGTCAAATAATATTCAGATATCTAGCCTCTTTATTTCTTTATTATACATTAGGAGATGGCTGTTCACCTATCCCCACCTGTAACTATAATGTGATGTCAAAAGGAGCACTGTTGACAGACACTAAGAGTTAGTCGAGCTCACCAAAGGCTGAGGATGTCACTCCTGTATTCCTATTGTTACAAATGTATTTTTGTTAGAAGTGACACATTCCCTCTTGTTAAGGTTAACGACCAATAAAAAAATATTTCTGATTAGAGCCATAGTCTACCACACGGCATTCAGAAATCCAGGTACCTTCTACAATGTGGCTCTTTCTTTAGGGCCTCAGAGATTTTGCATTTAACTTATGAGTAAAACAGTGGTTCTTAAACTAGTGTGTACCATAATCACCCAAAGAGCATGTTAAATAATTTTTTCCTACTCTGAAAGTTTCTGATTCCATGGATCTGGAGTGGAGCCCAGGAATTTATATTTCTAGCAATGTCCCAAGTGATGCTACTGCTCATCTGGGGACCACACTTTGAGACTATCTGAACTGGAGAATAAATAGAGAGATCACACACGAGACGATTTTATAAAACAGGACTTCAAGTAACACTTCCATTCATTCAAGTAGATACCACTTGGGCAAAAGAGGAGGTTGAGAAAGGTAGTTTATTTTTTTGTCCAGTAAAATGATAAGTAGCTAGCTAGACTCTGTCACGGGTGACAATCAGTTCATATTAGTATTATGCCCTTCCACAGGCTCCTAAATGGAAAAATGAGGTTTTTTTTCCTTCCTTCCTTCCTTCCTTCTTCCCTCCCTCCCTGTCTTCCTGCCTTCCTGCCTTCCTTCCAACCTTCCTTCCTCCCTTCCCATGCCTCCCTTCCTTCTTCCCTCCCTCCCTTCCTTCCTCCCTCCCTCCATGCCTTCCTGCCTTCCTTCCAACCTTCCTTCCTCCCTTCCCATGCCTCCATCTGCTTCCCTTCCTTCCTTCTTCCCTCCCTTCCTTCCCTCCTTCCTTCCTTCCTTTCCTTCCTGCTTTCTGTCTTGCTTTCTCTCTTTCTTTCATTTTTTTTCACTCTCTCTTTCTTTCTTCCCTTTCTTGTAACTCCTTATTACCGTGGCCATAACAGAAAAGGAAAAAGAAGTATAACACTTAAGAAAAAATTTTAAAAGAAACAAAACCAATTTTCTTAATTTCCTGTGTAACTTATTCTCATTTCCTGATAAGACCTACCAAATTGCAAACAGTTGAAGGAGATGAAAATTAAAGATATCTTGGCAAAAATGCAAAATGATGTGTTTGCAAGTTTTTCAATACAGTATTATATGTAGATGCAAAAGTCTGAAAACAAACCAAATACACATCATTAAGGAGACTGGATGAATAGACTACGGTAAATACAGAAATGTAGATCCAAAGTTTCTTCTGAAACTCTATATTGGGGTCCGTCCTCTTTAGGGATCCCAGACATTGATTTAAAGATGCTCTGGCCGGGCGCGGTGGCTCACGCCTGTAATCCCAGCACTTTGGGAGGCCGAGGCGGGTGGATCATGAGGTCAGGAGATCGAGACCATCCTGGCTAACAAGGTGAAACCCCGTCTCTACTAAAAATACAAAAAATTAGCCGGGCGCGGTGGCGGGCACCTGTAGTCCCAGCTACTCTGGAGGCTGAGGCAGGAGAATGGCGTGAACCCGGGAAGCGGAGCTCGCAGTGAGCCGAGATTGCGCCACTGCAGTCCGCAGTCCGGCCTGGGCGACAGAGAGAGACTCCGTCTCAAAAAAAAAAAAAAAAAAAAAAAAAAAAAAAAAAAAAAAGATGCTCTATGGAAGTTAAGAAGGAGCAAGTGAGGAGCAACTGGCTGGGCACACCATGGCATAACAATGAGACACACACATTAGCTACTTGTTCCCCTTTGGCAGACACATTAATAGAGTTTGACTATTTTCCATGGTAGATTTGTGTTGGGGAGATTGATTTACAGAGTCTTTAAAACTGATTGTAGGCTGGTGTGCTGGCTCACGCCTGTAATCCCAGCACTTTGGGAAGCCGAGGCAGGCAGATTGCTTGAGGCCAGGAGTTCGAGACCAGCCTGGACAACATGGAGAAACCCTGTCTCTAAGAAAATAGAAAAAATAGCTGGGCATGATGGTGCACACCTGTAGTCCCAGCAACTCTAGAAACTCGGGAGTCTGAGATACAAGAATTCCTTGAACCTGGTAGGCAGAGGCTGCAGTCAGCCGACATTACAGCACTGCACTCCAGCCTGGGTGACAGAGTGAGACACTGTCTCAAATAAAAAAAAAAATCTGAAATGTGTGTGTAACTAGAATATCAATTAAGTATTTTTCAGAAGTATAATTTTTTAAGGAGACCAGTTGTTTGGATTAGCTTAACTATTACATTTTCCTCTTTAGAGCCACAGAATACTGGGAGATTTCTGAATAAAAATTTATTTAAAAAACTTGTTGATATTATTATTTACTTTTGCCTATGTGTATGATGAACTATCTTCCAGCACTACTGTTTATCTGTTTAGTTCTTCTATTTCTACTGATTATAGTTTATATGATTCAACGACATAATGTTTATACTGGAAATGTCTCCAGCAGTTCTTTCTCTGTTGTGATTTTTACCCTTTCTAATTATAAAGTATTAGTAACGATCTTCTTTGTTTTTTTGTTTTGAATACTTTTTGCCTAATGTATCTATTGTAGTATTGTCTGATTCCATTTTGTTTATATATATCTTATACACTGTTTTCTGATTTTTCACATTTATAATTTAGGTGTCTTCCCAACTAGCATTTGTTTTGTTTTGTAGTTAGAACTAAGAGGCTTTAATTTAATTGGAAGAGCTTATTATATTGACATTTTTCTTATAATCAGTATAAAGTGTTTAGTCTTATGTCAACCATCCTTCTGTTTAATAGAGAAGCAGTAGCAGAGTATGAGCTGCCTAGATTCAAATTTCACCTACAACACTAGCATGTGATCTTGGGCAAGTATGTGACAGTAACAACAAAGATAACAATATCAATGTCATACCGATGTTGTAAGATTTAAACAAATTAGTATATGTTAATCATTTGAAACAGAGCCTAATACATACTATATATTATATAGTTTAACTGTTACTATAATTTTTGTTTTTACATTTGATTCTTATTGAAAATACACTTTTTTATGTGGTTTGTTTTCTCTTTTTTTCATATTTTCATATGCATATGTCTTGCTTTTCATTCAATCAGTGAACACTGTTAAGATTTTTAACATTGTCTCTATTTTTTGCAATCATATCCTCAAAATAAGAGGAAGAGTTTCCTACTGTGTCTTAGCTAACGGAAATAAGGAATTCACAATACTCTATGTTCCTCTATCACCATGATGACCACAAATCATGCTCTGTTAATGAATTAGATTCATAGAATTATTATCCGTTATTAATTGTTGTATATTATTGATCTGCTTTCAAAAATAATTTATATTTTATTCAGGTTCATAACCATATGCACTCTTAAATATGTACATTGGTTAATTGTAGTGATAAATGCCACTAATAATTTTGAGATTATTATACCTTTTTTAAGTTATGCTTTTTATTTTGAGATAATTATATGTTCATATAGAGTTGTCAGAAATTATACAGAGAAATATTGTGTATACTTAACCCAGTCCCTTTCAATGGTAACATTGAAAAACTATGGTACAAGATCACAACCAGAATTTTTTTTTTTTTTTTTTTTTTGAGACAGAGTCTTGCTCTGTCGTCTAGGCTGAAGTGCAGTAGCATGATCTCAGCTCACTGCAACCTCTTCCTCCTGGGCTCAAGCTATTCTTCTGCCTCAGCCTCCTGAGTAGCTGGGATTACAGGTGCAAGCCACCAGACCCAGCTAATATTTTGTATTTTTAGTAGGGACGGGGGTTTCATTATGTTGTCCAGGCTGGTCTTGAACTCCTGTCCTCAAGTGATCTGCCTGCCTCAGCCTCCCAAAGTCCTGGGATTACAGGGGTGAGCCACCGTACCCGGCACAACCAGAATATTGATACCGATATAGTCAAGATTCAGAACATTCCCTTCATGACAGGATTCTTCATGTTGCCTTTTTTAAAAAAAATCCTACTTTAGCTCCCTGGAAACCATTTATCTATTCTCTATTTCTATAAATGCCGTGTCAAACAGTATGTGATATTTTGGGACTGGCTCTTTTCACTCAACATAATCCTCTACAGGTTAATCCAGGTTGTTGCATGGTATGGGTATTTAACCATTCATTTCTTGAAGGACATCTGTGTTGTTTGTGGCTGTTATGAACAAAGCTGCTGTACACATTTGTATACAGATTTTAGTGTGAATACACATTTTCAATTCTCTAGAATAAATGCCCAGGAGTGCAATTGGTGGATCATATGGTAGTTGTAAGTTTATATTTTTAAGAAACTGCCAAGCTATTTTCCAGAGTACCTCTATCATTTTATATTCCCATGAGCAATGCATAGGTGATTTGGTTTCTACACACCCTGGGCAGCATTTGGTGTTGTCACTACTTTATTTTTAGTCATTGTAATAGGAATGTAGTGACACCTCATTATAGTCTTAATATGCAACTCTCTAATGGCTAATAATGTTGAAAACATTTTTTTTCAAGACAGTGTATCACTCTTTCGTCTAGGCTGGAGAGAATTGGCATGATCACAGCTCACTGCAGCCTTGACCTCTTGGGCTCAGGCGATCCCCCTGCCTCAGCCTCCTGAGTTGCTAGGACTACAGGCAACTGCCATCATGCCTGGCTAAATGATTTTTTATAGAGATGGGATCTCCATTTGCTGCCCAGGCTGGTCTCGAACTCCTGGACTCAAGCAATCCTCCTTCCTTGACCTCCCAAAGTGCTGGGATTATAGGCATGAGCTACCACACCCAGACTGAATACATTTTTATATGATTATCTGTATAACTTTTTATCAATATGAAATCTGTACATTCCTTCCCTTGAAGTGTCTCTCCATGTCTTTTTTATCTATTTCCCAATTGGATTTTTGATTTGAACTTTCATGTTTTGAGAAAGCTTATACAGTCTAGATACCAGTTGTTGGATATGTGGTTTGCTAATTTATTATCTCACTATGCGGCTTATTGTTTTATACTCATAACAGAGTCTTTCAAAGTAGAAAAAAAATTAATTCTGCTGAATTTCAATTAGTCAATTTTTCCTATTATATCTGGTTCTCTGGCATCAAGTCTAAGAGCCAAGAACCCCTTTCCCCGAGCCATAGATCGAGAGAAATTTCTTTTTTTTTTTCAAAAAATTTTACAGTTTTAAATTTTATATGTAAGTATTAGATCCATTTCAAGTCAATGTTTTGTATAGTCGCATCTCACTTTTTGCCTATGAGTGTCTAATTGGTCCAGAAATATTTGCTTGGAAGGCTACCCTTCCTCTATTGTATTACTTTAGCACCTTTGTCTAAAATTAATTGGGAATATTTGTGTGGGTGTATTTCTGGTTCTATATTCTGGCCTATTTGCCTATGTATCGTCCTCATGCTAATTTTTACATAAGTCTTGATTACTGTAGCTGTATAATCCTATTGGTCTTAAAATCAGTTTATCTAATTGTGCTTTTTCAAAATTATTTTCAGCTATTCCTGTTCCCTTACTTTTCGACATAAAATTTCAAATTATCTTTTCTATGCCTACCAAAATCTTCCAGGGATTTTGATAAGAAGCATGTTAAACTTGTGTATCAGTTTGGGGAGAATTTACATTTTTATGTTTTTTATGAACAAAACGTGATTCCCCATTTATTTAGATCTTGTTTGATTTCTTTCATTAGTTACATAGTTTTCAGCCTAGATTTCCTGTACCTGTTTGTTAGATTTACACATAAATATTTCTTTCTTTCTTTTTATTGTTAAGTGGTAATTAATGGTATTACATTTTTAATTTTTGTGACTCATACATAAGAACACAATTGATTTCAGTAGGCTTACCATTTATCTTGTGACCTTGCCAAATTTATTTATTTATTCTAAGATACACTTAATAGATTCCTTGGGATTATTTGTTGAAATAATTATCTCTTCTGCAAATAGAGAACATTTCCTTATTCATTCATTTATTTATTTATTGAGACAGAGTCTTGCTCTGTCACCCAGGCTAGAGTGCAGTGGCATGAACTTGGCTCAGTGCAACCTCCACCTCCTGGGTTCAAGTAATTCTCGTGCCTCAGCCTCCTGAGTAGCTGGGATTACAGGTGTGCCCCAACAAGCGCAGCTAATTTTTGTATTTTTAGTAAAGATAGGGTTTTGTCATATTGTCCAGGCTGGTCTCGAACTCCTGGCCTCAAGTGATCCACACACTTAGGCCTCCCAAAGTTCTGGGATTATAGGTGGGAGCCACCACGCCTGGCCCTTATTTTTTTTCTCTCTCTCTCTTTTTTTTTTTTTGATACAGAGCCTTGCTCTATCACCCAGGCTGGAGTGCAGTGACACAATCTGGGCTCACTGCAACCTCACGTCGTGGGCTCAAGCGAGTCTCCTGCCTCAGCCTCATGAGTATCTGGGATTACAGGCATGCGCCACCATGCCCTGCTGATTTTGTATTTTTAGTAGAGACAAGGTTTCGACATGTTGGCCAGACTGGTCTCAAACTCCTGACCTCAGGTGATCCACTTCCTCGGCCTCCCAAAGTGCTGGGATTACAGGCTTGAGCCACCACGCCCAACCCCTTATTTATTATTTCTAATCTTCATGGCTTTTATTTTATTTTCTTGACTGATTTTATTGGCTAGAATTTTGAGTTATGTCCAGTAAGAGTGATGAGAGTGGACATACTTGCTTTGTTCCCAGTCTGAAAGAGAAAGAATTTTCTTTCATCTCTGAATATATTACTTTAGGAATTGTGTAGCTGCCTGCTATCAGGCTGTTGAAATTCCTCTCTATTTCTGTTTTTCTGGTTTTTTTTTTCATAGATGCTCTACTTTGTCAAAATCTTTTTTCTTGTCAATTGATTTGATGATATAACACGACTTCTGTTGACTATTAATATGGTAGATTACACTGATTAATTTTCAAATATTTAATCAGCTTTGCTTACATGGCTAGAATAAACCCCATTTGGTCATTGCATATAATTCCTTTTATACATGGCCGAATTTTATTTGCTAATATTTTCTTAAGGAGCTTGGTGTTTATATTCATGACAGATATTGATTTATAGTTTTCATGTGTGTTTGATTTCTTTTTTGGTAGTGATTTTGGTTCATGGAAATACAAACTTCATGAAATAAACTAATAAAGGTAATTCCTATTATATTCCCTATAAAACTTTATGTAGAATTGTTAATTTTCTTTAAACTTTTGGTGGGATTCTCCACTGAAACCATCTGGGCCTGGATATTTATTTTTGAAGGGGTGAGTTAAATTATAATTTCAGTGTCTTTATTTTTTTAGGGTTATTCAAATTATCTATTTGAGATTGAATGAGTTGTAATACCTTGGTTCATTTAATCTACAGTGTTAAATTTGTACATTTAGAGTTGTTCATAATAATTCCTATCATTCTTGCAATGTTTTCATGGCTCATAGTCATATTCTCTATTTTATTATTGATATTAGTAATTCATGTCTTTTCTCTTTTTTGTTACCAATGTTGATAGAAATTTATCAACTTTATTAATTTTTTTTTTTTAATTTTACTTTAAGTTCTAGGACACATGTATGGAATGTGCAGGTTACACAGGTATATGCGTGCCGTGGTGGTTTGCTACCCCTATCAACTCATCATCAAGGTTTCAAGCCCCACATGAATTAGCTATTTGTTCTAATGCTCTCCCTCCCCTTGCCCCCCACCCCACCACAGGCCCCGGTGTGTGCTGTTCCCCTCCCTGTGTCCATGTGTTCTCATTGTTCAATTCCCACTTTCGAGTGAGAACATGCAGTGTTCGGTTTTCTGTTCCTGTGTTAGTTTGCTGAAGATAATGGCTTCCAGCTTCATCCATGTCCCTGCAAAGGGCATTATCTCATTCCTATTTATGGCTGCATAGTATTCCATGGTGTATACCACATTTTCTTTATCCAGTCTATCATTGATGGGGATTTGGGTTGGCTCCATGTCTTTGCTATTGTAAATAGTGCTGCAATAAACATATGTGTGCATGTGTCTTTATAATAGAATGATTTATAATCCTTTGGGTATATACCCAGTAATGGGATTGCTGGATCAAATGGTATTTCTGGCTCTAAATCATTGAGGAATCGTCACACTGTCTTCCTCAATGGTTGAACTAATTTACATTCCCACCAACAGTGTAAAAGAGTTCCTGTATCTCCACAGCCTCACCAGCATTGATTGTTTCTTGACTTTTTAATAATCGCTGTGCTGACTGGTGTGAGATGGTATCACATTGTGGTTTTGATTTGCATTACTCCGATGATCAGTGATGTTGGGCTTTTTTACATATGCTTGTTGGCCACATGAATGTCTTCATATGAAAAGTGTCTGTTCATATCCTTTGCCCACTTTTGATGTGGTTGCTTTTTTCTTGTAAATTTGCTTAAGTTCCTTGTAGATTCTGGATATTAGAGCTTTGTCAGATGCATAGATTGCAAAAATTTTCTCACATTCTATAGGTTGCCTGTTCATTCTGATAATAGTTTCTTTTGTTGTGCAGAAGCTCTTTAGTTTAATTAGATCCCATTTGTCAATTTTGACTTTTGTTGCAATTACTTTTGGTGTTTTTGACATGGAGTCTTTGCCCATGCCTATGTCCTGAATGCTACTGCCTAGGTTTCTTCTAGGGTTTTTGTGGTTTTGGGTTTCACATTTAAGTCTTTCATCCATCTTAAGTTAATTTTTGTATAAGGTGTAAGGAAGGGGTCCAGTTTCAGTTTTCTGCATATGGCTCGTCATTTTTCCCAGCACCATTTATTAAATAGGGAATCCTTTCCCCCTTGCTTGTTTTTGTCACATTTGTCAAAGATCAGATGGTTGTAGATGTATGGTGTTATTTCTGAGGTCTTTGTTCTGTTCCATTGGTTTATATATCTGTTTTGGTACCAATACCATGCTGTTTTCGTTACTGTAGTCTTGTAATATAGTTTGAAGCCAGGTAACATGATGCCTCCAGCTTTGTTCTTTATGCTTAAGATTGTCTTGGCTATACTGGCTCTTTTTTTGGTTCCACGTGAACTTTAAATTAGTTTTTTCTAATTCTGTGAAGAATGTCAATTGTACTTTGATGGGAATAGCAATGAATCTGTAAATTACTTCGGGCAGTATGGCCGTTTTCACAATATAGATTCTATCTAAGAGAATAAAATGTTTTTTCATTTGTTTGTAACTTTATTGATATTTTTAAAGAAGCAGTTGTTCTATTAATGTTTATATCTGTGACCTGTTTTTAATTTCATTTATTTCTGTTCTTATTGTTATTGTTTCCTTTCTTCTACTTAATTGAGTTTATTTTTGCAGTCCATTTTTTAGATTCTTGAGGTGGGAGTTGAAATTAGTAATTTGAAACCTTGCCTCTTTTCAAATGTATGAATATGCTTTTAAAGATTTTCCACACAATGTAACTTTAGCTGTGTCACACAAATTTTGAAGTAATACATTTTCATTTTTGTTTAGTTCAATGCATTTTTAATTTCTTTTGAGACTTTTTATTTAACCATGGGTTATTTCAAAATGAGCTGTTTATTTCCCAAGTGTTTTTTCTTTTTAATATATAAATTTTGGCTTCTTTTTTGGTGAAGGGGATTATATGTATTTTCTTTTTAAAAATAATTAAGTTATTTAAATGTATCAGTCAATTTAATTTGGTTATATGAAATTAATATCTGATTTCTGAATTAAATTTTCCATCCATATTTTCACATGTGCTCATTTTTATTCTATTTTTATTGTGTTTTTCCAGTTAGTGGAAATTTAGCTTGTTCTCAATCTTTCTTATTGTTAATAATTGTAGTTAGAATTCTATAGTTTCCTCTGATTAGCTCATTGACTCCATTTTGCAGGCTTTAAATTCCTCTTTCATTATAATTCAGTCCTACATACCAGAGAATTATCTAATTTCAAAAACATAACCAATTATATGAATTAATTTCTTCTACATTTTTGAGGTGGTTTCTAATTTCCCTTTATTGTGATTGGTAAACATCCCTTTTGTGATGGAGTTTATTTACTTGTCAGAATTATTTACATATTCTTGAAACTTCTACTTTACAGTTTCTTTTGATTAAAAGATTCTTAAATTTATGTTAATAAGTATCAGCTTTTTCCTGTATGTTCAGCCAGCAAATATCAAGCTACAAAGGAGAAGAATATATTAGCAAATCTTATAATATATGACATCAGAATAGTTAGGATACTTGCTTGTCTTAGTGCCACATCAGCATATGCACAATTGCAAATAGTAATGTCTGAGTGACTTAGAGTAACTCAACTCTGTAGAAGCACACATTTCTCCAAGTAAATAAAATAAAAGTAGCCCTATACTTGGTATAATCTAGACATCTACCAGTGACCACCCCACATTGTCCAAGAACACTTGGTAATGTATGCAATGCAACAGACAATAAATCCAGTAATGAAATAGCCTAGTACAGTTCGCTGTGGGTACATTCCTGAATTCCCTAGAGATCTCCAGAATTTCTGCTAACAAACCTTTGATCAAATAAATTGTTTGCTTTAAATATGTTGACCATGAGTAATGCACAGAGTTGTACAGGGAAATATTTTCAAAAGGTTTTTCATCATATTAATACTTCCAATTTTTACATGAAAATACATTAATCTATTATTGTTATAATTTCAAAACTATAATATAAAGAGAATGTATTTACTATTTAGCAGATCTTTTGAAATTCATAAATTTTATTCAACAATTATTTTATTTACTAATCTAAAATGGTATCTGTAAAACGCTATATGTCTTTGCAAGTCTGATCAATACAATGAAGTAATTGAGAGTTTGAATTCTGAAAATCAACTTTGTTCAATTGAATTCAATGCTTCCTCATGAATGACACTATGATCCTGTGTGATTTTCGGCAAAATTAATCTGTAAAATGGTAATTATAATAGTATCTTCATCACTAGGTCATTTTGTATATCAAATAAGATTTTCTATTATACATTAAGTCTTTAGCCCAGGTGCACACAAAGGTTAGACATTACTAGGTAATAGAGATGGGAAGAGAAAGAAGGCCAAAAAAATCTTTAATTTTTAAAATGTTGTAATTAATGTGCAACAATATCAAATTTATTTTCATGTAGTCCTGTTTGATTCATTGGCAAACTTTCATTCGTGTGTCAGAATTATGTGCGCTTTTCTTAAAATGTGTTGTGACAATTTTTGGTGCCCAAGACTCCATTTCATTTGGGAGCTTGAGAAAAACTGTCTCTTGGCAACCAACGTTGTTGATATCTCTGCGAAACTGCATAATATTTCTTCTGTCTTCAGATCTCCTTTCTCATTACTGAAACAAGATAGATATAATTAAGGTATGTGTCTGAAATTCAAAATGATGTAAGAAAATAGAATGGTTACAAATTGTCCTTGGACAGGGTGACTTGCTCTTAGTGACTGCATTGCCTATACATTTGAGCAAAGACATGGTGATCTGAATTTCTTCCTACCACCTGATATATAAAGGGCTGAAAGTTTGTAGAACTTGTTTCTGTGTTTGGTTAAATACAGAAAAAAAGCAAGTGACTAAAGTTTTTTTTTTTTTAAGGCTTAGTTGAATATATAAGGTAAAACTTTCATCTCAGAATAGTTGATCCTTAAAAAAAATAAGATTGGGAGAATCAGAACACAAGAGTGCAATTTTCTGTGACCACAAAATCATGTTAAATAAATCAATGAAATTGAAGTGAAGTGATCCTTTTTAATTTAAAGTAAAAACTCATTATGGAATAGGAAAGTTAATATTTCAAAAACAATATAGCTCAGTTTTGCAATAAAGGAAAGTTATATTCAACAATCTCATTCTCTGTATTTTTTTGGAAATAGTTGATGAGGCAATGAAGACTAGGATGCCTTTTGTTCCTTTCATTTGAAAACCCCAAGAGGCACTCATCAAATAAACCTATATTTATTTTACTTCCAGTATCCATTAAATATGTGAGGAGGCTGAGATTACAATGGAGCCTGAAAGAAGCAGCTACTACAGTAGGCTTTTGACTAAATGCCAGCTGAGCACTCTGCCTTTCCTAAGTGCAACTACTCTTTGAATTAAATTATTTCCACAGTAATTTAGCAGCATGAACATTTAGAAAAAAATGTTCTCTAAAACAACTGTTATTATGTACATCTATAGAAATGGTGAGTCAAGATGAGATGAGGCTTTACTGAGGTTTGAAGTATTGATTAAGTTTCAGAAGAATCATAGGAGAAATAACGATTAAATTTTAAAAATAAAGACAGGCTCTTTTTTTCTGATTTTCCCATAGGCAGTGCTGACCAATCTTGAGCCTGTGGAATTCCATTAATTTCTAGAAACATTTTTGATGACAATATCCTCAGACTAGGGGGAAATAAGAGTGAGATTATTGTTTTCTAATTTCAGTCCATAATTTAAAAATACAACTGATTTTTCTATTTGTATCCTTTCTTTTTCTTTAAATATTTGTTTAGAGTACACTTTAGTTCCCTTATTCTTTGTAAAATATTGTCATAGGAAACATTTTCACTTGGGTATTATATTATATATCTCAATTTAGATATTCTTCATGGCTATCTTCATCTTTATAACTTTAAAAATTCAGATCTAAGATAATTTGATGCCAAAAGTTTTATGAAGTTAATGAAACTATGCTATGGGCTTTTCATGTGCTGTGGATATTCTAAAACATCACTAAATTTTGGGAATCTTTCCAAATTGATTACAGGAGCTCCCTGAATATCTAAATAGTCTAATCTGCATCATTCATCATGTTGGCTTCTAATAAACAGATCAGACACAATAAATTTAACTGAAAACTTTTGCATGACACTAAATATTAAATAATATGTGTGGGGGATACATACATACAGATAGATGACAGAGATTATAGCAATATGATTTTAAAGTATTTATTTTTGTTTTTATTTTTTCCATTGTCCCACTCATTTTATTGAAATAATCATTTTTCATATGCCAAGGTTCCTCAATTTTTAAGTAATTTCAGCAGTAATTTTAATTCCATGTACTTCCTATATCCCATGCACCTGTCCACACTGGTCTTTTTCTTTATATCAGTTGTCAAACTTTAGCGTCCTTAGAATCCCTGGAGAGCTTGTTACAGCATTGATTGCTAGACCCCCATCTTCAGTTTATGATTAAGTAGGTATGAGGTAGACCCAGAGGATTTGCCTTCCCAAAAACTCTGAGGTGATGATGACGATGATGGTTCAGGGGTCAGAGTTTGAGAAACATTGTTTTCATACACATGATTATTATTTTAGTTTGGCCCTTAGAAGCTTACAATGATTACCAACTTTTTTTTTTTAACCCCTCATCATTACTTCCATCCTAAGTGACTCATTCTGCTGATTGTAGATGCATGTAATTTTTCTCAGCCATTGCTTTAAAATACTGCACATAATGTTTCCATTCTCATTTTGGAAGCTTCAGCAATTCCCCAATTCTCATCCAGAAATTGTTTCCTGAATGCCTAGTATGTACCAATTATGAATCCAGACAGTGAAAATATAAGACTGAAGCAAAGAAACAAAATTCTATGTTCTTAATGAATTTATGTTTTAGTGGGGAGGTAAGAAATAATCTTTCAAAAGTTCAGCACATAGAATGTTAGTGATAGGGCTAGTTGAGGATGATATAAACGTTGGAATGATTTTGAACCCCTAGATAGAATGGTGGGGAATGAGGCAATGAGGAAGTGACATTTAAGTAAAAACAGGAAGGAATAGAGAAAATTAATGATACTGAAGGCTAAGCAAGTGAAAAGGCCTTGAGGTGGAAGCATTCTTATTGCTCCTGAACAGCAAGCAGGTTGGTGTGGGTGGCTAGTGCATAGAAAATTAGGTAAAAAATTTTATGAAATAACTCCTTAGCCTGTTATTTAAAGTGATTCATAGTCTTATCTTCCTAAATTAACACTTTATGGCAGAGAAAGGAGTTTGCTCATTCCCAAAGACTCTGTGAGCACTCCTGGCTTCCACATTTTATTTTTGCCATTCTACCAGCCTGTTTACATACCCTTTTCTTTATCTGGGTAAACAATCTATAACTGTCAAGTGAAACACTATTGCTGATAAAATGTACATGATTTTCCCAGCCCACAATCCATTCTCTTTTCTGTAAACTGCTTAATACCACTTTTTTTGACACACACACACACACACACACACACACCTTTATATTAACATAATGTATTTATATTTGCAAACCCACAATGCATTCTCTTTTCTCTAAACTGCTTAATAGAACTTTTTAGACATACACACACACACAAACACACACACACAAGCCTTTTTATGAACATAATATATTTATATTTCTCTATCTTCAGATCTAAAATTATAAGCTGAGAAATGGAGAACTATCTTAATAGCTTTCTGTATCCTATAGCAACCAGAGTGCCTTGCAGTAAGTCAATTTTTTTAATGGATTCAGTCGTGTTTGTCTGTAGGATTGAAAGCTTGGTAAAGTGAGTGATTCTGTCTTTCATTTGACAGACATGTATTGAACGTTTCCTAAATATCGCACTGAGGATAGAGAAGAAGAAGGCCCAATTCCCAGTGACAAAAAAGATTATAACCAAGTCTGGAAAACCACCTAATAAATGTGCAAGTACAATGCAGCATAATGGGGAGTCTAGTTAGAGAATTACATGGGAACTTGTATATGTTACTGTGGGTCCTCTGAGAACCAGATGCTAAGACAAGATTAAACATGCAAAGATTTTCTTAGGGCAAATGGCTGTGAGAGAACATAGGAAGGAAGTGAAGAAATTTGAGAAGCAGTCAGCAAGTCTGATTCAGAATGAAAAAGAGAGGAAGGTGGTCTGGGTGAACATTTCTTAGCCTGCCAGTTAGTCTGAGAAAAATCCAGCCAAGCAGAAGAGGCGTTGAGGCAACGCCAAAACCACAAGTGTCCATGTTCCCCAGGATGAGTCTGCCTTAGTCTCTCACCACACTCAGTTGTTGACCAGACAGCCTAGGAGGGGCGGCCTTCACACAACTGCAGCCATGTAGTTGAGTACAGCAGTTGGGTTCTTGCTCAGTGATGCTCCTGTAGTGGAAGGTTGGCCAGACAGGACCTCATGGCTGCTACCCTGTCGGAAGATGCCAGACCCGGAATGTAACTCAAATGGAGCCAAAGGAAGACTTTCCAGAGCAACCTACACTTGAGATGAGTCGTGGATCTGTGTCAAAAGTCATTTCCATGAAGATGTGAGGAAAAAAAAAAAACAAAAAAACAGCCTATGAAGGCACTGAGGCATGAGGCCCATTGTAGGTGTTGGAAACCTACACCTACAATAGAGTGCATAGGGCATGTGGTAGTGAGCAAAGTGAGATTAGAAATATGGCACCCAGAAGGGAGATCATCATGAACCCCACAAAAGGCATGCATGATTTTACCTTGAAGGAAAATGGTCAGAAAAGGATTCTTACCAGAGTAATTGCATGACTGCATGCTCTTAATATTATGAAGGAAAAGAAAGTAATCTTGCTACCATTTCAACACTAGCCAGGTTTTCAACTGACAATAAAAAAATAGATTTTGAAAAAGGTAAATTGATTTTTGAAATAATTTTCATTTTAGTTTCTGATGTTTAAAATTATTTTGAAAGATTAGTTATCCATTTCCTGTAAGAATCTAGACCTTAAAATTCATGACTTCTAGAAAAAGGCATTTCAAATTAGAATTTAGATCCTTTTGTATTAGAGGCTATTTTGTTAAAAACAGTTTTATAAAAATCTCTGAAGAGTTTTAGGGAATGTATAGAAAAGGGCTTAATCTAGGAGATGGACTGAGCAGAAGTACTTGTGAATCTTTGGGGATTCTTTGCCACTCTTTTGAAGGACTTTGAGAGTATTCGATATCTACCATTAATGAACACAATAGAACATTCTTGGCCCTCCCATAGTCTGGTATTCCTCAAAGAGAGTTTCCCATAATACTGGCAACTCCCATTAGATGGTAATAGAAAAAGTTCTGGGAATGCTACTCAAAGATTATTTTCTTAGTCCTGTTAATAGAGACCCAAGAGATTATTCATACTGTCCAAAATCTTAACTTGTTCTTTCTAATAAAATGTTTTATTTTGGTAAAAATTGCTGCTTGATCCCTGTCACAAGCTGCCGGACTAATGCTCTTAGTAATTAGCCATACCCGTCTATAAGAAATACACAGTCATGCTTTGAATAAACCAACGGCAAAAAAGTTTTCTACTTACTACATACATACATAGAAGCATCCAGAAAATGAGGCCATGCACAGAATAATTCCTATACACTGCATTTCGATGGTTGCAGGGCAGTGGTTCTGAACTGCAGGAAGAGAAACAGTTTATACCTTGCACTGCCCAAGGACATTTGGAAATATGAGGATACTCTTTAGGCTGTCACATCAAGGAGGTTGCTACTCACATTTAGTTAGTAGAGGCCAAGGATGCTGCTAAACCTCCTACAATTCACAAGACAGCAACTTCACCCCTCAAAAAAGAATTATTCAACCCAAAATATCAATAGTTCCAATTCTCAAAAATCCTGTTGTAGGATTTCCCATCAATCTGATGTTTACTGTATGTCATCAAGGCATATATCTGAGAAACAAACATACAGTAGCCCAGCTCAGTACACAGAAGATACAGACAAGCACAAGTCCTTGGATGAAAGAAGATCCTGGCTTCAGTCCACACAGTACATAGGTATGTTTCACTTCATACATATCTCAATGACTAGTAAAACATTGGACCAGTTGCTTTTAGCTCTAGTGACAAGAGAGCACAGGGACAATGTGGGAGAAATTTCACTTGTATTTCCAGGTAGAAAGTGGCTGCATGTGAAATCCCATCATCCAAATAGGCACACAGACTTGTCCCTACTGTACATTAAACAATTACTGTATCTGGTTTTATTGAATATTTACTATAATTTTTAACATATTGAAGTGTATACAGACTTGTCACTTAATGACAGGTTTGTGTTCTGATAAATGCATTGTTAGGGAATTTCCTTATTGTATTCATATTATAGGGTATACTTAATAAACCTATATGGTATAGCCTACCACACTTCTAGGCTATATAATATAGGCAACAAACTTGTATAGCATTTGACTGTACTAAATTCTACAGGCAATTGTAATACAATGGTAAGTATTTTTGTATCTTTCTATCTAAACATAGAAAAGTTACAGGAAAAAATATGGTATAAAAGATAAAAAATGGCACACCTATACATGGCACTTACCATAAATGGAGCTTGTAGGATTGGAAGTTGCTCTGAGCAAATCAGTGAATGAATGGTGAGTGAATGTGAAGGCCTAGGACATGACTATAGACTTTATCATTATTGTACACTTAGACTACACTAAATTTATAAAAAATATTTTTAGTTTTGATGATATATTAATCTTAGCTTACTATAACTTTTTTTGCTTTACAAACATTTCACTTTTTTAAAAAAATCTCTCTTTTTTAATAAAGCAGCTTAAAATACAACTACATTGTACAGCTGTCCAAAAATATTTTATTTATTTATATCTGTATTCTATAAGTATATATATTAAATATTTACTTATTTTTTACTTTTTAAACTTTCTTGTGAAAAATTCAGACACAAATAAACACATCAGCATAGGCCTACATAGGGTCGGGATCATCAATATCGCTGCCTTCTAGCTCCACATATTGTCCCAATGTAAGGTCCGTCAGGGGCAATAATAAACATGGAGCTGTCATCTCCTATGATAACAATGCCTTCTCCTGCAATACCTCCTGGAGGACCTGCCTGAATTTCTTCTTGAGGAGGCGTCTTTCTTTTCAGAAATATGGTTGTAAAGTTACCAGGCAATGGAAATAATTCAGTTCTATTATTATTACGCTACTGTTGTACATGCAGTTAGTTGTTGACCAAAAGTTCATTATGTGACTCATGACATGCATACATATGTATATATATATATATTCACATATATATGAGTGTGTATGTGTATGTGTGTGTGTATATATACACACACACGTATAACCCTTCAAAATACATATATTAGCCCTACTACATAAATGAGGAAACTGAGATAGAGATTTATTCATTTGCCTAAGTTCTCATAGCTTATAAGCAGGATGGTTTGATGGCTTGTATATCCTCCCAGCATTATGATTTGTGGTGGTTTTCCCCCTTGAGACTGCTGTTTTGCAGTTTTTTTAAAATTTTGAAACCATTTTCCGCACACACATCTCTATTTCAATGAACCCATGTCTCCTTCCAAAAATATCCCCAATTATCTTCTAGTGTCCAAATTGAATTACCTTTACCTTGGTTTTCATCTTCTTTGAGGTTTCTGATTCATTACTGCTATTGAAACTGTCCTCAGCAACATGATAATTGGCTGGTTCTATTGGTATGGCCACCTGACCCCTCAACCTTTAGTTTGTTTCCTTCTTGTCTGTTAGGACTACTTTTATCCTCCTTTTCTTTAAATTTGACTCTTTCTCTGATTCTGTTCTTGAACCTCTTTACCTCTCTGCTGTCATATTATTGACAATTCTATCTCTTTCTTCAGTACAGATAATTCAGAAGTCAATTTTAAGAAACAAGACTTGTGAGTCATCAATGTATAGGTGGTTACTGAATATAGGCAAGTATTATCTGGGTAACAAAGAGATCCAAGGAGTAAACACTTAAAAATATTTTACTTTGAGGGGTAGGAAAAAGCATATTTGTTGAAGAGTGTGTGATATTTAATTTTATATATCAACTTGGCTATTGAACAATGCTTAGATACTTGGTCAAACACCAATCTAGATGTTGCTGTGATGATATTTTTAGATGAGATTAACAGGTTAATCAGTAGAATTTGAGTAAAGCAGATTGCCCTCCATAATATGAGTGAGCATCATCCAATTAGTTGGAGGCCATAAGAGAAAACAGTCTGAGGCTGCCTGAAGAAAAAGGAATGCTGCTTCTGGACTGTTTTAGACTTGAGGTTCAATATCAACTTATCCCTGGGTCTCTAGCTGCAAATCTGCCCTGAAACAATAGGATAAACCAATTTCTTAAAATCAGTCTCTCTCTCTGTCTCCACGCTCGCACATACACAAACAACATAAACACACAAACATTCTATTGTTTCTGCTTCCTTACAGAACACTGACAGACAGAGTCTGATAAAGAATGCCTAACAAGCCAGGAGAGATTATCTTTCTGGTCTCTGATGGAGCCTCAAATAGTGTTGTGTTTAGCAAAGTCAAATGCTACAGAAGGGCCTACATTTTAAAACAGAGAAGAGACCAGTGAAGAATAATCTTTCCTCATGGCAACTTAAACAAGAGGAATTCCACTGGCATGCTAAAACAAAATTGTAATGACTTAAAAATTCAGTGAATATGAGGGTTGGAGATATTACAGTATATACCTTTTCAAGACATTTGATGATTTCAGATGGTATTGTATGTATCTCTGCTTTCCATTCTCACTGCCAGTCCCAAAGTTAAAGGCTTTGACCCCTTGCATGGTTGATCGCCCCGACTGTTTCTCATGCTACTGCTGAGTCATGCTTTCCCCATCACTCCACTAATCTCCTCCATGTTTATCATTCTGTTTATACAGAATGATTATGTATCTTGCCTGAGAACCTAGAGCACTCTCTATTCAATTACCCATTATTTTTCAGTCTGGTTTCATGACTCTCCAGACCTTGCCCCCTTTCACATACTTTCCACTTTCCACAAAGCCAGGTTATTTTCATTCTCTAAAATTTCTAAACAGTCACTTTGTTTTGTAGCAATCAGTCCCCCACCGTGCCACCCAACCACTACCAATCCAGCAACATACGTAATCCCTACTCAGCCTTAAGAAGTTATCTCGTATGTCATCAATCTCAAAAAGACTTTCTTTTACTTCATAACTGATTTTCTAAACGTCAGCTTGTCTGTGCATAACATAGATAATAGAAATGGTGCTATTTAAAAAAAATAGAAGTTTAAAACTTTCTTATAAAAAGCCCAGATGTGAGCAATCTCTAGGGTTAGAATGGTGACTTTTAGTCCTGGGGATTTCATGTTGTTTGCAGCTCCCTGTTTCACTAACACTAAGACATGAGTCATGTTCCCATAGACAAAAATAGGCCTCCACTTACAGGAGATACATCCTAAGCAGCAGTAGAAAGAAAAAGGGAAAGACAGACAGACATACTCTAGTTCTCTTTCAAACAAATTACCTGCAAACTTTCACGAAACACCCTGACTCATGATCCATTGGCCAGCACATAGTCAATCAAACACATAGCTGAATGGATCTTGAGAAATGGAAATATTTTGTGATAGTGTTTTAAGAGCTCCTTGGAAGTTGGGGCAGGAAACCAGCAGCATCCATCATAACCTGTATTCTATACCTTCAGACATTGTTGGCGTTACATTGCAGTTCTGTGGGTAATAGCCTTGGGTAATAATCTTATCCCTATTTAAATCATAAACTCTTAAAAGGCAGAGAGTATATTAGCGTTTGTATATATGTGTACACGTTAATGTTCCACATGAATGTTTGCAAATAAAAGTGTGTCTATGTTTGACATGATAAATCATGACGTACTTTTGAATTCAGAATCAATTATGATAGAGACACAGGAGTACTATAGGGATGACTGGGAAAGCTGGACTGAAGTGTGAAAACATAGCATAAACCCAAAGCCAAATTAGGCTTCCTGGAATTTACTCCATAAATTTAACTTGGGCAAATAAATAACATAACTACAGCTTTACACAATTGGGTCTTGCTGTTTCTTCTTGTATGGAGGATAGGAATAGAGAGTCCTTACACTGCTTAAGGAAAACCAGTTTGAAAAGTGGGTTCAGAGAAGGAAAGAGAGAGCTTGAGAACAAGAGACATGAGTTGTGCATTCCCAGCAGCCTTTTTTACTAATGCTACCAGCTGAATAAGTTATTGTTTTTTGTTTATTTTGTTTGTTTGTTTGTTTGTTTTTTGTTTGTTTGTTTTTCTGGTATAGATATTCAAGGGTAAAGACCCAGAAGTGTCCTTTCAATATGTTTTCTTCCTGGGCAGTAGAGTGAAATATTACTGAAGCAGGAGAAGTGGGGTAGTAAGTATTTCTCTTAACAAAGTACATAACAGACGTTAATTAAAGTCATTGACTAAGAAATTCAATACCTTTATGTCTAATGACTTATCACATGCTGTGCAGTAATTTTAATAGGAGCTTAACATCATTGGGCTATATCAACTTTCCCATTTCAGATCTGATTATAATTTTTAGTGATTGCTTAAAGAAATAAAGAAAGTGAAGAGTTAACTGCTTCCATTTAAAAATATAACTTACCTAGAATGTGCCAAAGCAAATCAAGTATTGCTTGCACAGCAAACTCATTTTTTCTTCCATATTTTATCATTACCAATTAAGCAAGAGTATTTAATATCAAATTATTGAATCACAAAAGGGAAATGTATGGAAGGCTCACTAGAAGTTTCAATTATTAGGTGTTAGAATTAGTTATTTCTTATTTCTTTTTAACCCTCTATTTTGAATCTTATCTAATTATACTTTTTGCTGTATATTGATATTTCTTTTCTTCTGGATTGTAAGTTTCTTGTCTGAAGAAACTGGGTCTTAATTAATCTTGGAGTTCTCAGAACCTATCACTCTTCCTAGCATAAAGCATATTACTCAATATATGATTAATAAACATTCATTTTTTTTAGTTGAAGAAAATAGTGTATCTCTTATGTGGGAAGCTGATAGTTTCTACATGTACTTGCCTATTAATTTGTGAATATGGGTAACAAATATAAGAATGAATAAGTAAGTATTTCCAAATATGCTTTAAGTTCTAGATTTATTTAGGTCTTAGCATCTGAGAGATTAAGTTTGAGAGAAAAACACAAATTTTTAAAGTATTTGTGAAACACTTTATAGACTTAAAGAAAGAAAGTGTAAGTATGATGCTAACAGCAAAAAGGCTAATAGAGATAGATACCTACACATCTCCAGGAAAGTACTATAACCATAAACTTTAACATAGTTGTTTACATTTGACCAACGCCAAGAAATCTCATTACTTTAAGTCACTCCAAGCATGTAATGGGATACTGTTGGTTCAACACATCCTGATTAAGGCTTCCTCTGAACCTGTTCTTGGTGTTGAGTATACAGTGCTAAAAGTCAGGCTTTCATGAAGATTTTCTTTAGTGATGGCTGAGAGCGTGCACACATACAGAAAATTACTGAAGTTTAAGAAATACATTGAAAAAAACCTGATACTTTAACCATTGTGCCTGTTGAATCTTTTTTTTTTTTTACAGCAGGGTTTACATGTAAATTTTGGAAGACTAACTATCCCACAATTCATTACATCCTACCAGACTGACGTATACATTGTCTATGAAAGAGATTGTTGCTATTTTATAAATCATAAATCAGGATGTCTCTATCTCTAACAAGATAACGCAACAATAGATGAAATATTTGTATTGATTTTTCTCCCTGACTTTCTGGGTTCATCATAGTTGAAATTGCTCAGATAAACCCTTAACTGATTAGCCTCGCTTAGCTCTTCAGTCAGTTCTGGGAAGAACTACAGGGAATTAGTAGCCTCAGTTCAATGACAGAATATGACCTAGACTTAGTCTTTCTTCAACTAAACTGACACCTTGGGTAAGTTCTAGTTACCTATGGAGTTTACTGTTTAGCTTGCCATGAATCCCTGGAGTATATCGTCTTCTCCTTTCTTCCCTTACGAACAGATTGGACGCATCCACAAGACCATTTATTTCTTCAAATTTTCTAACTTATACTTTAATGAGAGGCTAAAAATAGAAACTTGTTCTAAAGCCACTTAAGTAGAAAAAACTACCACCCACAGAAACTAAACCCTATTTCCCGTAATCCAGTGTCTGGCTGGGGTCCTTCCTTAAAAAGTCACTACTGATTTTGAGTATTGCCTTCACTATGAAAACCACCTAGTACTGGTTGATACATCCCCTTCTTTCATATACCAAAATCTTCCTAGATCAGCTCTAAACTTTCATCCCTTTGCACAGCGTTCTTTGTGAAACAGGCTGCCTTTATGCAAGCTAAGTATAGGAAATATACATATATATATAAATTTCCTAGATATTATACAATCCTAAATATCCTCTCCCTCCACACAGGTCATATTATTGAGAACTCAGCATGTCTGAACACACTCAAATTAAGATAATGTCTAAATAAATCTTTAATTTTATACCATGTAATAAAAAAGAATATGGAATTTGTGTACACAAAGATGAGTAAAAATAGTCATGCTGGTAAAAACTATGTTTATTGACACTGACTGGCAAAGACAAGGAATCAGAGTTGTTATTCAGTCTTTGCAGACACACTGCTTGAGTTAAGCAAATTTCAACAAGTTCTGCAGCATTAGTCAGACCTCCAAGCTTAAAATTCTGCATTGTTTAATATTTTCCATTGCTGTGAAGGTAAACACAGTCATTAATCCAAAATCTTGGCAACAGCAATGTTTTGTTGTGAAAAAGTTGATCACCAAGACTTTGCCAAATATATGAGTGCATAGGAAATTTTGACATACAATAAATTGGTGTAATGGATAAAAAATATTCTTGAAACATATTTGACTGGATTTTTATTGTGTAAATCACCATAACCATGTAAATAAGTAGCTTAGAATGATGTTAAAATATTTCTGAAATAGTCCAAAATAGCTTCACCTATAATTTAAATTTATTTTCCAGCAATCATAAGAATCAAATAATCTTCTCCAGTAAAGCAATATTTTATCCAGCAAAAATAGTCATGTTATAGAGTCATTTTTAAGAGGATGTATTTGAGAGTAAGCCAAATATCTAAGCCAATAAATTTTAAGTAAAAAAAAAAAAAGGAAATTTGGATGTTGGGTGCTTTTAGTAGACTCAGGTAATTATCAATAATTATTTAGATGATTTTATGAGATACAAAATTAATTCATAATATAATTATTTGCACTTCTAAAGATTCTTACAGTGTATCTGAGAATAAAAAGTAAAATTTATTGTTATGCAATTACATTTTCTGAATTTTCTATTATAGACATTTTTGATATATATATATATATTTGGAAGAACATTATATATGGGATATACACAGAATGTGATGTGGAGTTATAAAAGATTTGCCATATCTGTAGCTCATTTCCTTCTTATTGTTGTGCAGAGATTTATCCAGGATGATCATTAAATTGAGCCAATGGATGATTGCCTGACAGAAAGAAGAATACACTTTTAGGATAACTATGTGTGAAGTTGTTTGGGCCAATAAGCAACACGAAGAAAGAGTTCCCAGCCCCATTTCAAACTGAAGTGTTTTAAGAATATGAAATGTACCTGATGGAATCTTAGATGGCTATTTTTCCTCTGACATAACTAAATTGACTCATGTGTGGCAAAACTTCTTCAATATAAAACAAATCACTTTCTCAAACCACGTTTTTGTCCATTGTTCCTGTTAATAAATGTCAGCGATAGACTAGAAAGCCAGTTAGATGTTAAAATATGTAAGATAAACTGTAGCTTCATCCTGAGGCATTTAAGTTTCCTGGCTTTTGTGTACAATTTAGATTATATTTTCCATTTTTGAGGATAATTAATTTTGGAAAATTCTTAAGAATATACATTCAGTTATAGGTTGTATGATGTAAAGGAGATTTGAAGAAATAGAATTTGACATCACTATTACATTAGGTTCACTGAGTTCTTGTATGCAAAGTATATATACAGAAAGGCATCATGATATCTTCTAGGTTGATGCTTCCCAATCTACTAAAAATATGCTAAATATTGAGGATTGAAGGCAAGGAACAAAGAGAAGGCAATCCTAAAAAAATAGCACTTCACCCCTTTTTTCATCCACTGAACTCTGGATTTGTGGCTTTATATTCAGTTTTAATTATAGAATGAGAACTCTAAGTAGCTTCTAAGATCTCTTCCAATGTAACACTGACTTACCTCACTATATTCCTATTAAATTTTTAGAAATGAATAATATTAATTTTTCAAATATGTAGAAAATGAACATGTTAAAAAGAACTAACTCTCGGTAGAATTTTGCCAAAATTAAAACGTCCTGAAAGAAGAGTAGGAAAATACAAAGGGAAAATCAAACAGGAGACATCTTAACTATCTTAGTCCATTTTGCACTGCTATAACAGAATATCTGAGACTGGGTAGTTTATAAATAACAGAAATTTATTTTATCACAGTTCTAGAGGCTAGAAAGTCCAAGACTGAGGTGCTACAGGTTTAGCTATCCAGTGAGGGCTGTTTCCTACTTTCAAGATGGTGCCTAGTAGCTGTATTCTTCAGAGGGGAGGAAAACTGTGTCTTCACATGGCAGAAGGTGAAAGAACAAGTCAGCCAAATGCTGCGTCAAACCTCTGTTATAAAAGCCTTAATCCCATTTATGGAGAGGGATACTCTCATGAACTAATCACCTCTTAGAGGCCCCATGTTTTAATATCATCACATTGTCCATTAAGTTTCAACACCTGAATTTTGGAAGGATCACATTTAAGCCATAGCTATGACAAGGAGGCTAGAACAAAAATAATAGAAAATATAGAAGGAACAATATACTGAAATGAAAGTCCTGACTATTTAGATGGAAAGTTTATCATATGTCAAGAAAAATAAAATACACAACACCTGAGAATGAGAAATAAATTGGCAAAGGTACCAATCATAAAAATACAACAATCATGTTAAATTGAGAATACTCCATTACAACATTAAAGTGCTAAAAACATGAATCAATATCTAAAGAATGTTTGGGGAAACATATTAAATATATTTTCTAAATAAGAGCATCATTCACGTAAAAAGAAAACAGAAAAACATTTTGAAATATATAAATATTAAACATATATATATTATATAAATGAATCAACAGTTAAAGAATTAAAGGACTAGGAAACAATTCTGAGTACAGGTAAACATATTAAATTTTAATAATTATATCAACGGATAGCAAAATACAATGTAAGTATTTTAATTTTACAAATAAAAGTCTCTAAAAACTTACTTTATGAATCTCGGTGCTCCTGTATTGGGTGCATATGTATTTAGGATAGTTAGCTCTTCTTGTTGCATTGATCCTTTTACCATTACATAATGCCCTTCTTTGTCTTTTTTTATCTTTGTTGGTTTAAAGTCTGTTTTATCAGAGACTAGGATTGCAACCCCTGCTTTTTTTTGCTTTCCATTTGCTTGGTAAATATTCCTCCATCCCTTTATTTTGAGCCTATGTGTGTCTTTGCACATGAGATGGGTCTCCTGAATACAGCACACTGATGGGTCTTGACTCTTTATCCAATTTGCCAGTCTGTGTCTTTTAATTGGGGCATTTAGCCCATTTATATTTAAGGTTAATATTGTTATGTGTGAATTTGTTCCTGTCATTATGATGCTAGCTGCTTATTTTGCCTGTTAGCTGATGCAGCTTTTTCACAGTTTCGATGGTCTTTATAATTTGTTATGTTTTTGCAGTGGCTGGTACAGGTTTTTCCTTTCCATATTTAGTACTTCCTTCAGGAGCTCTTGTAAGGCAGGCCTGGTGGTGACAAAATCTCTCAGCATTTGCTTGTCTGTAAAATATTTTATTTCTTCTTCGCTTATGAAGCTCAATTTGGCTGGATATGAAATTCTGGGTTGAAAATTCTTTTCTTTAAGAATGTTAAATATTGGCCCCAACTCTCTTCTGGCTTGTAGGGCTTCTGCAGAGAGATCTGCTGTTAGTCTGATGGGCTTCCCTTTGTGGGTAATCCAACCTTTCTCTCTAGCTGCCCTTAACATTTTTTCCTTCATTTCAACCTTGGTGAATCTGACAATTATGTGAGCTGGGGTTGCTCATCTCAAGGAGCATCTTAGTGGTGTTCTTTGTATTTCCTGAGTTTCAATGTTGGCCTGTCTTGCTAGGTTGGGGAAGTTCTAAAGCCAATACATTGAAAAACAGTAGGCAAAAATATCTCATAGTGTGCTAAAAATTGGGATGGCTGGACACACAGGGAAGGACATAATTTTTCACAGGAGGAGATTAAAGGATACTGTTTTAGTTTTGTAGTTTATAGCTAAGAGATAAAATTTAGGCAATATAATGTAAAGATATAGGAGTAATCCCTCTTAGAAAAGAACAATGAATAGACTATATTCATTGCAAATTAGCAAAGATAGGAGAGAAAGTGTAACACAAAGAATTAAAATAAAGGATACTTATGTTGTCTAGCAAAAACATGTTTACATACTTGAAGCATATGTCTCTGCATATGTCATCATGGCACTGACCACAGGTTTTGAGCAGGTGACATGCTTTGGGATATAAATGGGCATGATATTTGCCAGATCATATCTAGAAGCTTTTAAGATTATTGCATGATTAGGTTTGACATCACCCTTCCAATTCCTGCCTTCTGCCTTGAGAATGTGACTCCTAGACAGGAGCTACTCTGTCAGTCTGGGTCTTGGAATAAAATATATGGAACCAAGTTAAGCCAAGCTGAGACATACTGAATCAAGCAGATCTCAAGCTGATCCATAGCCCTCATGCAATGTGAGCCAGAAATAAATTCATGTTGTTGTAAGTCACTGAAATTTGAAGACTATTTATTACCATAGCAAAACTGCAAATGCAGACATATAAAAAATTCTTGCCCCCGAAGAGGGAATTTATTATATTATCTTCTCAGCATTCATTTCCTTCTTGTTCTAATGTTAGCATACATATTCTTATTTAAGAACTCTTTCTCTAAGCTCCATTCAAGTAGTTACAGTGGTGGCATGCACAATTCCTAACTGCATGAGTGGGTATAAGCCTGTCAGAAGCACTCAACATATCCCCCTCATTTGACCATATTGATTGGACCAGAAATGGGTACATGACCCCTTTCAGCCATGAGAGGCATGCTTAGTAGGTTTTCCATAGTAGGGTAGTTACTAATATAAAGAAAAGCCTTCTCTGGACTTAAGCCGTAATTATGTAAGTCCAGATCATTCTGCTTCTATCAGAGGAAGATAGACTGTTTTAAAGAGACAAGACCAAATTTGAAAGTAAAATTGAGACATAGAGAGAGACTGAGCTGTGATGACATTATTAAGACCTTCAATACAATTATTGTATTCTTGGAATTTTCTTGAGCTTTTAGCCTTTAGTCAATTTGAGTTTGAATATTTTTTACTCATAACCAAAATAATGTGTAGTGTTGTAGCTCCCATTCACCTTTTATTATTTGATGAATTACTCCACTAAAATAAGTGAATCAAGGAAGAGGAAGAACTTTAATCCAAGAAACAGCATATAGCTCAATAAAATAGTGAAGTTCAGAGAGAGAGAGCTATGCACTTTGTTACTGGTCACATAATGAGAAAAAAAAGTCTTTAAGAAACTCTTCAAGAAGAATTTATTTAGAAATGTGTCCCAAGTAACAAAGAATTATTAAAAAACTAGAAGATATTAATGACTGAGTAAACAATGTGCATGCTTTATTTTTCTTGTATTCTCCTAATGATAAAAAGAAAGGCAGTCAGAAATACCCAACCCTGCCACAAATATCTATACAAGAAAGTAATAATTTGTAGATGCAAACTAGAAAACACTTTGAGAAGTTGGTGGATGATAGGAGAAGAGGATACGTTTGTCCATTTTGCCAGAAGCTAAATATGTTACCAAACCTGACTACATTTTCAGGTAAAATTGATAGAGTTTAGAAATGGAAAACTCTTCGTTTAGTAAAGAAATATCATAAGAATTAGGCATGTCAAGAAATAGGAGTTTAAGTCTCATAACTATAACTATGCTAATCAAAAGTTGTGTAATTGTAAATATTCATGAATCTTTTTAAGTTAGCTAAATTCTCATCATGGCAGAAAGTGAATAGATAAGTCAGAAGGAAATATGTCATTAAAGATAAAGTTATATCTAAATCTATAATTTACAGGTACACAACACCTCACAGAACAACTAAAATCATAAATAAAATAACTTATACAAAAAGCCGGAGAATGCGGAGGATTAGAAAGGACAGAGGAAAATTACTTTCCATTATAAGTCATTTTCTATAAACTTGTATACCTGAATTTCCTACTTACTTCTGTGTATTTTTTAAAATTTTTTATAAGTAAGTGAGCTAAACTAATTAAAAAAGAAAGACATTTTAATTAAACAAAAATAACATTTTGAACTATACGCTACATACAAGTCATACTGACATTACTTATCATGTCACACTACATCACTCACACTGAAAAGCAATCTACCTAATTAACATGACTATGGAACAAAAAATAACACACTGAATTCTAAAAACTCATTAGTAAGGAAAAATACACTTTTTTTGTTTGTTTTTAAAAACAAAAACAAACAAACAAAACAAACAAACAAACAAAAGACTAGGCTGGGCGCCGTTGGCTCATACCTGTAATCCCAGCACTTTGGGAGGCTGAGTTGGGCGGGTCGCCTGAGGTCAGGAGTTTGAGACCAGCCTAGCCGAGATGGCAAAACCCTGTCTCTACTAAAAATACAAAAATTAGCTGAGTGTGGTGGTGCACGTCTGTAATCCCAGGTACTCAGGAAGCTGAGGCAGGATAATCACTTGAACCCAGGAGGCAGAGGTTGCAGTGAGCTGAGATCGTGCCACTGCACGCCAGCCTGGGCAACAGTGAGAGTGTGTCAAAAAAAAAAAAAAAAAAAAGACTAACAAAATGACTAAAGGTTTGAAGAAACATTTTACCAAAGATATACAGATGGCAAATAAGCACATGAAAATATTCTCAACATTATTTGTCATTAGGGACATTCAAATTAATGCAACACTGAGATACTACTATATACCTACTAGATTGTCTAAAGGTAAAACGTCTTACCATATTAAGTATGGCAAATCCTGTGGAGTAGCTGGAATCCTTATATACTCCTAATGGGAATGTAAAATGTTGAAAACCCTTTGGAAAGTAGGTTGACAATTTCCTAAAAAGTTAAATGCAAACTTGCCATATGACCTAGGCATTCCTGCTCTTGTATACTTACCCAAGGGTGAGAAAATCATATTTCCATAGTAAAGACTTGTATAATAATGTTCTTAGCAGCTTCATATGTAACAGTCAAAAACTAGAAACAGTACTTTCAGAATGACAGTGTGAGCTGTTCTGTGAACCCATTCCTCAGTGAAATAATCATTATGGTAAGAAGTATAAAAAAACAAAAAGGCCAATTATTTAAAGTCACTGGAAAATATCCTAAGGACATACAGTAAATGAAGAAGTATATATTCAATAAAATCTACTAAATATTAGTGAGAACAATGAGCATTTGAGGAACCTGAGCCACTACCTGCCCCTTGGTTCTCCACCTCCATCCAGTTCAGCATGATGGAATCTCTACCTGGGCAGATGTGGCCAAACGATGAGGCTTCAACTCACCCCAGAACTGCATTGAAGACTACACTGTCTCCTCAAGGATAGAAGGCCACAGCATGTCTCATCCTCCCAAGCTCTGTCTTGGCGAACTAAATTCTAAACAAGTGCAGCCAAGAGGTTGAGAGCTGCCTTCCTCTACTTAGCCCTCACTCATGGGTGGATGCTCTAACCAGGCAAGACACATGAGAATAACAGGGCCCCATATTCATATATACAGTCCTTGTCACAGCTTGCTCATGGAGCAGAGATTCTAAGCTGGTAGATAAAAACCAAGAAAACCAGAAACTATCATCTTCACCCAGTACCCTACTCCTAAAGCACAGGGGATCACTCCAAGGGAAGTGGTCCGTTGTCATCTTCCCACCTCTGGGGCAGTGGCTCAGGTTTTCCCAAGGGGAGAAGCAGACCATTAGACCAGAGCGCTCCAAAGCTCTCTTCAAGTGAACTGACTTTATTGAGAGTACAGTGTGGGAAAGTTCAAGTCTATGTTGACTCAAGTTTCTAGGACACTCTTGAAATCAATGGGGATTTGCAGAGTAAGCAATTAAGAACAGGCTAGCAGCTCTAAGACAGCAACAGAGTAAAAGGTAGACCATTTAATTTATATGAATCAGTAAAGCTCTAAAACATGTTGGACAAAAATACAATAAGGAAAAGCTAACAAAAGAACGTAGGAATCACAACTTGATGCAGTTGTGTCTTAACTCAGGAGATGTTTTTAGAATCTATTCTCTCATTGTAGGCACTTCAATAACTCACTATACAAACTACTGATATTTTAAAAACTAATACAGGATTAAAACTGAAACAGTATGGAATTAACATTGCAGGCAGACAGAAACATTTTGAAATTCTTCACTCATCCTTGCACTCCTTCATGATTTGAGGGTTAGTCTAAATGCAGAATGGTTTGATTACTTGAACATCTGTGAAGAGACATTTAGTTTGTTTCTTTCTCAGATTAGTGTTTATCAAACTTCAGTGTGCATAAGAATTACCGTGTTTGTTTAATACACAAAGTAAAATGATGTGTATAGAATATATGGACAATTTGGTGGGGAGGGTCAAGTGTAATTTGGTTTAGGTGTGATTTTTTTTTTCCTTACAAACATGAATGCAATCAAAATCAAAGCCAAAGGCATTTACTGAAAGTGCTATTTTGTCACAATGGGTATATAATCAGAATTAGAAGAGTGTACTAAAGAACTCTTATGCCCTCCGTAACTTATCATCAAATATATGGGGGAAATTGGCAGGAAATACAAAGCAGCAGAAGAAAACTACAATAGTAGCAGAACATTTTATCTCAGTCCTTCTTCATGACTATTTAATTCTCCAGGAGTAAATGAAAATCCAAATGTAAAGTAAAGTAAATAAGTGATTGCATTCATCTTCTAGGGCTACCATGACAAAATACCACAAACTGGGTGGCTTTAATAACAGAAATTTATTTTCTCACAGTTCTGAAAGCTGTAACTCTAAGATCCATGGCCTGTCAGGGCTGGCTTCTGGTGAGGCTTCCCTTCTTAATTTGCAGATATTTACTTCCCCACTGTGTCCTCACATGGCCTCTTCTCTGTGTACTTGTGAAGAAAGAGAGATTGCTGGTGCCTCTTCCTCTTCTTATGATGGTCACCAGAATTATCAGATTAAAACTCCACCCACATAATCTCATTTAACCTTAATTCCCTTCCTAAAGTCCCCTATCCCCAAATACAGTATCAATGGGGTTAGGGCTTCAACATGAATTCTTGGGGACACAATTTAATTCACAACAGCAATATAGTTAGTTTCAAAAAACGGATTTCTATTTGAAGTACATTTACTAACTTAGAAGACTATATGTTTATTCATTAAGAACTCTAATTCAACATTAAGAAACTTAGGTTTTGGAGATATACTCGACTCTTGTCAGAAAGCTGTCATTTGTATTAATTATTGGTATTAACATTTGCAATGATTAGCATTGATTTTTAGAATGACAGTCATGTTAGACTAACTATTGCTGCATAACAAACATCTCCAAAGCTCAGTTGCTTACAAAAAAAAAATGGCACTTGATTATTTTTTATTTGTCTGTAGGTTACTTGGTGGTTCTTCTGACATTTCTCCTGGGTACACTCATGCATTCAGGTGAAGTTTAGCTGGGGCTGGAACATCCTAGATGGCCTTACTTTTCAGTCAGTGCTGATTTTGGTTGAGACACTTTCATTCTCCTCCATGTAGATTTCCATCATCCAGTACTCTTGACTGGCTTCTGACATGGTATTCTCAGGGCAGTTGAAAATGGCAGCTGCAAATATTCATAAGGTCAAGGCCTGGGAGTCACCTTCTATTAGTCAAAGCAAGTTTTGAGGTTAACTTATGTTCTAGTAGTGGAGGAAAAAGATTAACTCTCTTGATGGGAACAGGTATAAGGAAAATGTGGCCGTATCTAATCTACTGTATTGTACCCTCTGGCCACAATTATTTACTTCTCTCCTACATGGAAAGTGTCCCAAATGGTCACTTAATCACAGAATCAGGCTAAAAGTCCACTATCTGATCTATATCTGGCTTAGGTATGAGTAGAGGCCCTTAAGTGCAGCTCCTCTTGATCTAGAGACTTATAAACAGAAGAAACAAGTAACACTATTCACTGTATACCCTCTGCTCTTACATGCCTGATACAACATAAGAAAGGGACAATTTTACCACAATAGACATTTCCACTAAAAAATGGGTAACTGTGACGGTTAATATTGAGTGTCAACTTGATTGGATTGAATGAAGCAAAGTATTGTTCCTGGGTGTGTCTGTGAAGGTGTTGCCAAAGGAGATTAACATTTGAGTATGTGGAGTGGGAGAGGCAGACCCCACCTTAATCTGGGTGGGCACCATCTAATCAGCTGCCAGGACGGCTAGAATAAAGCAGGCAGAAGGTAGAATGAGCAGAGTTGCTGAGTCTTCTGGCCTTCATCTTTCTCCTGTGCTGGATGCTTCCTGCCCTCAAATGTCAGACTCCAGGTTCTTCAGCTTTAGACTCTTGGACTTACATTGGTGGTTTCCCAGGGGCTCTCAGGCCTTCAGCCACAGACTGAAGGCTGCACTGTCGGTTTCCCTATTTTTGAAGTTTTGGGACTCAGACTGATCCACTACTGGCTTCCTTGCTACTCAACTTGAACACAACCTATTGTGGGACTTTACCTTGTGATCATGTGAGTCAATTCTCCTTAATAAATTCCCTTTCATATATACATATATCCTATTGGTTCTTCCTTCTAGAGAACCCTAATACAGTAACATAGCAATTACTCAACACAGTAATTCTGAAAACAAGCTGAGTATGTGCCACCAGCTTCTCTTATTCATTGAGGGTGTTGCTAGAATAGGATCCATTTCTGCTTGAGAGTGATTCCTTGATCCTTTGTTCTCCTTGACTCTTGGTAGCATCTATTGGGCTGTTGGCTCTCCTTTATGAGACGTCTTTTCATTTTAATAAGAAGTGGCCCCTCTTTGCAGCTGAGGATCTCTCTCTGTCTGCTTTCTGCCCATTGCAAGTTGTAAGCACAGAAGTCTCTTTTCAGTGTTAGCAATCTCTTATCTTTAAATTCAAGATAGCTGGGGTTTTGTTGACACCACTCTCTTAAAACTTTGCTGGCTCCCTAATTCACCGCACATTCCAAAAGCCACATCAATAATTAATTTTGCAGCAGATCCCTATCTTGGTCTGTGTATGAGATTGCTGAAGGAAATGCCCTCAAGATTCTTAGATCTCATTTGGAAAACTGAGAAAATTTATAAGGCACCAATTTAAATATTTCAGAAGGCTTAATAAAAACCCTAGCCCTTTTGCCATTTTCCTAGCCTTTGCTAACTGATTTATCACTGCTTCTCTGGGTTCTTCCTGCCACCCAGTCCCAATGTCAATGATGCAATTATTTTAAAGTTTTGTTATAGTAGCTCCCAACTTTTAGGTACTATCTCTGTATCTGTTAACTATTGGTCAAAAGTAACGACACCAAAACTCAATGGTTTAAACAGGTGATCCTCCTGCTGCTTTACTTGGGTTCCCTCACATGACTCCTGGAGGTAAACTAGGCAGTAAGGTACTAGGTGGCCTCACTCACCTGTCCAGCAGTTGATGCTGTCTCCTTTGTGACAACTTAGTTCTCCAAGTGGTCACTTATCTTCTAGTAGACTATACCAACTTCCTTGTCTAGTGATGTTAGAGCAGCCTTCTAAGAGTAGTAAAGGCAAATACTGCAAAGCCTCTAGAGACCATAGCTCCTGAACTTATACAACATAGTTTCTGGTACATTCCATTTGTTAAAGGATGTCGCAAGGCCAGCCAAAATTCAAAAATCAGTAAATTGATGTTCATCTCTTAATTCTTGTTACTATAAAGCATTTGTTTACTCTATAATAAACATTAATATGTTTATTAATAAATATTAACATAATCATAATAATGTATAGAAACATAATTTTCACTGCTTTTGACAAAGAAAACTTACTAAAAGAGTATAACTTTTTTTTTAATTTCTAGGTTTAGTTAAATATAAATGGGTAATTAACTTTCCAAAAAGAATAAAACAGTCAATCTCTCTGCACACACACACAAGATGCTTTTCTTAATTTTTTCTGTGAATGACTTGACTTGATATTTAGGTTTTAATTTTCTTGAACAACTTAGGTGTTGCAAAAATAAAAACTGTTGTAATAAAAGTTTTATGGCTTGGAGAGTCCTACTTTTCACAGCAAAGCTGAGGGAGAACGGAAAACACATAGCTTTGATGGGATTCTTCATAAAATAGCTTGTTTTTTGTGCTGCTGAAAATAGTATTGATGGCTTGGAGATGTCACAAAAATTTATTTGGCCTATATACATGTAACTTAAAATATATCAAGGAGATTTAAAATCAATTTGACTCTCTGTTGTATACGCTGCTGGAAAGCAGTTTTATTTCCTTCTCTGCATATAGATTCATTATCATTTTTACCTGTGCTTTCATAGTATGAAATTTTTGCAATTTGATTTTATTTAATATGTTTGTGAAGTTTGTGCACATTGACAGGATTGACACTAGGTGATTTGTGTAACTGTTTTAGAGTGTCCAGTCTTGTGTAATATATTTCAAATTGTTTATCCATGCTATTATTGATGGCATTTCAAAATTTGTTGTTATAAACAATACTGGTTTGTATATTTTGTTTATATCTCCTTGTGTACATGAGCAAAATTTTCTTAAGCAGTGGAAATGCTGAGTTGTGAGATAGGAACATATTCAAGTTTTCTGGACCTTTCCAAATTGTTCTCCAGAATGGTTGTGACACTTTACACTGCCATCCAAAGTGTACGGAAGTTCCTAGGAGTGCACATTATCTCTAGCACTTGACATTGCTGGATGTTTTGATGTATACTTTTGCTGAAAAACAAAACAAACAAACAAAAAAAACAGATTTCCTTTTATTTTTTATTTTTTTATTTTTTTAGAGATGAGGTCTCTCTATGTTGCCCAAGCTGGTCTTTAACTCTAAGGCTCAAGCAATTCTCCCACCTCGACTTCTCAAAGTGCTGAGACTACAGGTGTGAGCCATGTGCCTGGTCTTGATTTTTAATTTAAATGTGTGAACTGACATCTCATTCTGGTTTTTAAGGTAAATTTCCCTTATTACTATTGGGTTTGGGTTATTTGCCTTTTTATTGTTGATTTTTACTTCTTTATATATGCTGGTTGCTAATTCATTGTCCTTTATGTACACTGCATTAGTCTTTCAGTCTGTGGCCTGAATTTTAACATGGATATTAAGACACTCCAAGCAAATAAACTGGAGAGTAAAAGATAGTATACTTAATGTGTTAAGATGCATATGAAAATGAAATAACATGAGTAGTATGAAGTTTTTCCTTTGTAACTCAATTCTACCCTCATAAAAGCATAGTTAGTATGTAGTAAAAATAAATGATTGATTTTATACTACATGTGATATCTTGGTGAGCTTTGTACTTCTATTCCACAAAAGTTGGTAATATTTGGCTAGATACTGAAAAGCCTTCATTATTTTTTAAACATCACACACCCAGGCCTGTTGTGGGATGGGGGGAGGGGGGAGGGATAGCATTAGGAGATATACCTAATGTAAATGACGAGTTAATGGGTGCAGCACACCAACATGGCACATGTATACATATGTAACAAACCTGCACGTTGTGCACATGTACCCTAAAACTTAAAGTATAATAATAATAATAATAATAATAATAATAAAGATATTCTTAAGGTATATAAAAATATATTGTAGGCTTATTCATCCATTTAACAAATATTGACATAGCCTTCTTATGCCTGGAACTGCATATCAATTAGGATAAAATGAAGAGATAATTGAGTTCCTCACAGTTTAGGAAAAAAATTCAAAAAAAAAAACAAAAACAAAACTAAAATATAAACACAGTTCAAGGAGCTCAAGTGCCATTATTGAATGCAAAAATGGTCACTTAAGTAAACATGAGGTCAACTAATGTTTTTAATGAGGAGTGGTACCTAATTTTAGCCTTAAAGATTAAAGAGGTATTAATTGGTCAAATGTTTCAAAATGAAATTATTATCTCAATTTCCTGTGAAACCTTTTAGAAATAATGACAGTCATAAGTCCCACCACAGATCTACTGGTCTGTGAATCAAAATAATAAAGATTGGTTATCTGGAATATGTATTTTTAAAAATCCTCCATTTCATTTCAAAGATCACATATGTTGTTGAAGCATTGAGCTACATAAATGAGATGTAAAGGGCATCCTTGTCACAGAAACAGTATAGGGAAGATATGGGTGTGTGATTGAGCTGGGCATATCAGGGGAACTGCAAGTGGGGGTGAGGATGGCTGTCATGTAGAATGGAGTGGACATATGGCAAGATAAAAGCCTAAAAGTTAGGAAGAAACCAGATGGACAATGCACCTGGTAAAGTGCATGACATTTACTAGGTTCTTAATACATGTTCATTAAATGATAGATAAATGAATGAATACGTCAGTGTATTAGTTCATCTTCACACTGCTCACAAAGAAGACATACCTGAGATTGGCTAATTTAAAAAAGAGGTTTAATGGACTCACACTTCCACATTGGCTGGGGTGGCCTCACAATCATGGTAGAAGGTGAAGGGCAGGTCTTACATAGCAGTAGACAAGAGAGAATGAGAACCAAGCAAAAGAGGAAACCCCTCATAAAATCACCAGATATCGTGAGATTTATTCACTACCACAAGAACAGTATGGGGGAAACCGCCCCCACGATTCAATTATCTCCTACCAGTTCCCTCCCACAACATGCGGAAATTATGGGAGCTACAATTCAAGATGAGATTTGGGTGAGGATACAGCCAAACAATGTCATTCTGCCCCTGACCCCTCCCAAATCTCATATTTCCACATTTCAAAACCAATCATGCCTTTCCAACAGTCCCCCAAAGTCTTAACTAATTTCCGCATTAACTTAAAAGTCCACAGTCCAAAGTCTCATCTGAGATAAGGCAAGTCCCTTCCATCTATGAGCCTATAAAATCAAAAGCAAGTTAGTTACTTCCTAGCTTGAAATGGGAACACAGTCAAACCATATCAGTGAGTTATTAGAACTTTACATGTTTTGATTAGAATTTTTAGTTTATCCTAAAGTTTATAGGAAGGCAATAACAGATTTCAACCAAGAAAGTGGAAATTTAGATTACATTGATTTAAATGAAACATTATTCTGAAACGAAGAAGAAGCTCATACATTTTGTAAGTTTCTAGATGACTTTCGGGAGCTGTGACAAGCACTTATAAGTGATGGTTTTCCTAATTCTTATTAATCTTTTATTTAGGTTACAAAAACTCATTACAATTGTGTATAGAATTTCCCTAAGCCAATTGGCAAAATAAATTATTGAAACCTCACGCAGAAAGGATTGACTGCCCTATTTCTACCTGTTATCAGAGATATGACATATTCTGTGGGAGAAAAATAATAATCTACATTTTATGGAATTTTAATTAATAACTTAAACATATTTTAAAAACTGCATATTTTATTTTATAATGGATCATGTAGTCTCTTGGTTTTGACAGCATGTGTGTGTATGTGTGTTTTCCCCCCTTACTCCCACCCCGGTTCAATTTTTGCAATGCTGTGTCTTGGAAGAGCACTTAACTGATTGCAAAAGTAGAAAAAAGTTCTCCATGAATAGTAGGTAGGGAAAGAAAATAGGAAGAAAACTAGAGGAAGAGAAGAAAGAGAGTACAAGAGTGAGATACAATCACTTTGAACTTTAGCTAATCTACCTTTGATCCTGCTGCTGGAGTTTTAGTGTAAAGGAGCAACTTAGAGGCCAAGGTATCTGAGGTAATCATTATTCCTTAATGAAATCTCTTTAAGGATACCAGAAAAGAAAAACGCAGAAGAGCAGATGCCCAGAGAGACTATGAAACTAATTCAGAAACCACAAGTAACTGCAGGGCTAAGAGAACCTAATCTTGCAAATCAAACTGGATTGGGCCTAGAACAGTAGATATTGTCATTGCAAATCCCTTGATTATCTTCAAGCTAGGTGTAAATTGGGAAAACATGACTATATTAATATATGAGCATATTAGTATCCATCCTTTATTTTTAAGATAAATCCCAATCTTTACTATAAAATAAATATAAAATAAAAGAACTTTCTTAATCTGGCTTTAGACTCCCTCCACCAAGCTCCATTTGATCTTTTGTCCTTTATTCTCATAAAGCTTTACTAATTGTAGTGCTGTATCATCTTATATGCCTCAAGATGCTCTTCCTTTATATGTGTTGTTGCCTTTTTCCTGATCCACTTTTTATTCTCTTTTCAAGTGGGATAACAGTTACTTGTTTTTCAAAACGTATCCATCTTCATTTACACCAAGGTCAGTAGGACGCCCTTCTGCATGTTCCCACAGTACCTAGTGTTCTTGCGGATCAATTTATTCAATTTGTTTAATTGTCTCCCCATTCTATTTTAAATCTGGGGTCACCAGTTTAATGCCTTTAGGTGCAGACAGATGATACAACCTACTAGAGGATCAGGTGTAATAAATAGAGAATGGTGGATAGCTATGAATTTGAGATACCATGTCCTTCGGAAAAAGAGCGTTAAAAATAATACTTAGTTTTCCTTATCACTTGCCTTGAAAAATAAAATGCATTTGTAAGTCAAACGTAGTTTGTTTTATAACGACTATATCCTTGAGATCACATATGTTTTACATGTGTATTCATTTAATATCAAAGAGCTTGGTACAAAGAGGGATTCAATGTATACTGATTGACTTTTCTCATGACTTAATTAATGGACTGTATTATTCCTGAACTTCACTATTTCAAACTTTCTTCATTCTGCCTGTAGAGGCTTCAGATAGTTGATAGACTGAAAGTTGCTGTGGAAGGAGAAAGAATGTATGTGACAGATAACTTAAGTATTTAGTACCAGACACAGAGAAGTTTAGGACTTTGGACATATAAGTTACAAATCTTGAGATTCTTAACTAGAATCTTTAATTAGACTGTAAAAAAGCTCACCTCCAGTCTTAAAAAAATAACATAGTATAGGATTTCTAAGTCATGAAATAATTAGTATTGACTAAGAGATTATTTTTCTTATCTTTCTTTACTGTTTAATGTTTACTTTTTAAAAGTAATTCTGGTAGTAAGGTACTTTTCTTATCTCACATCTTCAAAACTCAGCATTTTGGAAGAAAGAGTCAATATAATGTTGACAGTTTATTGAACTCCTCTCTATCCAACTTATTTATTTGTTTATTTGAAACAGAGTCTCACTGTGTCACCCAGGCTGGAGTGCAATGGTGTGATCTCAGCTCACTGCAACCTCCGCCTCCCAGGTTCAAGTGATTCTCCTGCCTCAGCCTCCTGAGTAGCTGGGAGTACAGGTGTGTGCCACCACACCCAGCTAATTTTTGCATTTTTAGTAGAGATGAGGTTTCACCATGTTGGTGAGGCTGGTCTCGAACTCCTGACCTCGTGATCCACCTGCCTCCCAAAGTGTTGTTGTTGTTGTTTTGTTTTTGTTTTTGTTTTTGTTTTTGTTTTGAGATGGAGTCTCCCTCTGTTGCCCAGGCTGGAGTGCAGTGGTACAATCTCAGCTTACTGCAACTTCTGCCTCCTGGGTTTAAGCGATTCTCCTGCCTCAGCCTCCCAAATAGCTTGGATAACAGATGCAAGCCACCATGCCTGGCTAATTTTTGTATTTTTAGTAGAGAGGGGGTTTCACCATGTTGGCCAGGGTGCTCTTGAACTTCTGACCTCAAGTGATCCACCAGCTCGGCATCCCAAAGTGCTGGGCTTACAGGTGTGAGCCACCACACCCAGCCCCAACTTATTTATTTTAAAGATGATTTTATATCATCACTGTAAATAGAAAATTACAATTAAAAACAAATTATAACTTTAAAACTTATTAAATTGTAACCAGATACTGTTGTCTACCAAAGGTTCTAAGCCGAAGTCTACTTTCAGTATTATAAAGGACAAGTGGCAAATATTTAAGAGAGGTTAGCAGAATATGCCAAAAATTTAAGACATAAAAAAAACAAGTATTATTTATGAGTTCAATACAAGAAATAAGATAAAATAAAATTGAATATTCCTCCCCGTGTAAGTCACTATTATTTAATGTCGTGGTTTGTGTGTGTGTGTGTGTGTGTGTGTGACCTTAGACTACCAGGGACATGCATCCTATGTTTTGAAAAAAATGGGGACTAGATGAAAACCACTAACCTAACCTAGCATGACATTTTCCCTTTTGTATTTTCATTATCTTGGCTCTTATTTTCCTTTTCTAAAGAAGGGAGCTCACTGCTAAGAAAAATAGCAAGAGTAGGGTGCTATCCAAGTGTGTGGGGTTTGTTTTCCTTACTCCATTCTGAAGAGTGTCCATGTACACAATGGGAATGCACTGCTTTAAGTACAGAATGGTATAGGAGGTAGTCTACTAAAGAGAATGCTTACATTTCTTATCCTTATTCAATTATTCCAATTACTTCACAGTGTAGCTACAATATAGGTTTTCTTTTTTCTCGTTATTTTAACATACCTTTTCTTCAAATCTAGGAAGTTGATCTTCTTTAAGCAAACCTTTCAGAGGAAGCATGTTATACATTTGCCTGTCTACCAGTTCATGGTCAACTGCAACCTTTCCCAGGGCCAGGCAACTGAATTAATTCAAGGACTCCGTAAAATAAATAAAGTAGGTAGTTAGTTTTGCTGTTAGTAGTAATAGTTCTGCTAGAATGAATGGTTTATGAAGGTAATCAAGTCAAAGGAATGAGGCTGGTTTCCCAGTACATGTTTCCCTCAGATTAGTTCCTTTTGGCTATTTGATTCAAGCTACGTATTTATGTTCATTTAAATCAGGTTTCAGAGGTAAAGAAATATTGTGAGAAAAGGAAGAATGGAGAACGTAGGTATCTTAGTTTGTTTGGACTGCTATAAAAATACCATAAACTGGGTAGCTTGTAGGCAACAGAAATGTATTTCTCATGGTTCTAGAGGCTAGGAAGTACAAGATCAAGGCACTGGCATATTATGCTCACCAGGCACCGAATATGTCAGTGCCTGGTTTTCTGGTTCATAGATGGCACCTTCTAGCTGTGTCCTCACCTGGTGGAAGAGGCAAAAGCAGCTCTCTGGAGCCTGTTTTATAAGGGCACTAATCCCACTCATGAGGGCTCCACCCTCATGACCTAATCACCGCTCCAAAATACCACCTTCTAACACATTGGTGATTAGGTTTTTAACATATGAATTTGGTGGGAACACAAACATTCAGACCATACCAGTAGGACTAAACTTGAAGAACAACTTAACACACAGGCTCTTCTAGGTCCCAAGAGGGAGAAATGTGGCCACTGAAATATGTCATTAATGTATTTATGCAAGCAATTTGCCATTGGCTGGCAACAAACCCATCACAGCCACCATGAATATGACAGACTAATATGGTTTGGCTCTGTATCCCCACCCAAATCTCATGTCGAATTGTGATTGCAAGTATTGAAGGAGGGGCCTGGTGAGAAGTGATTGAATCGTGGGGGCAGAGCTCCCCATTGCTGTTCTTGTGATAGAGTTATCTGGAGATCTACTTGTTTAAAAGTGTGTAGCACCTCCCTCCAACTGCTCCTGACAGCCATGTGAAGACGTGCTTGCTTCCCCCTCACCTTCTGCCATAATTTTAAGTTTCTGAAGGTCTCCCAGCCATGCTTCCTGTACAGCCTGTGGAACTGTAAGTTAATTAAACCTCTTTTCTTCATAAATTCCCCAGCCACAGTTAGTTCTTTATAGCAGTGTGAGAACGGACTAATACGTAGACTTTTTTAATTTACTAAGCTCTGTAATCAATAGATTTTTAAATAACGTTGTATCTTTGGTAAGGGAGACTTCCAGGCAAGTGTTGCAAGTTCAGCTTATGAACTAGATACCTCAACTCTGCCCTCTACCACTTTCTTTGCATTCCCATAAAAAGATTATTTAAATATTTTTATGTTCTATACACTTGTGCTGAAGGAAGGAAGGAAGGAAGGAAGAAAAGAAAGAGAGAGAGAGAGAGAAAGAAAGAAAGAAAGAAAGAAAGAAAGAAAGAAAGAAAGAAAGAAAGAAAGAAATTCCCACGTATGTTACAAAAAATATCATTATTTACCACAACCTACTATACCTTTTCCAAAGAGACATTTTGATGTATCCCTTAAGTTATTATAATTATAATATGATTAAATATTATTGTAGCACACTGAGAGCCTTAATATGTTCTCATTGCCCGAAAATTGGGTTGAAACTCAGGGAGAAGTTTCAAATTTGAGTTCTAAAATGCAATTTAACCTTAAATAATTGAAGAGGAAATAATAAGCATAAAGGTTTTTTTTAAAAAATCTCATAAATAAAAGCCAACATCACACTTTTCTTTAAAAAGGTATGTAATTTTATTATAATATATCCTCGCTTTTGCCTCTTATAGAAAAATTAAGTCTAAAGGTATATTTTGTATACAGCAATTTTATACACATATAGCTAAAATAATTTTTTAAAAATTATCCAGTAAGTTATACCAAAGATGCAATTGATTAAGACGGCTGACTGATAAAACAGATATGAATGCAAAAGTCTCTTAAAGTCTTTACCTTTAAGCTTAAGAGCCTTAACAGGTTTAAGGTCTCTTAAACCTTTTACCACAGAAGTTCAATAGACCCATCTTGAATAGTAAGATGTTAAAGTCATGTCTTACAGTTCTTAAAGACTAAAGTTAATACTATATTTACTCATATTAACTATTATGAGACACCCTCAAGTCTCTCAAAATTTCCTAGTCATTCTTTATTTTATTATGTATTGTATCTGGATGGTAGAAACAAGGTGAAGTCTAAGAAGAATGTTTTTTCAAAGTACTTTTTATTTTTTATTTTCAAAGGCAACAACTTGTTCCAATTATGCCTTGAATTACAGTGGGAAAAGTGTGTGTGTGTGCGTGTGTGTGTGTGTGTGTGTGTGTGTGTGCATGCGCCTATGAGTATATGTATGCATCTGTCTGTTTGGTAGTCCAAGAAGAAACATTTCATCTCTGAGGTTTTTAGTTATAGGTGCATAAAGAATTTGTAGCAATCCTGGCTTCACTAATCTTTAAATTCTCTATCCTTAACTCTTAGGAAACAAAATTTGGTAGCAATACTCTTAGCCATACAGAAAAATATGTCAAGGCCTAATGATTTTGGCAAGAACTAATTGCTAGATCAAGTAAAATTCATATGAGTGAAAACTAATCTTATACAGGGCAATAAAAGCATTTTCAAATTTCTTTTTATGTTTTGTTATGTGTTAAATAAATATTTGATAAACACACGCTCAAGGACCCTCAGGAAGCATTACTGCTTATATTAACAAGGAAAGTGTGTAACAGTTTTTGTGAGCTTCTTTCTTAAAATTAACTTGCAGACAATGCTGCAGTTTGCTTCTCCTTCTTTTTAGTATACTGAACAGATTCTTAAATATGTGTATGTTCTAAAAACAACCTCTGAAACAATTCTAAAAAATAATCTCTCTATATTTTTAACATGTATATTTCACATTATATTACAGCAGTGAGAAAATGTATTTTAAATGTTTAACTATTATATGTGTGTGTATATATAGTGTGTGTATATATACATATAAAATATATATGTGTGTATGTATGTGTCAATTACCAATGGTTATAATCAAATATGTATTTCTCAATAACTAAAGTACCATTTCTGATGTTTTAAGGGATGGCCTGATACATTCAGGGCAACTTTTTTGGCCAATAACAAGGAATAATTAGAAAATGTCTACTACAAAGAAGCTGACTTATCAACTTCAAAAATAAGTAAAATGCCATAGATGCTTACAATTTGTTATTAGTAAATAAGTTAGTAAGGGCCAATTTGCATCCTACATTTTAAGGAAGCTAAGATTATGTAATTCTACAGGCCTGATAGATATAAAATTGTTTTGCTTTTGCCATTCAAGTTATGTTCCTGAAAATTTGTTTGCCTCTCTAATTACTGCCAACTTTCAGTTCATCGTTGTGCCTTTTCTAGATTTGGCAGAACTACCTTGCATAGGGAATAGAGCTTATTTGAATGAAATAAGAGTTACTGCTGAAGAAAGAAGCCTGGTCTGAAAATAATGAATATATATGTATATATATATAATGGAAGTAAGAAACAAAGTATTTTTGAGATATAATAACACAACTGAGAGCTGGATACTATGATATCTATTCATTTTAGAAGTAATATAGAACATAATCAATTTTATTAACGAGAATAAAAGATCCAAAAAGTTACCTGACTGGCCCAAGATCACAAAGCTAGTTCTGGCAGGCAGTATTAAAAGCTAGCTGTCTTGGCTAACAGTAGTTCTTTTCATTAAAACAGTATAATGACTGTTTACTGTGGTCATCTATCAAATATTATTCAAGATACAGTGTTATGTTTATTTTAACTCTGAACTTTAAAAAAATAATCCCAGAGTGTTGTTGGCTAATTGGGAGGCTAGATGCCCTCTGTGAATGATCATCATTAATATAAATGAAAACTCTAATATTATTTTATCATGTTTATATCAATTTATCCATATTGTCAGTTATCAAAGGGACATTTAAACCCTTTTTCCCCCAAAGCTAGATTTTAGACAAATAAAAAGATACAAGAGGCGTGGTGGCTCACGCCTGTAATCCCAGCACTTTGGGAGGCTGAGGTGGGCAGGTCACAAGGTCAAGAGATCGAGACCATCCTGGTCAACATGGTGAAACCTCGTCTCTACTAAAAATATAAAAATTAGCTGGGCATGGTGGCACATGCCTATACTCCCAGTCATTTGGGAGGCTGAGGTGGGAGAATCGCTTGAACCTGGGAAGTGGAGGTGGCAGTGAGCTGAGATGGTGCCACTGCACTCCAGCCTGGTGACAGAGCAAGACCTTGTCTCAAAAAAAAAATATATATATATATGTATGTGTGTATGTATATATATATGCATATATATACGTGTATATATGTGTGTATGTATATATATATGCATATATATACGTGTATATATGTGTGTATATATATACGTGTGTATATATGTATATATGTGTATATATGTGTGAATATATGTATATATGTGCATATATATGTATATATGTGTATATATATACGTATATATATATATATAAGATTTATAGTTAGCCTCAGGGAGAGTTTATGATATTTTATGAGATTATCACATTTCAGGTAGAATGTATTCCTCATGCAAGAGTCGGCCAAATTCATCCAGGAGTTTGAAAATGAATAATTTCCAAATAAAAATATTAATTTTGAGTAATTGAATCAAATAATTACTTCTTCTGTTTAAATTCACATTCAATTCAAATGGAGTTAGCTTCCTTTATAATGTGTATTTGCATTTTCCTGAATGAAATAATATGATATCTAAGATTTGCTTCAAAATTATCCAGTTTGTGTTATGTGGAGTGTGTGTGGGGAAATAGAACAAGATTGGTGAGGGATACATGCAAATTTATTATCATAACATTGCCTCCCCTATTATATAAATATAAGTGTTTTCATAATAAGTACAAGGTGTATATTTTCCCATGTATGTTTATTGAAACTATTATTAACTATATGTTAGAAACCTGTGGAGAATCATCTTAAAATAGACATAGTCCCATTGTTCAGCCAGTAGCACATCTTCTTAACTTCTTTCCTCCCTCCCATAATATATCCCTCTTTTTCATTTGTCTCTTACAATGCCAGGAAACATAGAGACAATGATGTATTTGCCAGCTTTTCCAGCTCGAGTGGGAACAGATAATATGTGTTATACCTATTTACCAGGTGATCGTGAGGTACAGAGAAGCATTGAAGATGAAAGCACTTTGTAATCTGTGAAGAGTGTAAATGTCAATCATTATAATAATGATAATCAGGATGATGTAGGCAATGATAATTGCTCTAATTGTTTTCCTTCTGTTTCATCGTATACAGTCTTATGTGAAATTAAGGTTCTTATTAAATCTGTGTTGATGTTGATCAGTTGCTTATAGCAAAGTAGTAAATAAGTGGAATTCTAAAAACAACCTTCATTTAAGTTCTGTGAACAGTAGGAAGCTTAAGGACTGCATTTGAATGTGCTTTATAACATCTAGCCTAAAATTTTAAGTGAAAAAATAAAGCACTATTTTAGTAGACTTCAAGATACAGTGTTATGTTTAACTCTGAACTTAAAAAAAAAAATCCTAGAGAGTTGTTGGCTAATTGGGAGGCTAGAGGCCCTCTGTGATCATCATTAATATAAATGAAAATTCTAATATTATTTTATTTTATTTTCTATCTTAGTCCTTGTCCTCAGAAATTCAGGTACCAAATTTTAATGTGTTTCTTCATACTTTAGTGTATGAAAATTTTCTACGCTAACTAAAATCTATTCTCAAAAAAAGAAAGAGAAAAATTTTTCCTCTATCCATTCCATGCATTCACCAGTTTTCTTTCCAAATAATCAGAATAATTTTATAAAATATAAAATATGAGCAAGTCTAAATGAGGCAGTGATACAATTATGACAATTCACTTTCATCTCCGTCAATTCTAATCTTACTTAATATAAGGTAGCATGAAGTTCTCTAATATGTATATTTCACAGTGAGATCACTTATTTCTAAATTTAAATACTAAGAAAATTGTTAAAATTCATATTTAAAATGTATGAATTTTATATTAGGTAACAAATGGCACCTTATTAAGGAGATGAAGTGGAGTCAAAACTTTGACAGTGTCAAAATTAGATTATACAACTCACAATTAACTCTAAAAGGCTAGTAGCATTTTTTTTTAACTAAACAACTGGGTAATCGAGTTCACATGTAATAATTACTGCCTAAAAGTATGAAAACAGTTAAGCAAACTTTCTTCTGACATTGTAATCTTATAAACATTTTTTAAAAATATATTTTAAATATCTATTAAAATATTTTAGTATATAAAACATAAAAGATATAATAGGTTTAACATATGCTAGTATTTTACCACATTTGCATCTCGTCTTTAAAAAAGTAAATACAGCTGACAGCAAAAGTCTTGCCCATCATGTCATTCTTTTGTCTCCCCAGACATAGGCATAGTCTGATACAGCATGCATTTTTTGTGCATGATTTTACACTCTTACAACATATGTCAGTACCATGGACAAGTGTGTGCTTTAAATTTTACAGAAATGATTTCATATTGTACACAGCATTTTATTTTCTAAGTTCCCAAATCATAAGAAAAATCACAATAAAGTCAAATGACATGTTTAGCTCACTCTAATTATAGAGTATGTCTCAAAAATAGCTCCTTTTGCTGTCACCCTTTCATCAAAAAGATATTTGAGTACATGAAACACAAAAGGTTGTTATAAACATTCTCTTTGTGGTACTTACCTGTAGTTAAATCATCCCAGCTTTCACAATTCAGTAAGCAATTACTCACTTCTTGGCTCTGTCTCCTCTTGATTAACATGAAGTTGATAGAAGAATTCATTAGTGTGAGAAATTATTAGGATCCGATAGAGTATAAGTGTCCAGTGGCATTATTAAATTCATCTCTTTATTCTCTGAACTGATAAAGTGAGTGTTTGTAGAGATGTAGATCTGACACTTGCTTCATTCAATTCCATTACATAACTGAAAAAAGAAAGCAAAGAGATGAGCTACAAATTGGTGCAACGCAAATTTTTTTTGGAAGTCAATTATTTGCAAATTGACAGATATTTTACCACAATGTTATATACAGTGGCTATTATCCATTCAGCCCAGAAATTCTATTACATTAATCATGAGTCCAAGGGTTAGAACTATGTTCAAAGTATGAAGGACTACCAGAAAAACACTCTACAATACCATTTGAGTTGACATTCCTGAAGCAATGGGTCAGGGGCTTCTGTGCCACATCCTCTGTCTCTGTCAAGCACAAGAAGTAGGATATTTCCAGATACAAAATGCTGGTACTGGTTGATGGCATTTGCGGTCAAGGATTCAGCAGGTAACTTGAACGTTAGCAGCTGAGGTGGCTAAATCCTTGATCAAATAGAACCCAAGGAATATTAAACACCGGGGAGGGAGACCAGGAGGAAAGGTCTAAGGAATTTGGGGGCTCAGGGATCCCAGATACCATGTGCCTCCACCTTGAATTCATTTTCCAGTCACCTCCCTTGCTTTAGGCATTGACCTGATGGTCCCACTTTCACTCTTTCATCCCTCCTTCTCACAAGTATTTCCCATTCTCTCTTCCACTGAAGGAAACACATCACACTGATTACATGGCCCATTTTTGTGGTGGAATTCAGGGAGCCAATTGGGCCAAGCCTCCATGAATAAAGGGTCACAAATTTTGACTTCTACTTTCATCGTCAAATAAGTTTTTGCACATAGTCATGGAAATACAATATTGAAAAGATTGAAATATATCATTTATCGACCTTTAATTGTTCAACTTAGGCATTTAAAATATATCACCATAATCATAATACTGCTTTGTACTTCTTTGGTTTTTTCTTTTCTTCTTCTTCTTTTTTTCTTTTTTTTTTTTGAGACAGAGCCTCTGTAGCCCAGGATCACTGCAAGCTCCGCCTCCCGGGTTCACGCCGTTCTCTTGCCTCAGCCTCTGGAGTAGCTGGGACGACAAGCGCCCGCCACCACGCCCAGCTAATTTTTTTTTTTTTTTTTTTGTATTTTTGGTAGAGACAGAGTTTCACCGTGTTAGCCAGGATGGTCTCGATCTCCTGACCTTGTGATCTGCCCGCCTTGGCCTCCCAAAGTGACTTCTTTGGTTTTTAATTTGCTTGGATCTCAAAAGGATATCTGAAGCATGATTCTTTCTTAATTCTGTGAAGGCGTGCCTACACCTTACCATTCCTAAAGACAAAAATAATTGCTCACTTGTATTTTATTTTTGTAGTAATAATTCTTAATATCCTTTTATTATTTTTGGTGTCACACCTCAGTAGACAAACTTCTGGCATGAATGCATTGCTTCTCTTTCTGCAACTGCAAAAGACACTGCTAATTGATGAGGCTCTTTCTTGCTGAGACAACACATTGGTCTTAAACCTTTCTAAACATAGCACTCCAAAGAGTCACTAATGATTTATTAGTTAGCAAGTGAGATGAACTATATCTGTGACCTCCAACTTAGATCCTATAGGAAAAAACAAATCATAGAGGTTTGCTAAAATGGGCCTTTGAGTATAAAATAACTTAATATTTAATTACCCCTGACAAAATGGTGAAAACCAGAGATTGTGTCTCTCTATGGAATTACATCAAATGACCTGAGCCTGAAGGAAAGTAGGAGGTAAGATAATGTTGAAGCTATGTGAGTGAACTGAGGAAAACAGTATAGGGCATTGAACATGCTACCCGGAGACCTTAGAGATGAGAGAGGAGGCCTCGAAATTATTTTTTAATATTTATGTTATTTTTCCCTGTACCTTCTCTTTCACATCATTCCTGTCCTTCCCAAAGTGTCGTCCTCCTGGATCAGCCCCATGTAATATCAGAATGTTAGAGTTGATATGAAAGTAAGAGCTGCGTATAATAGTAGGTAGAGGAGGAGAGAAATAAAATCCAAAACAGCAATGAAGAGAGAAGTATTTTCACTGTGGCCTCAGGAGCAACTTCTCATAAATAGTTTTTTACATAAATGACATAGTGTATGGTGAGTACCTGTAGTGTCTTGTAGTGTCTTGAATTCCAATAAATTGCCTAATAATATTCCACTATGTGTAAATTTGTCTTGCTTTTTTTAATTTTGAAAGGCAGATGCCCTGGGATCATGTGCCTGGTGACTGGTGATCTCCTTTAAGGGGAGAACCCTGACACACTGGATCATTATTATTGCCTCAGGAATCTGCAAGGTGCTCATTGTTTGTTGTGAGCATTGGAATTCCTGGCAATCTCCACAACTGATAAATCAGACATATCGTAATGGACAGATAAATGAAGACAAACGGTCTTTCAAATGTTACTGTCATTTCAAAAGAAAATTAAAAGAATTCAACAGAAAACATGGGGTACTAACTGCTGTAATAAACTCCAATTTATAGATGTTTAACACAAATGAAGGTTATTGGTGGTTGGCTTTCCCCACGATCGTTTGTTTCATCTTGTGAAATTCCCATGTTCAATATCTGAATCTCGAGGTGACTCTGTAGGCTACCTCCTGCAACCAGCCAGATTGGGAAACGATCATACAGTTTCATGTGGAGGTCGTTATGGTCCCAACCTAGAAGTGGTTCACATTCCTTCTGTTGCATTCCACTGGCTTGAACTTAATCACATGAACGCAACTAACCAAAAGGTGGGCTAGAAAATGTAATCTATCTGTATCCCTATAAATAAAAGGAAATGAATTTTGGTGAACACATAGCCATTTCTGCCACAATCTATGCTATAAACTGTTTAGACAGATTTCTTGTGTTTCTCATGTAGTCCTTACAACAATTAAAAAAGGATACTATCTCCATTTTATTGATAAAGAAGTTCAAAAAACATTGGGACTTGAAGATTATTCAGCTAGAAAGCATCAAAGATACAGTTTGAGGCTGATTTCAAAATGAATCCTTTAAGTCAATGGATCCCAAAGGCCAGTCCATGTGCAGCTGCAATAAAATTATTTAGAGAGTATGTTTAAATGTAACTTCATGACAATAACTCTTGGAGATTCTTATTCAGTAGCTTTGGGTTAAAGCTCAGTATTATATAATTTTAAAAGCTCCCTAGGTAGTTCCATGCACAGCAAAAATTGAGACCAGCTGCTCTAAATTTTGTGAAATTGGCCACTGAATGGACACCACCGGGGCAGGAAAATTAGCAGTAATCAATTGCTTTCACAGGGCAAACAACAGCATTGAACCATTCCCTCTGTCTTTCTATCTTTTATTAAACATGAATAAAGCATTGAAGTGTTCAATAGCTTCTCAGAAATAACTGGTAACATGGTGATGATGTTTGAATGGTGGCATTTGTCCATATAGGAGTGAACTAAAAGATGTGGTCATTTTAAATGACATTATTCACTGAGCAACCATGAAATAATAACTTTAGTAAGGACAACCAGATCATTACTCAGCTGGGTGGCATTTGAATTGGTATCCTAAAAAGCTCCCACTGTTTTGTTTCCAAAGCTGAGCTTCTTTCTTAAAACACTGTGAAAATTAGTGGGACTGGAAATGATAATGCTTGACAAAATCTTTTATTTTTTATTTTTTATTTTTTTGAGACAGAGTCTCGCTCTGTCACCCAAGCTGGAGTGTAGTGATCTCAGCTCACTGCAACCTCTGCCTCCCAGGTTCGAGCAATTCTCCTGTCTCAGCCTCCCGAGTAGCTGGGACTACAGGTACACGCCACCACATCCAGCTAATTTTTTGTATTTTTAGTAGAGATGGGGTTTCACCATACCGGTCAGGCTGGTCTCGAACTCCTGAGCTCAGGTGATCCACCCGCCTCAGCCTCCCAAAGTGCTGGGATTACAGGTGCAAGCCACTGTGCCCAGCCTTTATAATTTCTTTAAACTAAAATTTGACAGCGTACTTTGCCATCTTTTCCTGGACCATAGCTGTTCTCGTGAATATCATGGAGAAATGCAGAAACTGTTAAAGGACATTTCCTGCTTTGAGCTCTTTGATATTAGTATAATCTCCCACTGTTAACTTTTAGAGCACATTTAAGCTCTTAACCTAATGTTGTTCTGTGACAATTCAAGTAACAAAATATTCTCTATGACAGATTTTTTTCATGTTTGTAAGGCTATTTTGCAGTGCTAAAATAAACATAGAAGGTGCATTCTATAGTTTGGAGTTACAAATTTTACTGACATATATGTAAGTATATATAAAGCTTAAATTGCCAAACATAAGTACACTAGTGGAGAGTGCAAATTCCTTGTGATTATCAGTTATTGCTTAGAGTCCAAATTTATTGAGTATAAAACACCAGGATGAGGACAATTTAGAGAGTTTATTTAATTTCATCAGGGTTCAGAAAACTTCGATGCTTGCTGAAAGTGAGTCACACATGTGTATGCACGTTTGGACAATACTCAATATAAGCCATAATTTGAAATTACAGATAGTTCATTTAATAAAAATGCAAAATCTGCTGTTTTCTTTGTCTTTTAAGAATTATTTCCATGTGTTGTAATTTAGCACAGTATAATTTGTTTGGAAAATTAAAGTAATAAAACCTTAGTTTGTTGTGTGTTTGAATAGTGGCAATGATTGTCTCAGTGGGTGGCTGCAAATGTGGGAAGAAATCATTGTCAAGATATGCAGACAGAATAAGTACTATTTACTAAAGGCTAATATATAAGAACTAATAATAGGCATATTGTCACATAAAAAATTAACTCCCTAGGAGAACTTGAACAGTTAGCTTCAGTGCAGTTAGCATACATATGTTTTCCTTTTAAACCACTGAAATAACCTTCTGGAAGGAAAAGAAATCCAGAGCAATCTTTGTCATTTTCTGTGTTACATTATGTGGTGTTAGGTGGTAGACTATGAAGTGATTAGTAATGAAAGATGATTATAATCATTGGATTATTAATATTTTAGTGGCATGATGAAATGATTATTATAATCATGTGAACCACCAGGAACACATGTAATTGTGATAATTCTGAGTATTATTTTATAATTTGGAAGATTAGCACATAATAAGAGATCAATGAAGGACAATTTCAGAATGAGTGTGTATGTGTGAAAGAAGAAAATTTTTGGAAAGCAAAGCTAAATAGCTAAACAATAAACTTTCTAGAACTGTTCTCATACCTTCTTCTGCATGGGGATTTTGGATTTTTCTTATGTGAGATCCCCTAAAAAGACAAAGATTTTGGAAAGATTCCCTAGATTTATAAAGTTCCAATTTCCAAAACAAGAAACTTTCTGTCAAGAGCTGGTAGGCTAAGAGTTAAATATAGTAGCATGATTCATTGACGAGGATATATTGCTCGGAGTGGAACCTCTATAATTGTTTTTCTGAGATGAATTATTTCAGACCTACAAATGAACTTGTCTTTGTTTTATAAGAATATGATCAAGACTGGCAACTTTGATCAAATTAATCAAGAATCGTAAATATATGGAAGTGCCAGACTCCTCTAATAGGCACTTTATGCTAAATTTTTCAGTTAGCCCCACAACAATCCTATGAGGTTAGTAATATTATTAAACATTTCTTACTGAAGAGGAAATAGAAACATAAAGATGATAACTAGCTTGGATGCACAAGGATTCAAGGATGCATAGTTAGCAAGTAGCAAAGTAGTTATCAAGCCTAGGCGGGCGCTGACTCCAGAATTCAAGCCCAAGGTCACTTCTCTATACTATTTTACATTGTATTTAAGAACTACATGAACATGAATGCATGGTGTGATGCTTATAGTTTCCTGATGCTTATAGTGTCCTGATCCTACTTCTGCATAAGCCATGCAAAGGTAGTGACCCAGACTGTAGAAATGCGTCAGAGTGAGATATACCAACAAAATGAAACGAGTGAAAGTAGTATAATTTTCCAACATGTATACACTCTCTCACACACACATACACGTGAGAGGAGAACTAAAGATTAGTGACAGGGGATTTATAACATTATAAAATCTGAGAGCCTGAAAACAAAGATCCAAGGCAGAGCTAGAGGAACACAGGTATGGGTCAGTCAGGTGCAAGTTGAGAACACAGTGATAGGGTTCAGAATGGTTAAGTATAAACAGAACTAGTGTGACAGAAGTCATTCTTACATAATATTTTTTTAGTTGGTACCAAGATGGAGTAGATGCAGTATGTGGTAGTAAAATCACAGGTAATTAACTAAATTGTTAAAAATTGAAATATTGTGCTCATTACTGATTTGTCTCCAATATTTATCTCTGATAGTCAATAAATCAAAATATATCAAAGCTTAAATTGTCAGAATAAAACCCATGTTTGTATAATTGCAGAAAAATTATTGAAAAGCAAAACTTGTCAGGGAATCCACGTGTTATCATTGCACAGCTCATATGAATCTGAAAAGTCACAAATAAATTAGCAACATGGAGTTAATTGGTTTTTCTTTTTTTGCTTTACTGTTATTTTTCTTTACCACATGCAATTTCTTTTCTGGTTTTTGTTTTATTATGGAAACAATACACTCTTTTTTCCTAATATTTATGCTTCTGCATCCTTGCTTATGAGTTTCTTCTTACATGAATGCTGTCGTCCTTCTTCCTCCCAGATCATCTCTGTCCCTTTTGTTTCCAGTTTCAGCTCAAGTAAGAAATTTTTCTTGACCGGCTCAATATAGACTGACCTGTGTTTTGTCTGAATGTAAATAGCAACACCAACTTGCCAAGTAGAAAATGTATTTTGGATGTGCTAGCTCTTCAACTACATTTTAAGCCTTTGGGGATTAGGCAAGATTGATTCTCTTTCTTGTTGTGCATACTGACTGACAAAAAATTCATTGCATTATTGGAATCAATTATCACTTACTGAACACTCACTACATACCAGTTTTGGGATGCTTAGGTTGAAGGGGATAAGGTAATAATGGAAGAAATAATGTGGGCCTTCTCTCAGATATCTCATCATTTGTAGAAAGGGTGTGTCAGTCAGAATATGATAAGTTTTGCTGCCTGATATAGTTTGTCTGTGTCCCCACACAAATCTCATCTTGAATTGTAGCTCCCATAATCTCCACGTGTTGTGGGAGGGACCCAGTGAGAGGTAATTGAATCATGAGTCTGTTTTTTTCCATGCTGTTCTCATGATAGTGAATAAGTCTCATGAGATCTGGTTTAAAAAAGGTCAATTGCACAGGCTCTCTTGCCTGCCACCATGTAAGACATGCCTTTGCTCCTCCTTCACCTTCCACCATGATTGTGAGGCCTCCGCAGCCATGTGCAACTGTGAATTCAGTAAGTCTCTTTTATATAAGGTATGTCTTTATTAGCAGTGTGAGAACTGACAAATATACTGCCATAACAGATGATTATCAAATCCTAGTCACTTACAAACAAAAAAAGCTTGTATATATCTCACAGTACATGTCCATTTATAGGCAGCTAGACTCTGTTCCAAATGCACTCCAAAACCCAGGCTGACAAAACAGGCTGTCTGATCATTTGGCAAGGGTAAAGGAAACAGCAAATCATGTGCTGACTCTCAAACTTCTCTTTCAGATTATACACAGCACTCCCTTCCACAACTTTCAGCAAAACCAAGTTGCATTTGTACTCTTCAGTTCTATAAGGCTGAGCTATAATTCTGCACGAGTGTGGTGTAACTTGAAGAGGCAATGTTTAGTGAATTGTACTGCAATTTACCTCAGGGAGAAAGACATGTAATAAGCTAATAATAATTGCTCTCAGAGAGGTGTATACAGCGTTCTCTGGGAAGCCACCCACAGTGAAGATTGTCAAATCACCTACTATCAGTGTCAGAAAGAACATTAAAGGTCATCTAATGCAATAATGTATTCAACGCAATCAATAGATGCCTGTTGGTGGAGATTAAAAGAAGTGTTAAAGGCAAAAAGTATGCAGTGATGTCATGTAATTATTTTCTCTAGATAAGATAATGTTTTTTGAACATGAGAAATGATATGTCAAAGAATAATTTATTCCAGATTCTTTTTGTAATTCTATAAACATAATGTGTAGATTGTATACTATGGCGTTTTTTTAACCCCAAAGCATCTTCTTGGACCAATGCTGACATCTGAAATTACCTTTAGAAAAGCATTAATGGTAATTTTACAATTGTGCCAACAACTAAAACTCATGCAAATGAATATTTAAGGAATAATTAGTGCCTCATGCATGCTACATTTTTATATGTACACTCTTAAAGCACATAGTGAAATCTGAGAATGAATTTTCATTATTATTCTCTTGCATACAAATATTACCTTCATTCTCTTTATATAATAAGACAAGCTATGCTCTTTGCATAACATGTTACTCATTTTAATCGACTCATATTAATTTAGTGAATATTTCTGCTCAATTGCTTTTTACTCATGTAATATTACAAATTTATGAGCAAAGTGAAGCTATTTCTTTTTTGTAATATTTGCTTTTTATGTA